>NC_000006.12:165070790-165385865 GCF_000001405.40 Homo sapiens
AGGTGTCCTTCAGTAGGTGAATGGATAAATAAACTGTAATACATCCACATCATGGCATATTATTCAGTGCTAAAAAGAAATAAGCTATCAAGCCATGTAAAGACATCAAAGAACTTTCAATTTATCTTATGAAGGGAAAGAAGCCAAGCTGGAAAGGCTATATACTGTGTGATTTCAAATACAGTCATGTGTCATTTAACAATGGGGAAACATTCTGAGAAATGCATCAATATCTGATTTTGTCACTGTGTGAACATCACAGAGTGTACTTAAACAAACCTAGGTGGTGCAGCGTATTAAGCACTTAGCTCTATGGAGTAGCCTATTGCTCTTAGGCCACAAACCTGTGCAGCATGTGACTGTACTGAATACTGGAGGCAATTGTAACATGATGATAAGCATTTTTGTATCTAAACATAGAAAAGTTACAGTAAAAATATGGTATAAAATCTAAAACATGGTTCATCTATACAAGGCACTTATCACGAAGGAGCTTGCAGGACTGAATGTTGCTCTGGGTGAGTCAGTGAGTGAGTGGTGAGTGAATGTGAATGCCTAGAACATTGGTGTACACTACTATAGATTTAAAACACTGCACAAGTAGGCTACAATAAATGTATTTAAAAATTTTTCTTCAATAATAATTTAGCCTTAGCTTACTGTAATGTTTTTCCTTTACATATGCTTTAATTTTTTAAACTTTTATACTCTTTTGTAATAACACAGCTGAAAACAGAAACATTGTAGGGATGTAAAAAGAATTCTTTATACACTTATTCTATAAGCTTTTTTCTATTTTTAAGTTTTTTATTGATATGTTTTATTTTTTAAGCTTTTTTTTTAAAAACTAAGACACAAACACACATTATAGCCTAGGCCTACTCAGGATCAGGATCATCAAGACATCACTGGGTGATAAAAATTTTCCAGCTCCATTATAATCTTATGGGACCACTGTAGTGTATGTAGTCTATGATTGACCAAAACATCATTATGCAGCACATGGCTGTATATGACACTCTGGAAAAGGAAAAACTGTGGAGATAGTGAAAGAATCCCTGGTTGCCAGGTGATGGGGTGAGCAGGGGAGAAGGGAATGCACAGGTAGGGCACAGAGGATTTGGGACCAGTGGAACTCTTCTATATGAAGCTCTAAGGGTCTATAATGCCATTGTTGCTCAAAACTCATAGAACAGGGGTCACCAACCCCTGGGACATGAACCAATACCTGTTAGGAACCAGGCAGCACAGCAGAAGGTGAGTGGCGAGCAAGCAAAGACTCATCTGTATTTATAGCCGCTCCCCATCGCTGGTATTACCACCTGAGCTCCTCCTCCTGTCAGAGGAGCTGCAGCATTAGATTCTCATTGGAACACTAACCCTATTGCGAACTGCCCATGCAAGGGATCTAGGTCATGTGCTCCTTATGAGAATCTAGTGCCTAATGATCTGTCACTGTCTCCTATCACCTCCAGATGGAACTGTCTAGTTTCAGGAAAACAAGATCAGGGCTGCCACTGATTCTACAATATGGTGAGTTGTATAATTATTTTAATATATATCATAACATAGAAATGATAGAAATACAGTGCACAATAAATGTAATGCACTTGAGTCATCCCCAAACCATCCCCCCACCCTATTGGTCCATGAAAAAATTGTCTTCCACAAAACTGGTCCCGCCAAAAAGTTTTAGGACTGCTGCCATAGAATATGTACAGCACCAGGAGTGAACTCCGGACTTTGGGTGATAACAATGTGTCAGTATAGGGTCATCGGATGTAACAGAGCTATGGCTGTGGACAGGGTGGTTGATAGAGAGGGAGGCTGCTTGTGTGAGGGTGGGGGACATAAGAGAGCTTGTATCTGCCACTCAATTTTGCTGCAAACCTAAAACTCTTCTAAAATATAAGGCCCGTTTACAAAAATAACACATGGACAAATAGGTGAATCTTAAAACAGAGATTGAAAATAAATGAAGCAAAAACTTACAAAGTGAAAAGAAAAATCCACATGTCAGCTAAATGCTGAATTATTCTTGAAAAAGTAAACTATAGAGACAGAAAACAGATCAGTCAGTGGTTGGCAGGGGCTGCGGGCTGGGTGAAGGGTTGACCCCAGGGGGCACAGGGAAATATTTTAGAATAATGGAACTGTTCAAGAGATTTATTGTAGTAGTAGTATGCCTGTATATCTTTGCCAAAATTCACTAAATTCTGTACTAAAAAAGGTGAATTTCATGCTATGTAAATTATACCTTAATTTTTAAAATTTTAGACCTTAATTTTTTTTAATTAGGGGGGTAGAAAGAAACATAAAACAGGGATAGAGAAATGTTCATTGACAAGGGGATCTATACATGTATTGTCTTACTTCCAATAAGTCAATTTAGTTTTTTATATTTTTATATATAGCAGTAAGGAAAAAGTCTATCACTCACTTCCTTGCAATCTGCTATCTGTGTGAAAATCAAAACAACTCTAGTGTTCAAATTTCTCATGTGAATTAGGAAATGAGTAGACGCCATAAATGAAGCAAAATATGTCTATGATCTCTTTCAGAATAAATGCATTTCATTGATTCAGTGCACATCTGTTCAAGCCATTCTTTTAGTCTTTTCTTCCCTAAGCATCTTCATAAATTAATCTGCAAATAGAAAGACCAAATGGTATCAATAAAGATAAAGTGGACACAACCAGGGATGCATTTATTTGCTGAAATTTAGAGTTGGAAGATGGGTAAGTGAGCAAACATCCCAACTCCTTATCATTATAAAACACACTGGGTCCAGGTGGGTTGCGGTGACCCCCGGGGCTGGTGCAGGATCCTGTCAGCTGCTCTCTTACCACTGCCCTTTGGTCTCAGTCCAGCACCCAATGGGTTAAAACAGGTGTGCCCACACTCCTCCATTACTCCAAATGCCCCAGTGATTTCCCATCTCAGAGCAAAAACCAAAGTCCACATAGTAGAGGAGATGGCCTAACTGCTATATATAAAAACAATAAAAATGTTAATTGACTCCCTGGAAGTAAGACATACCTATAGATTTCCATGCCAATAAAGAGTTCTCTATCCCTGTTTTAGTTCTTCCCTCCCCAGTTTTAAGAATTAAGATATAAAATTCTAAAAATTAAGGTGTACAAATTAAAAATTAAGGTATAATCTACATAGGGTAAAATTCACCCTTTTATTACAGAATTTAGTGAGTTTTGACAAGCATATATAGCATTAGTTCTTAAATGCTGTGGACCAGGAGTGCACTTGTCTTCCTCTTTTTATTCTCTATATTTTTATTTTTTAAATCATATTGTTTTCTAATTGTTTTTAAGTTTTTTAAAAAAACTTTTAAGTTCAGGGGTAGATGTGCAGGTTTGTTATATAGGTAAATTTGTGTCGGGGGTGGGGGGTTGTTGTAAAGATTAATTGGTCACCCAGGTATTAAGCCTAGTACCCATTAGTTATTTCTCCTGATTCTCTCTCTCCTCCCAGCCTCCACCTTCCAATAGTCCCCAGTGTGTGGTGTTCTCTCTTTATTCTTTTCTGTCCTTGAGACTGTGTTGCAATTAACCTGTCCCCATCCCACAGCACTGCTGTTGGATGGAAGGCACGGACAACTTGTCTACCGGGATATTGATTTCTAGATGCTGAGAAGCCACAGTTGGGTCTTGTGGGGAGTACTGATCATCAACCAGAGGTCTTAGACCTTCAGCTCCATGTACTGACTGGGTAGGACATTGGGTTGTCTTTCTGGGGGATGGTTTAGAATACTCTGCATGGGAAGAAGAGTGCAAACAGATATCTCTGCTACAGGATGACAAAATGGACACTACCAACATTCAAATGCCTCTTCCCATAATGTAGACTTGTCACAGGAAAGCACTGGCAGTAGCCAGGGGTGACAGTTCCCAGCCCCTCTTCTCTGCATCCAGGGAAGGACATAAGCATAGTTCTTGCCACCATGCCCACGAGCAGAAGCATATTTGTCAGTGACAAGCAAGGCAATAAAAAGTTGAGATGTATTCTTCACCCTGTCTTTCTTCTTTGGTTGGTGGTGAGGCTCTTGGTGGTAGTAAAAGTGCAAGATTGAAGGAGTCTCAGACTCTAAATCACTGTGGTCTGACTAGGACAATCCACCATGGACTTCAGATGAGTGAGCAGAAATTCCTGTTGTGCTGCACCGTGGACACCTTGGGGTGTATTTGTTGTAGCTGCTCCTATTTCTCTGACACATGCTCTTACACTCTTTCCTATTGATAATCCCCGGATTATTTTTTTAAATGAACAATTTTTAATTTTTTTAATGATAAAGCTTTGCATTCCATTAAGTCATGTCTTAGTCAGCTTAGACTGCTCTCAAAATACTATAGGTAGAGTGGCTTATAAACAACAGAAGTTTATTCCTCACAGCTCTGGGAGCTGGATGTTCAAGATCAAGGTGCCAGCATGGTTGGGGTCTGGGGTGACCCTTTTCTGGGTTGGAGGCAGCTGACATACCACTGTGTCTTCATATGGTGGAAAGAGGGCAAGAGGGCTCTCCAGGGTCTTTATTTATAAGGGCACAAGTCCTATTCCTGAGGGTTCTATCCTCAAGATCTGATCACTTCTCAGAAATCCCCACTGCGCAACACCATCACAATGGTCTTTTCAACATGCATCATTGGTGGGAGCACAAGCATTCAGTAGATAACAGTGATGAGGATGATGATTTGTTTTATGATGATAATACATGGCACCCCATGAAATCATAATACAGAATTGCTAGTCCTAGATTGCAGTTTCTATAAAGAGCTCTATGAAGCTGAAAGAAAATCTGAGAACTTGGGAGTGATTGACAAGAAGTCTAGGAGAGGAGCAGGAATCGGATACTGGAGGGCTCTGCAGGCCTGAATAATGGTCACGCTAATGAATAAGGAGGTTTTAAAATAAAATTCCACATGCCTGCCCTCAGGATTTTCATGGATCATCACCCCCAAAGCAGCTTCATCCTGCCAATGAACATTGGCATAGAAAATTCCTATTTTGGAATTAAAAAAAACTACTTTTGTGGTGTTTATTTATTTATTTATGTATTTATTTTTTTAGAGAGACTCTTGCTCTGTTGCCCAGGATGGAGTGCAGTGGCCCGATCTTGGCTCACTGCAATCTCTGCCTCCCAGATTCAAGTGATTCTCCTGCCTCAGCCTCCCAAGTATCTGGGCCTATAATGCCCTTTGGACTTGAGATGAACACATTCATCTAAAAGTTATATCATTCTCCACAAGGTGAAAGTTTAGTAAACAGTGAATAGCTTAAGGAATTTAAGAAGGATGAATCTCAGATCTTGGTGAGCAAAATGAGGACAAACAATAAATCTTTTCCTCAAGAGTATTTGGTTGCGTATGCTAAGTCTGAATCTCTTACTGCAAGTAAACTGTGTGATATCTATTCTTACAGACAAAGTAAATACAGCTCTTCAAGGAACAACCTGCAGTCATCAGGGACAGGAGCGTCTCCATGAAGGAAACCTCACAGGCCTTTCTGCTGAAAACCTTGCAACTCCTTGGAGAGGGCAGCCCTGGCAGAAACTCAGACAAAGCAAACCCTACAGGGGAGTGAATTGATTATAATTTTAGCACAGATTTCACAGCCCAGGATCCCCCACTGTTTGTTGCAGGATAGGAAGTCCAGACTGTTTTTTATCTGCCTATTCCCAGGTTATCAAAATGATTCATTATGGCCAATTCCTGAGAGATTGATCTAGAAACCAGAATGCCAATATGTGAGTGGATAATGTGACCTAGAGCTGAAGAAATACTGGTATCTGTTGTACAATCAATACTACACTTTCCTAGAAGTCAGGCCTTTTGAAAAATTTATTTTTTGGACAACATTCTTAATTTTTCTAAATTCATCTATTATAATATGTTCTTAGGTCATTTCTCCAGGAATTAAAGGCCCTGAAATTATTTGGCATGTTTCTGTGATATAAAGTTACTATTGGCAAGATCAAAGACAGTGTTAATTAAGCACAGGGTTTACTAGTCTCTATAAAGTTAGTAGACCATTAGTTGAAATTGCAGGCTAATCCAGCCAGTAGAGTAAAAACAAATAAAAATTAGTTTATTGTTGATGTAAATTAAAAAATGTTCTAGTCAATATAAATGTTTATTCTTTCCCACAAAAAAACCTTTTTTTTCTGATTCATGAAAATGTTTTGATAGTAATGATTTCTTTTTAAATAAATCACGTGCACATAATCCCATTGTCTTTCAAATCAAATGCATGGAATTTTGCTAGCCATTTACTGTGCATCAAGAAATTACTCAGAAAAAAAGGCAGCGGTTTGTTTGAAAAGCTGAGAATCATTAACTTTAGTTGCCATTATCAATTAAAAGGGCAACAGTGATTAGCAGAGATCTCTTGGTCTTAGCACTAAATTGATGGGCCTGGTAATATGAAACCTGGTTTTGCTTAACTCTGAGCGTGTAAATATCAATTTCTCTCCATGAGTTACATTTCCACTGTGAAATCTAAAGTTGGATTTTCAATGCAGAACTAATTAAGATGTTACAGACACCAAGTTAATTTGATATGTCTGAAAGCATAAAAAGGGATTATTTTAAAGGTGGTTCAGTGAACACCCCAAGATGATGTATGTGAGTATTTCTCCTTGCACATGTCACAGAGGTGCTACTTTAAGGTACTGGGAAGTTTTTCAAAAGACACAATGTTTGAGTTGTAAAAGAATAAAAATATTGGTCATACAAATTTATTAAAAATTATGTTATCATTATATACCACTGATGTGTACTCAGTGTTTTATATATAATATTTCAGTGTGGGGTAGATATCATATGATAGTAGATACCAAATAGTGTATATATTATTATTGTCCCTACTTTCCAAATAAGGAAACTGAGGCTCAGGGTAGATAGATAACTCACTTAGTTCACAAAGTCAGTGAGTAGCAGAGTCAGAATTTGCTCTACTTCCCTTGTGTGTTAACTAAAGACGCACTATCCTTTTTAATTCCAACACTTTCTGGCCCTTTTTAAAATGTACTGAAAAAATAAATTTAACAAAGTAGGGTACAAATTACTATGGGAATTGGGAATGAAGTGTCCAGGGTACTTTAGGTAATACATAAACCTGACAGTCCAGTGACTGACTACTGAGTGACCAGGTTGATTTCTAGTCTTTCAGGTGGATCCATTTCATGAGAAGTCGCCACTATGAAGTGGGGACATCTGTAAATAATTATATATGTTACGTCACCTTTCCTGGGAATCAAGGCAATTTTGCATTATGTCCACATAGGCCATTGGAAAACATTAAAAAGTCCTGAAATAGACCCACACATCTGTGGACAATTGATATTTGACAAAAGTGAATATAAACTAAACCATAGACCTAAGTCCAAAAACCAAAACTATAAAATGTGTAGAAGAAAACATCAGAAATAAAATCTCTGAATACATGAAGACTTCTATGCTATGAAACCAATAACAGAATCAACTCAACAACAAAAATACATTAGACTTAATTCAAATGTAAAGCTTCTGATCCTCATAGATAGTGCTCAGAAAATAAAAATTCAAGATAGAAAATATCTTTAATACATTTATCTGATGAAATAATGATATCCAGAATATATAGAGAATTCTTTTTTTTATTATACTTTAAGTTTTAGGGTACATGTGCACAACATGCAGGTTTGTTACATACGTATACATGTGCCATGTTGGTGTGCTGCACCCATTAACTCTTCATTTAACATTAGGTATATCTCCTAATGTTACATATTTGGGATATATATATATCCCAAGTATATATATATATATATCCAAATATATATATTTGGGATAATGTTATATATCCCTCCCCACTCCCCCCACTCCACTACAGGCCTATGGTGAATGTCTACATGGTATAAATAATAACAATATTAAAAATATTTCTAATATAAAAATATAAAAGCTAAACTCCTTTTGAGGCTTCTCAAGTCATTTGGAACTGTGAGCCAATTAAATATCTTTCCTTTGTAATTTATCCAGTCTCGGTCAGCTCTTTATAGCAGTATGAGAACAGGGTAATAAAGAGAGGACGGAGGTGAGAATAAATCTTTCTTATTAAATTGGAACTGAAGGTATCAATATACATCTATGGGTTAATAGATGAGTGTATTAGTTTGTTTTCATACAAACTGCTGATAAAGACATATCTGAAACTGGGAACAAAAAGAGATTTAATTGAACTTACAGTTCCACTTGGCTAGGGAGGCCTTAGAATCACGGCAGGAAGCAAAAGGCATTTCTTACATGGTGGCGGCAAAAGAAAAAATAAGGGAGAAACAAAAGCGGAAACTCCTGACACACCCATCAGATCTCATGAGACTTATTCACTATCACCACAATAGCATGGGAAAGACTGGCCAACATGATTCAATTACCTCCCCCTGGGTCTCTCCCACAGCATGTGGGAATTCTGGGAGAGACAACTCAAGTTGAGATTTGGTTGGGGACACAGTCAAACCATATCAATGGGCATAGATACAAATGTACATATTGACATATACATTTACAATTGATATCATGGTGTGTGTGTGTGTGTGTGTGTGTGTGTGTCTGTTTCCTGGCTCTGGTTCCTATCTGCTGAGAGGAACTAAAAGCAATAACATCTAGCAGCAATTGGCATATCTAGTGCCCAAACCTTGGCTTTCAAACACCATCCTCACTAAAAGAAATCAAGGCGAACTGGAGGAAATACTAATTCCAGGGCTGGAAATGGGAAATAAAAAATGAGAGTAGAGCATTTTGTTAATCAAAAATTAAAGTGATGGAAAAATGATGGGGAGAGGTAAAAAACCATAGAAATCAGATTTAAGGGGCTCCCACTGGCTAAAAGCCATATTCGAAATTAAGATTATGTAATTCCATATTGAAATAAATAACTTAATAGCAGAAAAGCAAAACCTTTTCCTCACAGTAGAAACCCAAAGAATAAATTCAGAAAGAATGATTGAATTAGAAAAGCACTATTTGACAATCATCATAAGATAATTTATTTGGACAAGAATCATCAATGGCTACTAAAATTAGTATAAGAAACATTTGAGGAAAAGTGTATTAATTCAGTCTCAGAGTATCTCCCTTCAAGGTACTTATTAATCACAAAGTTAAAGCAATATCTTATAGCAAGAGACATTGAAGATATAACTTTAAAAATGATAACAATTATCATTGGTAGAAAAGGGACAATTCAGTACCATATACCTCCTGATAGAATGTACTAAAAACAACACCTATTTTGTAGTATTTCAGTAACAAATACATAACCTTGAATATACTCATTAGAAAACATCTGACTATCCCAAATTAAAAGTTGGTGAACACAATATCTAGCCTGTATTCATCAAAAACGTCAAAGACTAATAAATTATTCAAGATTAAAGATTAACATTACATGAGAGAACTAAACAGTGAGTGATCTTGGACTGGATTCTGGACCTTTCTTTTTTTAATTGTACAGAGTATTTTCTTTAGTCACCATAAAATTGAATAGAAATACATTAGAAAAAATATCTAGAAAGTTCTCAAACATTTGTAATTTAAGCAACATGCTTCTAAATCATCCATGGAACAATGAAGAAATCACAATGAAAATTAGAAAATCTTTTGAACTAAATGATGCAAAGTACAACAGGTCCTATCTGTGAAATACTTCTAAAGCAATGTTTACAGGGAAATTGATAGCTTTGAATATTTATATTAGAAAACTGAATAAAAGTTTAGAATCAAAAAGCTAAGTTTCCATTTCAAGAAGCTAGAAAAAGATGCACATATTAAAGCCAAAGTCAATAGTAGGAAAAAAAAAACTATAAAAATGAAATCAGAAACAATGAAATAAAGATTAGGCAAACAATTGGAAAAATAACAACATACTGAGTTTGGTAGATTAAAGGTAAAAAAAGGCCAAAAAAGACCCCATACTACCAATATCATAATGAGAAAGAAGATATTATTACAAACCCTATACTCATTAAAAAGTAAATTTAACAACATAGTGAAGCAGTCAAATCTCCTGAAAAATGCAACTTACCAAAACTGACTAAAGATGAAAAAAAAAATCTGAACAGTCCTTTATCTACTATACAAACTGAACTCATTATCAAGAACCTGTCCACAGTGAAAATTCCAGGCCTGGATGGTTTCACTGAAAAATTAATCCAATCATTAAAAAATAAATACTAGTAACATTCCAAAATTTAGAGAAGGAAACCCATGCCAATTCATTTTATAATGTCAGTATTAACTAACAACAACCAGACAAAGACATTACAAGAAATGAAAATTGTAGACTAATATCTGTCTTGAACATTGGCCAAAAACAAACAAGCAAATAAAAACGAAATATGAACAAACAAATTCCAGAAATATACGAAAAGGACAATACATCACGACCAAATGTGTCTTATCCCAGAAATGCAAGGTAGAATAACTGAATATCAGTGTAATTCACCATATTAACAAAATGAGATCAACTATACTGTTTATATTAATTAAAATGAAGAAAAACATTTATCAATACTCATGAAAGGTCTTACTTATAATGAAAGGTCTCAGCAAACGAAGAATAAAAGGAAATTTCCTCTACTCAATGAACATACTTTTCAAAAATACAGTTAGCATCATACTTAATGGGATAAAATGTAATCGTTTTTTCCTAAGATCAGGAATGAAGAAAGGATATCTGTCCTCATCATTTCTATTCCACTGATTCTAACCAGTGGAGGAAAACCGTAAAAGTAAAAATATATGTCACCTAAAATGATATAGATAAGAATATATACACAGCTTTATTCATTATTGCCAAATTCTGGACATGATCCAGGGGTCTATTGATAGCAAAATGAGTCAAACAATAGTGCTATAGAGTGGAACAAACTAGTCAAATATAGAAATACATGTGAAAGTATCGAATACAGCAAAGGAACCCAAACATTCAGAAGCACACATTGTATGGTTCTATTTATACAAAGTTCTTGGACAGCAAAAATTAGTGTATGGTGGCAAAAATCAGAACATGGGTTGCCTCTTGGGAGCAATTAAGGAGAAAAAGCCACAAATAAACTTTCTAGAATAATGAAAATATTCCATGCCTTGGTAGGAGTGTGGTTACAGGATTATATATATTTGTCAACACTCACCTAATTGTACACCTAAATTCTCTGCTTTTCACTGTATAGAAATTTATCTCAAACACTTTCAAAAGAATTGCAGACAAAAATTGAAAACTAGTTAGTAGTATGGGTTCTGAAACAACCTTTTAAGTGTGTAAGGCTTGAACCATGACTAACTGTTGAGGAACTGAAAACAGAATCACAGAATCAAAACGGCAGAGTGAAATAGTGAGACCCCGAGTGTCTCCTTAGGAGGAATGTGTTAGCAGTCCAGCACACGTCCCCATCACTCACTCTAGCTGTCCACCACCTGCTCTTTTTAGCGATGTACAGAGACGTCTGTGCCCCTTCAACACTGAGCCTGACCCCACCCTTCGGCCATCAGGAATTCTTCTAGGAAGGCACTGGGCCTCTGTTGTTCCACTTGGCAGGCCTCAGGCTACATGGCCACCTATCCAGTTTCGAACATCTGCTGTCTGACCATGATAGTAAGACAGAACCGAGACAAAAATAAAAAAGTATTCCTATGCGTCTGATTACCACCCAGAATAAAGAGGTGTTTAGAAATGTGTCATGAGAAGCTCCCTAAATCCATTCTGATGAGGTGGGGATGAGGTTGAGGAGAATGGAGATGATGGCAATGAGGTTTTTCATTAAACTGAAGAAAAGTAGTAAAGAATTTGAAATGGAGGCAAATGGTGAGATTATGGGAGTCCTGATGGAAACTGGCTGATTGACAACGGAAGATTAAAGTGCACCAGTTCATAATTAGAAGATGGCAAAACAGTCCTGAGCTCCTTTATTTCTGTGCAGTGATTACATCAGGGAAAATGAAATGTAACAGCTCAATAAAACTTGGATATGATGCTGACGGAAACAAAATTTAAAGGCTTATTTTGGCAAGAAATTGGGATCTCTGGGACCTAAGACTTTGTTTTGGCTTTATCAATGTGCTCTTTAATTCAGGACACTCAACCTCTTTTCCCCCTGCACTTGCCAAGTTGAAAAATGAAGTCATAAATGCTCTTTCAACCTTTTCAATGATACCAATAAATTGTGAAGATACATTTAATTAATACAATATTATCCAAGTTTAGCAATTCGTAAGAAAAATGCCAACTAATACACGGGTGTACATAAACCTAAGGGAGTTTTTTTTTAATCACATGAGAAATGAAAGAATCAAAGAATGAAGATTTATCTTTAGGGAAAATATTAAAAGCTAGACAGAAAAGTGTTTATAATACACATCTCAAAACATGGAAGACAAAAATCCCTGCCATTTCAGCTATTTACTTGAACACCATAGTTCTTCAGTAAAAATAATTAAATGACATTTAATGTCAACTGACATTATGTCGACTGAATGCTTTAGTAGAATGCATTTATGCCATTCCATCAAGAGAATTTGAAAGTATAAATGATGGCAATAATGTATTCTTTTTTCTGATGTTCTTTTGTGTCTCACTAACCCTCATTGTTTTAGTAGCTTGGTTGTTTTACCCCTGGTTCTTTCTGTTTATTTTTTCTTATAAGCAATTTAGAAAGTCTTCTGCTTCTATTCTTAAAAAGGAAAGTCCATCTGTTCCAGGTGGTTAGGCATGAGCAGTGCAGGAGAAGCCTCTTCCCCCACCCACTAGGAATGTCAGGTAACGGTTTGGCAATTATCAAATTGCCTCTCTAAAAGTGATACATTGGCAGCCAGAGCCAGGGAGATGCCATTTCCTGATGATCCACACCTGTTAACATTAAAGTGTTAATTAAAGCCCATCCCAAGAAGAAGAAACATACACATTAAGACACAAAAATATGATCATCCGGGCACACTCCACTGAAAAAGTGAAGAAAGCCTCTGGTGGGCACGTGTACGACTTCCTAAAACATGGCGCATGCTCACTTCCCAAGGGTAAAGACGGCACTGTGCATGCAGGTAGCCCACCTCAAGGGAAGAATCATGGGAAATAGGTGAGTCTATAAAAGTCCTAGAATCACTGTTAAACAGGGCGCTTCATCTTCTCTCTTTAACTTTCACGTGCCCTCTTGAATCTCTTCCAAGTGAGCTTTCCTTTCTTTCCTGTTCCAAGGCCTTTTAAATAAACTTCCACTCCTGCTCTGAAATTTGCGTGGTCTCTTTTTCTGCTCTATGCCCCTCAGTTGAATTCTTTCTTCCGAGGAGGCAAGAATTGAAGTTGCTGAAGATGCATACAGATTTGCCGCCGGTAACTCGGGGTAGCTCAGATCTCTTCCACCGCTAACTCATCTGTACTAGCTAATAAAATCGACTCCCATAGTGCTGGGTCCTCTGTGTAATCGTGGCCTCAACACTCTACAAATAATATTCTGAGAATTTCTGGTGAAGATTTACAATTATTAAATGTAAAACATTGATTGGAAAATATTGCAGAATCCATTTTACCGATTATATTTTATAAAATTACACAGATTATTATACCAATAACTTCAAGTATCTAATTTTCTGGTGAAGAAGTTTCTTCACACAAAGTTGGCTAAGTTAAATATATCAATTCCACGTATTGGGACATGTACTTGAGTTCCACAATGATATGGGAAAATGACATAGTATCATAGCAGAATGAGAAGATGTATTCAGTTCTCCTTACACCTTCCATAGATAATCAGGAACATGGGCTCACAGGCAGCCTTGCCTTTCTTTCCATTGTGCAGGTGGCAGTCATTTATACAAGTGCTTGAGGCTTTTTCCTAATCCCCAAGTCCGGGGCATCCACAACATCAGTCAGAAACATTGGATGCTAAATTTTGAAACCACCACTCACTGTGAGCTACCAAGAACCAAATGGAAAGTTACCACAATCCTACAAAAATGATAATAGGGTAATTGTTCAAAATGAAAAGCTATGTTAACTAGTTATAAATAGCCTTTGACACAAGCAAAGCAATTATTGAATGGTTAAGAAAAATAGCTTTTTCCCCAGAAGAGACACATTCAGTGTGCAGTGGTAAGGGGAGAGCGGTCCAGTTGGAAAAGAAACGAAGAGAAAGCAGTGCCCTTATCTCAAAGCCTCTCGAAAGAAACTTCTTCCCAGCTGGTTCGTGGGCCCTCTGAGTTCTCATAAGCAGAAGGGCCAGAGTCAGGGCAAGGGTTCCCTTTTGCCTTCCAGTGACTGCAGAAGGACAAAGAAGCAGAAGGACCCACATCGATGGGTTCATCTCCTGTACCTGGTTTCCTTTTAGCTCACTTCTAGGCTGCAACAATAGGATATAGCTACCAAAAACAGACAATAGTCAAAGAAAAGTAGAAATGTCCAAAGGGCCATTACAGTATTCTAATGGTTCTACATTTTGATGATAACATTATTATACCAACATAATATCACATCTTTATTTCATGTAAAAATTATACTGTCTGTGGTCAAATGTGCTGAGCAAATCAAGGGCTAATACTTCTAATTAGAGTAACTGTCAATTGTCCCACCGGTACTACCTGCCCACATGGTATGATGGCAAGGGCCTTGAGGAGGTCCCACAGCCCCAAAATGGCCAACACTACAAGCTGACTGATATCTAACATACAGATTGGTGATTTACCAAGTAATTATTTTATATGTTTGAACCCTGTTAAAATTCAAACACTCCAGAGTGGGCCTATCCTATGTTGATGGCATCTTTCCTATTGTGGGAATGAGAGCAGGTGTTGCTGACAGAGACTATTAGATGCCTGCTCAACATCCACCCACCTCAATTTTTTTTAGTAACAAAATTATATTTCAAAGAATCCTTTTCCATGCGCAACTGTTCTAGCCAATGAGAAATTGGGGTGGGGAAGGGGATTTGGAAGTGGAATGACCATATTTTGCAGATGCCTGGGGGAAAAGATAGAACAGGGTGGATTTTGGGTACTATTATGGAGCCACCACACCAACCCTGGACGGCAACTTCCAGATATGTGAGAAAAATAAAATTTTTTAATCTCATCTTTTTATGGCTGCATATTTTCCATGGAGATGGAGGCCATTATCCTAAGTAAAATAAGTCAGAAACAGAAAATCAAATACTATATATATGTTCTCACTTTTAAGTGGGAGCTGAACAATGGGTACACATGGATGAAAGATGAAATAAATCAATGTAAAGATAAAAATAATAGACACTGGGGACTCCAAAAGGGGGGAGACGGTGTGAAGTTTGAAAAATTACATATTGGGTACAGTGTTTCCTATTTGGGTGATGGGTACACTAGAAGCCCAAACCTCACCATTATGCAATATATCCATGTAACAAACCTACCCATGTATCCTCTGAATTTAAAATTAAAAAAGAATCATCTTTTTTTTTTAACTATTCTTGGGGTTTTTGCTATTTGCAAATGAACATAATTTCTAACTCAAGCGGTGGGAATACAAGTACCTGAAATGTTTTCAAAATTGAAACCAGAAACTGTAGTGTGATATAATTTGACAATTAGAGCATTTTTTATGTTAATACTCACAAATAGTCTAAATAGAATGGTTCCCATAGATAGGAAAGAGAGAGAAAAAGAAAAGGTTATAGATGGGGTGGCTGTGGCAGCAGGCTAGAGGGAGTTGTGGGAGCAGAGAAAGGAACGCAGTGGAGAGGCTGGGGTTCCAAGCAAATGCCACCTGCTTCACAGGGGGGCAGTCTTGCAAGGCAGGTGCAAAATGACATTTGGATCCTCCTTGTTTTTCTGATCATAGGACATTCTGCCATCACACACACACACGATATCCCCATTTCTTGCAGTCTGAGGGTGTCAACATATAACTCCCCTTTTCCTTACCTGCATTGCAGAACCACTTGAAAAATATAACAATGAAACAGATTGAGGTCGAAATATTGCCTTCATTATTCATAAGGCAGGTGGAGCATGTGACTCAGTGTGAGGGCAGGTGGGCTTACTAGGTCACTGGCTGGGGAGAGAATCACAAGCCTCCCCCAACAGCTTCATGTATTGCTTAGAGCAGAAAAAAAATCACATGTTCAGTAGAGACAAGAAGCCCATGAGAAAGACTGAGCACATGGTGCACACATGTGAAATGTTCAGCCGCGTCTCACTTGGCTTGGCTCTGACAACATGTCAGCAATAAAGTAATTATTTTAAAGATAACTGCTTAGTTCATTGTTGTTCCCTGGAATTTTTCCATTTCCTATTGGGCTAATGTTGGACTTCATTTTGAATCCTGGGACCTACTTCATATCCTGTTAGGGCTACAGTGGATTTTGGCAATGATTGAATTCAATTTTTATTTTACGGGTCAACAACCTGCATCAGAAAGTAGTGAAATGAATTACTCAGGGTCACACCTGGTGAATACCAGAATTTGAATTATAACTCAGGGCTTGGGACTTTTGTAGCCTCCGTCCATTGCCTCTGTGTCATTACAATGACTGATTTCTCCCTCTCTGCATTGTAAGTAGCACCATAAAGAAGCCATACTTACCAGCAACAAACTAAATGCTTTGTGTCCAAACCTCACTATAGCTGCTGAAGGTCAACAGCATATGACCTAAAGTCTTAGGAAATAGCATTTAATACCCAAAGAAACGTCTCCCACAGAGAGGTGCTCACTGATCTAAAACTTCTAAAAAATGGCAAAGAGTCTACCAATTACCATATGATGAGAAGTATATCCTGCTAAATATAGGAACAGAACTGTCTTCAAAAGCAGGTGATTCTAATACTCATTTAG
Organism: Homo sapiens; assembly: GCF_000001405.40. Taxonomy (NCBI): domain Eukaryota; kingdom Metazoa; phylum Chordata; class Mammalia; order Primates; family Hominidae; genus Homo; species Homo sapiens. Next base: position 165,087,636 of record NC_000006.12, read on the forward strand.
TGGGTTTCTCTCTGCTGCACAATTTTGCTTCTCTAAAGTCATTCTAACCCTACAGGTTATTTGAGAACTTAATTTTTACATCCTTTCTTAGAACTTTATCTTCTGTAATAACGGTCATTCATTTAAGTGCTAGAAAATCAAGATGATATACCCTTCTCTCTTGAAAGAACAAAAATGTCAAAATTACTATGAAAGAAGTTAAAATAAAATTCTCACTTGGTTGTGTACCAATTGAGAGGGGCAGTAAAAGAATGCGTTGCTTATGGAGAATTTAAACGTTAGAAGAATCTGCTTATGCTTATTACCATAACCTGTAATCCTAAACAATGTCGGTGATAAGCCCCCTTGCCACCATGGCACCATGCGCGTTTTTGTACTCCACTTCCTGGACTGATTGGCAGGTTTTTACATCCAAAGAACCACTGTTAGCAGAATCGAATAGTCAGTAGTTATTTGCAAACCCAGGCTTGAGAACATAGTTGAACAGCATCAGTTAACTGCCCTTTCTAGAGATCTGGAGATCAATATGGATGCTTTGAGCAAAATGCCTCCTTTCTTAGATCCCATGGTGTAAAACTATGGAAGTCAGGAGCTATTGAGAACTGTCTTTCTCATCATGCAAGAAGGACCTGCCTGGAGACAAAGCTATCACAGAGGTTAAGCAGAGCCAAGACATGATCGGCAGATGCCTGGGGATGTATATAAAGCTGAAGATGAGACCATTTCCGATATTGAGGCAAAAAAACCTTACCTTTTATAATTTAAGCTTTTTGAATTCTGTAATTTATAACTAAATATCTAATAAGCCATCAAATATGCATATTTCCTATTCCCCATTATATTATAAAACGCCAGTCTCCTCCATACTTCTAGCCTTTGATTTTCGTTCAAAATGTGCTTGTTCTATGAAGTCTCCCATGTCTTCTAGTAGACTTAATTGACCAAATTCTGAGCTTCCACTGAACCCTATGTGTGCTTTCTCACCATATCACAACCTGCTTTCTATCATCATGTCCTATCTAAACTGCCCTGGAAGATAATCAATATTAAGTGTTAAAATGTCTATAAAATACATTGACAACTAAGCAAATATTCATTGGCCACACAATGCTGTGTAAACACAGCAGATATTTTAACCCTTATCTAACACATGAGCAACATCAACTTTTCCTTGAAACTATTTCCTCCCTTGGCCTTCATGACACTTTTTGTTCTCAAACTAAAATCTGGTCAATCTTTTTTTCTTTCAAAAATCCTTTTGTTGCTCCTCCAGGATGCAGTGAAAGCCTCCTTCCTCACTGGTGCCATGATGTGCAGCCATGGCGGATCATGCCTGTGGTTCTGGTCTCCACCTTCTCCACCGTAGCTGGCTGCGAGCTTCCTGCAACTTCAGGACCCTCACTGCACCTGCTCACCACCATGGCCCCATCCCTCCACATGCTTCCTCTCATAACTACTGGGCCTCCAGTAGTTATTTGTGGAATAAATGAGTAAAAGAAGCAAAACTGCATGCCACACTTCCTTCTAGGCCCTTTCCTGCTCCTGGTGCCCTGGGACTTACCTTTTCTAATCAGCACACTCTGCTGTGGCCATGCCCACCTGCCTGCTTCCCTGACCTCACGGTGCTCACTCCTCCTTCCTTTGAATCCCCTCTAACCAGAAAGCTCCTGCCATTATTTTTACCTCTCTCTTTATCTCTTTTGAGAATGGTCTTAAGTCTTTCCTGACCTCTCCCTTACTTCACCTTCTGGATTCAATCTTCTTCTTTTCTCCAAAAGTACCTCCTAGAACCCTTTGTCCTAGTAGTGACCGTACTGTATTGTGATCATCTGAGCGCTAGCCTGCCTCTCCTAGTAGACTACGAGAACTCCTAAGGGAGGAAAGCTGACATTACCCACTGCTGTCTCCAACACATTAAGACACCTTTCAATGCCAAGCTCTAGGTTTTAAGAAGAAATAGCTTATTGACAGCAAAAGACTGGGATTCTATGTTTCTATAAGGACAATATAAATTATTTCTCTTCCTTATTATACTTTTAATACCTTGGCATTGGCATCATTCCATAAAAAAGTCTTATATATAGTAGAGGTTGAGCATCACTAATCTGAAAATGCAAAATCCAAAATGCTCCAAAATACAAACATTTTGAGCATGGACATGAGATAGTGATACCATTGCTATCTGACGGTTCAGTGTACACAAACTGTTTCATGCACAAAATTATGTAATGTATAAAATTACCTTCAGGCTACGTATATAGGGAGTATATGAGACATACATGAATTTCATGTTCAAACTTGAGTCTCATCCCTAAGATATCTCATTATGTGTATGCAAATATTCCCAAATGTGGAAAAAATCTGAAATCTGAAACACTCTGGTCCCAAGCATTTTGAATAAGGAATACTCAGCCTGCAATTGTATCATAACATTATTATTGAATACATCTTTTTACATTGTGGTTCAAGCTGCATCCCTGAAAAGGAAAAAGAAAGAAAAAAATATTGCTACAAAGTAGGTCATTTATCTATAAAATAGATGTGAGTTGCATAACCATGAATCGTAATTTAAACTTTCTTCATGTTTGACCATATGTCACCATGGTAGGTTGTTTGCAAAATGTCTGCTCTAATTACCTCCCTGTCTCCCTGCACTTCCATAGTCCTCCCACCCCCGCACCGCATCGGGGCTTGCTCACATGACTGGTGTTGAACAACGAACTAGAGCAAACGTGGCAAACTCAGAGGCTGGAAAGTGCTCGTGCAATAGGTCCTGCCTTCTCATGCTGCCGAGGATCATGCTGTCCTCATATAAGAACCCTGCAATAGCTTGTTGAAAAAGATAGGACACTTCAGGGAGTAGAAGTGAGCCAATCAGCTAAGAGCCCCCACCATACCCCTTAGACCAGCCAGCCCCCAGGCACGAGACATGAGTGAAGACTTCCTGGTTCACTGATCCTGGCTGGATCTGCTCAGATCAGAATAACTTCCTGGCTTATTCATACAGTCAGGAGAAATAATCAATATTTATTATTTCTAACTGCTGAGTTTGAGGATGGTTTGTTGTGTAGCAAACATTAAGTGATAGAGTTGCAGAACTTGAATAATTGTGCTATTCCCATAAAATATAAAATCATACCAGAAAATTAGTTGAAGTAACTGAACTAAATATGTATTTTTATTTCAAAACTAAGTAGTCTTAGACTTGAAATCTATGTCTGATACTTAAAATTGATTTATTAACTCAACAAAAATTATTGCATGCCTACTTCATATGCCCAGTACATATTTGTATTTTTCATCTGTTAAAAAAATTCAAATGAATACACATAATTATTAGAGTCTTATCTTTCAGTTCAAGATTCATCCTGTGCTCAGAATGAGCCTTAAATGTAGAGCATAAAGAAGAGGTTCCGGTAAGGAAGACATGGTATTTACAGAGACTACAGTAAAATTTCTAGACAAGCTCAGAAAGAAAAGCAAAGAAAGAAAAAAAAATTTGCCTCAGTCTCAAAAGAAAATAGAAAATAAATATTTTTTCCCACTAGCAACTTCAGAAACAAATGAAAGAATGAGCGGCATATTGTAAGAGAATGGAATGTAAGTGACAGCTCTTTCATTGCAGTCAACAGGAGCTGCCTGTTGATGTGAAGTCTGAAGGAAAGAGGAAGACCTCCAGGAAGGCACTCGGGCTCATTCCCTGTCAAGCCGCTCCTGGATAAAGTCAGGGCATATATACTGCAAAACAGTTTGGAAAATTATTCTCAATTATCCTTTCATTCTCTAGGTCCCTCCAAAAGGAAGGTGCTCCTTCCTGTCTTCAAAGATATCATTGAGTTAGCATTGAGCTAGGATTGTGCACGGATTAATTATGAGCAGAAATCCATGCTTGGGACTCATAAAATGCAGGAAATGACTTGCTTTATAACAGGGAAAGAAAGAGCAATAAACTGACAGGAAGAGGGAGCCATAAAAGTCATCAAAGGGCAGCAGCAGCGCGCCAGTGTCTGTAATTGAGGAGGATCTTTCCCAGGGAACATGTGTTGCAAGGAAAGGGTGAGCTGGAGCCACACAGGCTGTGGTTTAAATGAAAATACTTATTAGACAATCGAGTCAATGAAACGGTCTTGACATGCCATGGAGTGCTTTGCTCTGGGCCTCTCCTTCAGGCAGAAGTTCACATTAGCCTTATGGTCACTAGAGCATGACTTCCATGGAGTGAAAACACGCCGGAACAAGTCAGATTCCTACATATTCTGTGTGTGTGAACCTGCACATGCTCATGAAGCTATGCCCGTAAAGATATAACATGTTATATCTATACACACCAGACACACACACACACACGCACACACACACACACACACACACATATATATATTTAGACAGAGTCTCACACTGTCACCCAGGCTGGAGTGCAGTGGTGCAATTTCAGCTCACTGCAACATCCACCTCCTGGGTTCAAATGATTCTCCTGCCTCAGCCTCCTGAGTAGCTGGGATTGCAGGTGTGCACCACCATGCCTGGCTAATTTTTGTATTTTTAGTAGAGACAAGGTTTCACCGTGTTGGCCAGGCTGGTCTCGAATTCCTGACTTCAGGTGATCCTCCCACCTCAGCCTCCCAAAGTGCTGGGATTTGAGGCGTGAACCACTGTGCCTGGCTACACACATATATATGATGCATAGCATGTAATATAAATGGATTGAGAGATTGAGAGTTTACCTCTTTAGAGAGCTTCTGGTCAAGTTTGTGAAGCCTCGATATGGTTCAGAATAGTTTCCCTTCCACCAGAGTTTATTATTTTATTTCATATTATTTCAGAGTTATTAGTTCATTAGGGAGACTAAAAATGTCTAATTTACTAAACAAGGTATTTGTTAAATACTCCTAAGTGGCAAGCACTGTGCTATGTACAAAGCATACAATGATGACAGGAGACAGATGAGGTCTCTGATCTTATGCAGCCCACTGTCTAGGGGGAAGTAGATAATTATTAATCACATAAATAAGAGCTCAATTGCCTCAGTCATCAGTGCACAAATCAGAAAGGTGTCATAAACACACAGAGGAGAAGTGTTTAACCTATTCAGGGAGATCAGCAAAGACCTCCTCAAAGAAATTAAGAAATTACCTTGGAGGTGCAATCTGTACCATGAGAATAAATTTCCTAAGAGAAACAGGGTTTGGGTGGGAGGAAAAGGGGTAACAGTTGGGGGACTGCATGTTTAGGAGCCTAGTGAGGGACAAGGTGGAGTTTTGGGGTAGTGAAAGGTCAACGCAGAGCACAACACAGAGAATAATGTGAGATGGGACCATGGAGGTGGGGAGAGGACAGGCTAGCCAAGGCTTAGTAAAGCCATGGTACAGATTCTGGATGGCAGCCAATGAAGACTTCATAAAAAGTGAACAGACTTGATGTTTGAAAAGAACGCTGGCTGCGATGCAGGGGACAAATTGGATAGGATTCAAAACCAGTTGCAGGAGAACAAGTAGAGGGTGCCATAGGAATCAGAGGGTGAGGGACAAACATAGCTTGTCCTAGCAAAGAGGTGAAGAATGTGGGGGTTCAGTCAGGCTGGTGGGAAAAATTTTAGTTTTAATAGCCACAAACCCTCTTGGAAGGCCTGAGAGTTTGCATAACTTCGGTAATAAATCAGGCTGAAGGCAGCCTAGTACCCTTACTTTAGTTAAATAAATTAGAGTAGAAACAAAGGAATGTGGGGAGTTTCTCTAACTAACTTGTTTACTCATGTGGTCTTAAGATTAACCTTTGTTCTACTGTGGGTGCTTAAATGCATTCTACTCAGGAAGTCCACAATGTCAGTTACCCTCTAGTGGTGTTGACTCAAGCCTTTGTCAATTAATTTTTACTGAATAAATGCAAGTCTTGCTGGCTGGTCATGGCCATGGTCACAACTGTTTACAGGACTCTGCGTGGAGTCTGTAAGTGGCCCGGATGTTCAGCTGGACTGGCAAAGCAGAATATCTATGTGTCAGTGTATTTTATTCATTCATTGTTGGGTCAGGGTCTGCGGGTCAGACCCCCACAAAGAAAATGGAAAGAAGAAGGCCTATTTTAATAAATTTAGAATTTACTTAAAGATAAACAGTTTCTTCCTCATTTTATTTCTCTCAAACACCAAGGCTTCAGAATATGCCTTTCTTTATTGATAAGATTTATGTAACTGTCCTTGACGGTGCAAATTCAGAGGACCTACCTAGTGTCAAACTATCTGTTATATCACCATTTTCCAAACTACATTCCACTCAGCAATTGTATATCACAAAATATATGCACCATAAAAACAGTCCAGGTGATACAACCTTTGGGAAACTGCACAGTAAATCCCTCTTTGTATACAGACAGCTTCAAGGTAGCCTTCAGTAAAGCAAAATGCATTTGATCCGAAACTAGTTGTCTTCTGCTTGGTTGGTTTGTTTTGGAAACCTTCATTAACCTTCTTGAAAACCCATGAATACAGTTTTGAAAATAGCACCATAATAATTTATCTCAAGTTCAATGAGATGGTGATTTAAAGTCTTAATTTCTACCCACTCTTTTTTAAATCTTCTTCAATAACACAAAAGGCTTACAAATGACTCTCAAAACTGTGAGAACTAGGGATTCACAACTTTTGTGGAGGGTGAATTGATGATAGCTAGCTTCGTGGTTTCACATTCTTTCTCCAAATACAACACTGAAATTCCTCTTTCTGAGGAAAAAAAATATACACCTTACCCTTTCAGTGACTACGTCTCACCTGTAACACTTGCTGTCTCAGTGAGCCCAGTACTTGTTAAGCTATTGGCTGTGAGCTTGTCTGTTTTACAATGAATTTTCCACTAACAATATCACTCATAAACTCACTCCTTTAATTTCACTCCAACATCTCTAACTTCATAAAATGAATGAAAAACTTACTGAGGGGAAATAAGAAAATTTCAAGCTACAGGGAAAAAAATGCAACATTAAAATTTTTTTTCTCATCTTCTAAAGTGAAAAATTTTTTAAAGACAAAATACCTATTTTTAAGCATGTTAAAGCTATTTACCCCAGGCAGCACAAAGATATTTCCAGACATCATTTCTTTAATTTTCACAGGCCTTAACTGAAAGAAAAAAAGATTATTTTTCCCCAAGTGGGGAGATACATGAATACATGACTCTTTTTTAAAAAAGCAGTTTATAGAAAATGTTTACAAAAAGTACTATTCTTTTCTCCAAGCAGCATTGTCTATTGACAATATTCCTTTGCAAATGGACTTATTTTCTTTATTCCATTTCAGAAAGCACAGACATATCAAAGGAGCTAAACACATACATCGCTTTGTTAGAACTGTCTCTCATTTTCTGCTTCTCAATGTTGGCTCCCATTTCCTGGTGCTGAGCAGTCTTTCAAGGAACACTTAGTGGGGAAGCAGTAATGGCAGGGACAACAAGAACCAGCACAGACTGAATTTCTTCTACAGTGCAGGCTTCACACACACATCATCTCATTTCATCTTCACTGTTAAGATTTAGAGTAGGTAATTTTTAACTATTCCCATTTCACAGATATGGAAACTTAGACTAACACAAAATCCAATGTAACTCCTACATCATATGGCCAAGATTCTGACCCAGATCTGCCCACCTCATTCCTTGCTTGCCCAGCTTGTCCTTCCTTAACCTGCCAGTGCTGATAAAGACCCAATAGTGTATGAATTTATGCTTTTGTGTTTTTGTTTTTATTATTATTATTATTACTATTATTATTATTATTATTATTATTGTTATTGGCCTGTGATCACATCATCAAACTCGGAAAATGATTTTATTACTTTTCTGTTATTTAAAATATATTTAACATTGTTTTAATTTCAAATGTATTCAGCATCTGATTCCTGCCCTTTTTAACCACTGCTTTGCTGAGCCATTAAACATTTTTCCAAATAGAATAAATTTCAAATACTACTCCATTGTCTTCTCTTTCTCTAAGAAGATATTTAATGAGTTTTTTTTTTTAAATAAAAAGCTTTACAGAGAATCAAGTAATTACAACAAAGTAGCAAGAGGAGACAGACAAATTTCTAAGCAGACAGAGACAGGTCCCCAGTGAAACCTCACCTTCAAGCCAAAGACAGTTTAAACCCTGAAAATTGAGCTGCCAGTTCTGAATAGAGTCCATGACCAGAGTGAAAACTTCTATTCCTGTTTGCCCACTCTTTACTGATTGGTTCTTTCTGAATAATGCTTTTTAACCGATCGAATATTCCCTTTTCCAAGGCTACCTATAGCCTACACCTCCTCATTCCAAACATATAAAAACCCTGCAATCAGCCTCACAGACGGCTACCCACTTTTGGTCCCCTTTTGCAGTTGAGAGCTTTTCCTCTTTGACTCAATAAACTTCTATTCTGCCTTACTTGCTCTCCATTGTCCACATACCTCATTCCTCTTAGTCATGGGACAAGAACTGGACTGTGGGAACAAGAGAGCTGTAACACATCCCTGTTCACCAAGCTGTGAGTGGCAGAAATAAAAGAGCTCGTAACATGCTCCCACTTGCAGAGCTACAGGAGTGAAGAGCCGTGACACTTCTGAGGGCCCAGATAATGGGACTCCCCAAGCAAAAGCTATAACACTCCTTGGGGTGCTGCAATTGCTGACATTTCTGAGTTTTTGGATGCCACCACGTTCTCCTCTTCTACATGCTGGCACCCAATGTGGAAGCCACTCGCAGCATGCCTGGCTCAGCCACGGGCTAAGTGTGGAGCTGTGGTGGGCACAGGATCCAAGTGGGTGTGAGCTGAGCACAGCCTGCTGGGCCAAGCGGGCAGAGTGAGCCCAGTGGGTCCAAGAGAAGCCCTGGACAGAGGTCACAGTGGCCACAGGGATTTTTGCCTGACAAAGTGGCACTGAAGGAATCCTGTGTCATTTCTGGGATCTTGTCCGGGATCTGCAGAAGGGTAAGTTCAAACCTATGACTCTTTACCGTCATTCTGAGGCTTCTTGTCTTCAGATTTTTTTTTTCCAAAAGCAGATGAAACACCAGGCCTCTGTTCCCCAGTTAAGAGTGAGTAGTGTGGCTTCCAGGTTTACAAGACTCAGAGGAGAGGTTTGCTGGGGAGGACTTTGTCAATCCCCCATCACCCTTGGGTGTTGGGAATGTTGGCTTTGTTTCAATTCAGTTTCCATTCATGGAGGTCTAGCTGTCACATGGGATCAGAATAAGGTCCTAGGACAACTGAAGGTATCTGGCCAAGGCCACACCTTGGTGCTATCCAAAGGCTCTCAGACCAGCTCCAGTCCCCAACAACCTGTTATGGTATTGGCACCAAGACTGATGATCTTCATATTGCATTTTCTTTCTTTTGAGAATGCCATGGCTGCTACCCCTCTTTACATACAATGTAAGAGTGTTGCTGCAAACCACAGAGATAATATTACTGAAGAGAGTAAGCACTTGGCTTAGTCATCCGAAGTGTAATTCAGAGCAGTATTGTTTCTGTCTATTCTTAGAAACAAAAAGATGTAACATTTAAGAGAGTTTTATTTCCCCCTGTTGAAGAAATCCATTAGCATAGGGTAAGAGGCTACTTCTACCAGGCACTTTCACTCCTCAGCATTTAAGTTGTTGTTGTTGTTGCTGTTGTTGTTGTTGCTGTTGTTGTTGTTTCCACCATGTCAGGAGTCAACATAGTTCTGCGAATACAGGAAGTTTTCTATAAGAGGGATGTTTTTTTTCCTTTTGGCAGGGCATCTCATTAGGCCACGTCCCCAACTCCCATGACTCCCTTTATCTCCTTTGCTTCAGGAGGATTTGGTTTCACAGCTTCATTACTCCAGTGGTTTTTCCAAGCTTTGGTTTGGAGCCCTAAAAGCAAAACTAGATCTGAGGGACCCAGAGACAGTTACAGAAAAAAGCCAGGGCACAGCATAGGTGAGGGTGACTGTCCCTGCCAACTAGGCCTTCGCCCTTCATAGGTGGAGGACTCACTCACATCCATGGCATAGATGAAGTCTAAGGAACCCAAAGGTCATGGGACCAGAGAGTACTTTAGAGAACCTCCTGAAAACGGCCACCCCATTCTTTTAAAATAGGGATTGGGAGGAGGCCCAAGACAGGAAAAGAAGATACAAGAAAAAGGCAGAGGCTCTAATGGCCACCTGGCAGGCTTACAAACCCCAGAATCTCCGAGATGTACCTGTTAACTGCTGTACATGTGGCAAGCCAAGACACTTTAGGAAGGACTGCCCAGGCAGCATGATGAAGCCACATCAACCCTGCCCAATCTGCAATGGGGATCACTGGAGGGTTGACTGTCCTCACAGACAGACGTCACTAGGTGCAGAGCCAGTGTCCCAAATGGTCCAACAGGACTGATGGGTTCCAGGACTCCTCTCTCTGGCTCTGATGGTTCAGACCACCATTACCATCCAGGATCCCAGAGTGATTCTGGAGGTCAAAGGGAGGAAGGTAGACCTCCTCCTGGATACCAGAGTGGCCATTTCAGTTCTCTCCCATCCGGCCCTCCCCTCCTCCCTTAGCACAATTGTGAGGGGCATCTCAGGAAAGCCTTTAACCTGATATTTTTTCCAACCCCTTAGTTGTAGTTGGGGAGACCTCTTGTTTACTCATGGTTTTAAGTCATGCCTGAAAGCCCAACTCCTCTGCTAAGCAGGGATATTTTAGCTCATGTGGGAACCACCATTCTTATGGCTTCAGGACAGACTCTTTGCCTCCCCCTGGTGGAGACCAATATTAATCCAGATGTTTGGGCAATTCAAGGGAAATTTGGCCAAGCCACAAGCGCCATACCAGTCTGGATCGACCTTCTGGATCGACCTTCAGGATCCCACCTCCCTTCCTAACCAGAGATGATATCCCCTAAAACTAGAAACTAGGAAAGAGCTAGAAGCCATCATTGATAACTTGAGGACGCAGGGCCTCCTCAAACCTTGCAACAGTACTTGTAATACCCCAATATTGGTGGTACAGAACCCAATGGGAAATGGAGACTGGTCCAGGACCTCTGCCTCATTAAGGAGGCTGTGGTTTCAATTCACCTGGTGGTTCCCAGTTCTATAACTGCTAACTCAAATATCTGAGGGAACTAAGTTGTTCATAGTCGTGGAGCTAAAGGATGCCCTTTTCTGCATACTGCTACACCCCAAATCCCAGTATTTGTTCATATTTAAGAATCTCTCCAACCAGAACACCTGGCTAACCTGGACAGTGTTACCTCAGGAATTCCAAGACAGCACCAAAAAAAAGGCAGAGGTTCTAATGGCCACCTGGCAGGCTTACAAACCCCGGAATCCCCAAGATGCACCTGTTAACACTACACATGTGGCAAGAGTTTGGGCAGGAGTTGTCAAAAGATCTCTCTGACTTCCTTTATCCTCATGTTAAAGTCTTACAATATATAGGTGACATTACCCTTTGTGCCCCAACTGAGGAAGTGAGGAAGTCTCTCAGGAGAACAGTAAGGTTCCTCTTAATTTTTTGGCTAACAGAGGATATAAGTTCTCAAAATCTAAGGCTCAGCTCCATCAGATTTCCGTGAAGTACCTAGGTCTAGTTTTGTCAGAAGGAACCTTTCTTAACTAGGTGAAGAAAGGATTAAGCCCATCTCCTCCTTTCCCCTCCCCAAAACCCCTGGCATTACAGGATTCTGCAGATTATGGATACCTCAGTATGGTGAAATAACTCGTCCCTTATATCACCTAATGAAGGATAGTCAGGCAGCTAAGACTTACTCCCTAATTCGGGAATCAGAGGCTAAAAGGGACTTTGACCAATTGAAACAAGCCTTGCTTGAGGCACCAGCCCTTAGTCTTCCCACAGGGAAGATGTTCAATCTTTATGTATCAGAATGGAAGGGAATGGCCCTGGGAGTTATAACCCAGGCCTGAGGTCCAGCCCAGCAGCCTGTAGGCTACCTAAGCAAGGAGCTTGATTTACTGTCTAAAGTATGGCTGGCCTGTCTCTGGATAGTTGCACTGGTAGCTTTGCTGGTGCCAGAGGATACTAAGTTAACCATGAATAACTTAACTGTTTATGCCCCACATAATGTGGCAGGACTGCTGTCTTCTAAGAGGAGTCTCTGGCTAATGGACAGCCACCTCCTTAAATATCAAGTGCTGCTAGTAGAGGGATCTGAAGTCCAGTTAAGAAGCTGTTCCTCCCTAAACCTCCTAGGGAAGAAGCTGGGGATGGGGAGCTTGAACATGAATGCAAATAGAGAATAGTGCAAACTATGCAGCCAGGGAGGACCTCAAAGAAACCACCCAAGAGAAACCAGACTCGATTTTTTAAAATAAATGGTTGTTCTTTTGTAGAACAAGGTATTCATAAAACAGTGTATGTAATAGTCACCCTGAATGGCACTACTGACAGTGTGTTCTTCTCTCCTTGGGCACAAGTGCTCAACTAGCTGAGCTAATTGCCCTCATGAAGGTGCTTGAATTAAGCAAAGGAAAAGCAGTTAACATTTATACTGACTCTAAGTATGTTTTCCTAGTCCATCATGCCTATGTCACAATCTGGAAAGAGGGAGCTAATGAGTCTCCCATTAAATACCATCAGGAAATTAACAGACTGTTATCCTTGGTTTTCCTTTCACAGGAAATGGCAGTAATACATTGTAAAGGCTATTAAAAGGAGACAGATGAAATAGCTGAGGGGAATAAGTTGGCAGACCAAGCAGCTAAATCAGCAGCAAAAGGGCCCCAGATTTCCAATCCGCTTGAGCCCCCTCTGATCTGGGAGGGCTCCATAAAAGAAATATAACCTCAATATTCTCCTGCAGAAATTAAATGGACCACCTCTTAGGTATATGCCTTTCAGTCCTCAGGATGCCTGCAATGAGAGGATGGCCAACTTCAACTACCAGCCTCCAGCCAATGCTAAGTTCTTCAAGTCCTTCACCAAGCCTTCCACATGCGTAAGGACAAAACTATCAATTGGCCCAAAGTTTGTTCTCATGTAAAAATCTGCTAACAATGGTAAACAGGGCATTAATACTTGTGAGACTTGATTTAAAAATAATCTCCTCAATCGATGGTTTCGGTTTATGCCCACCAGAACCCAAAGAATGGTAGGCTACCTGAAGGAAGACTGACAGATGGATTTCACACATATCCCAAAGACAAGGGCCACCCAGTATCTCCTTGAATGGGTAGATACCTTCACTAACTGGGCAGAAGCATTTCCTTGTCAGGCAGATAAAGTCTCTGAGGTGATAAAAGTTCTAATTAGTGAGATGACCCCTCGCTTATGACTCCCTAAGTACTTCCAGAGTAGTAATGGTCCCTCATTCAAGGTGGCTGTCAACCAGGGGGTCTCAAGGTTACTAGGCATACAATACTATCTTCATTGTGTTTGGAGACCACAATCCTCGGGAAAGGTAGAAAAGAAAAATGATATTATTAAAAGGGATCTCAGAAAACTGTCTCAAGAGACTCATCTCCCCTGGATTACTCTTCTCCCCCATAGCCCTACTACGTGTTAGAAACACCCATTCAAAGCTGGGTTTAAGTGCCTTTGAAATGTATGGACGGCCTTTTCCCATCAATATTTCTTGCTAGACCAAGAAACCTCTGATTTGATTAAACATATAACTTCTTGGCCCATTTCCAATGGGAACTGAAACAACTGTTGGAGGTCCAACACTGTGAACTAGGGTCACCTCCATTTAACTGAGGGGATTTAGTACTGGTAAAGCCCCTTCCTTCTTTTTCCTTCTCTAGGTCCAGAGTGGGAGGGACCTTACACTGTACTTTGTTCTACTCCTTTGCCAGTGAAAGTCACTAAAATAGATTATCAGATTATACTTGAGTACAGGCCTGGGAAGCTGATGGAATTACCTGTTGACCCAGAAGAGCCCCTGAAGCACCACTGTGAGAAAATCAGAGAGCTCAAGCTAAAGATCACAAAAGATAAATGTCAATAATTAACCTTCCATGGATGTCCTCTTTATAGTCTTGCCTATGCTTACTGTTCCTCATTATAAGGCATCTTTGCCAAGGACCACTTACTCCCAAAGGCCCATGATACTATCTACTCCCTTAAACAGCTATCTCTCTTCTGAAGTTTAACTTCCCTTCCACATATGAAATTTAATACCTTTCATTGAGTGAAACAGCTCTGGCCACAACATTGTTTTCAGAGTGGTTAGTCTATTTATTTCCTATTTCTGTTCTCTTTGGCACTAGGTATTTTTCCTTTTATCTCCTCTTTGTATAATACTCATGTTTGGTTTATTCATAGTTAACCTCCTTGTAAGATTTGCTTCTTCTCACCTAGAGGCCATCAAACTCCAAATGGTCATGCAAATGGAGCCTCAGATGATGGATTCTTTTTACCAGGGACCCTTAGATAGGTCTCTGAGAGAGACCTGACTGCCATTTTCCCAAACAATGCCTCTGTCAGCATGAAGCAGTGAGAGCAGTCACCATTCCTATCCTGACAGCAGTTAGATGTACCTCTTCAGAGGGGAGATCATAGTGATAGGAGACAGACAGATTCCTAGGCATACAGGGATGGTTCCCTGGTGAAACCCAACCTTCCAGCCAAAGATAGTTTAAATCCTGAAAACCGAGCTGCTAGTTCCGGATAGAGTCCATGACTGGAGTGAGAACTTTACTTGTTTGCCCACTCTTTCCCAATTGGTTCTTTCTGAATAACGGTTTTTAACCAATTGAATGTTGCCTTTTCCAAGACTACCAACAGCCTGTACCTCCTCATTCCAAGCCTATAAAAACCCCAAACTCAGCCTTACACATGGCTACCTGCTTTCAGTCCCCTCTCACAGCTGAGAGCTTTCCTTCTTTTACTCAATAAACTTCTATTTTGCCTTATTTGCTCTCCATTGTCTGCATACCTCATTCCTCTTGGTCACAGGACAAGAATCTGGAACCCACTGAACTGTGGGAATGAGAGAGCTATAACACGCCCCCATTTACCAAGCTTCAAGCAGTGGGAATAAAAGAGCTTGAAACACGCTTCCATTCTCCAAACTATGGGAGTGAAGAGCATGACACTTCTGGAAGTCCAGACCTCAGGACTTCCCAAGCAAGATCTGTAACAGCCCTTGGGGCTCCACAATTGCTGGCATCTCCACGTTTTGGGGAACCACCATGTTCCATCCATCTACACACTGGTACCCCGTGTGGAAGCTGCTCATGGCACACCCAGCTTAGCCATGGGCTATGCCTGGAGCCATAGTGGGTGTGGCATCCAGGCAGGCATGAGCTGAGTGCAGCCTGCTAGGCTGACCAGGTGGAGAGAGTCCAACAGGCCAAAGTGAGGCCCCAGGCAGAGATCACAGCAGCTGCAGAGATTTCCAGCTGACGATACAGCACTGAAGAAATCCTGTTTCAATGGCAGGAAAGAGTTAATTAATTAACTCAGTAGATATTGAATAAACATCTCTTTTATCCAGGCACTGCCCTGGGCACTGCACATAAAATAGTAAAAAAGGTGTACATTTTCTCTTAAGGAACTTGTAATGAAGTAAGAAATGCAGACAAGAAAGGAGAAATTGTAACGTGAAATTGTGCTACTCTTGATGAAAAGAGTCAAACTCTGTAAAATATTTGAAGAGATTTATTCTGAGCCAAATATGAGTGACCATGGCCAGCGACACAGCCCTCAGGAGGTCCCGAGAACATGTGCCCAAGGTGGTCGGGCAGAGCTTGCTTTTATACATCTTAGGGAGACATGAGATTTTAATCAACTAATTTTAAGAAATACATTGAATTGGTCCAGAAAGGTGGGACAATGTGAAATGGGGGGGGGGGGTGGCGGGGGGGGGTTCCAGCTCACAGGTAGATTTAAAATTTTTCTGGTTGACAATTGGTTAAGTTTATCTAAAGACCTGGAATCAAAAGAAAGAAATGTCTCGGTTCAGATAAGAGGTTGTGAAGACCAAAGTTCTTATTTGCTGAGGAAGACTTCATTCAGGTAGCAGGCCTCAGAGATAATAGGTTGTAAAGTGATTCTAATCAGACTTAAAATCTGTGTTGATGTTAGTACTGGAGATGTATAATGAGGCCTGTCCGACCCCCCTTCCCATCATGGCCTGAACCAGTCTCTCAGGTTAAATTTTAAGTGTCCTGGCTGAGAAAGTCCATTCAGATGGTTGTGTGGGCCTTTGACTTTTTTTTTTTTTTTTTTTTTTTTGAGATGGAGTTTTGCTCTGTCGCCCAGGCTGGAGTGCAGTGGTGCAATCTCAGCTCACTGCAACGTCCGCCTCCCGGGTTCACACGATTCTCTTGCTTCAGCCTCCCAAGTTGCTGGGACCACAGGTGTATGCCACCACGCCTGGCCAATTTTTGTATTCTTTTTTTATGGGGTTTCACTATGTTGGCCAGGCTTGTCTCAAACTCCTGACTTCATGAGCTGCCCACCTTGGCCTCCCAAAGTGCTGGGATTGCAGGTGTGAGCCACTGTGCCTGACCAGGGCCTTAGAATTTTAATTTTGGTTTACATTATCATAAGTAAAGGCAGGTGCTCTGGAATTAAAAAATTCCAAGTGAACGTGTTTTGGAGAATCTGGAATAGCTACTGGAGGAAGTGATGCCTCATCTAAGAAAATGGGTAGAACTGAACCAAATTATTTGAGCAGTAAGAGTGTCCCAGGAGGAGACAATGATGCATTGAAGGCCTATATGCAAAAGATATACAGAGCTGGAATGCACAATGTGTGTGGAAATTTAATAAGTGTTTATAAATTTAAGCAGGGGCTTTGTTTGTTGTTTGTTTTTTTTGGAGACAGAGTCTCACTCTGTAGCCCAGGGCAGAGTGCAGTGGTGCCATCTCAGCTCACTGCAACCTCTGCCTCCTGGGTCCTCGTTCAAGCAATTCTGCCTTAGCCTTCCGAGTAGCTGGGATTATAGGAACACACCACCATGCCCAGCTAATTTTTGTATTTTCAGTAGAGACGGGGTTTCACCATGTTCACCAGGCTGGTCTTGAACTCCTGACCTCGTGATCCACCCGCCTTGGCCTCCCAAAGTGCTGGGATTACAGTCATGAGCCACAGCGCCTGGCAAGCATGGGCTTTTGACTCTGAGTTTAATTACTTTTTTTATGCAAGGAAACTGCTTTTTAAGGAAGAGAATGACATGACAGAATGGTATAGAAAGGTGACTTTTCAGCATGGATAATAAATTGGGGATGATGAAATCTGAGGCTAGGATTTGAGTTAGAGGCTGTTGCTGCAGGAGGTGAAGTGTGGTCCAGTTTTGAATGTAGTGGGTTAGAAGTATCTGTGGGTCACACAAGTGGAGAAATTCAGTAAATCAGTATCCACAGAGGTCTGGAAAATCTATCCAACAAGAAAAAGATATATGTGAGAAAAATCAGCTTGGAAACAGTAATTTAGAGTATTGATATACAAGAAATTAATAAATAATGTATAGATAGTAAAAAAGAATGAGGCCCAGGACAAAAGCGACAGGTACAGGACAGAAAAAGTGATTGCTATAAAGAAGACTCAGGAAGATGGGCAAGAAAAAACAAGAATAACATACCATGAAATCCAGGCTGGAAAGCATTTCAAGAAGATGAGAGCAGTCATCATTGCCACACTCTGTCTGGGAAGGTAAGAATAAAAATTGACACTTGGATTAAAAGATGAGGAGGTTTGAGAGTTGAAAGGAGATGTGGAAGCCAGAATTTGCTAGAATAACGAGAGAGGAAAGGGTGTTAGAATGCATAAAACACATAAAGACAACTGCATAAAGGACTTGGAATATAAATTGAAAGAAGTAGAGCAGCTAATGATTGAGATACAGAGTTGAGGTTTTTAAGATAATGAAGATATGTTAATGAATGTGTATTGCGTGCTTGTGTTATTCAATCACTGATAAGAGCTATTCAATTTCTAGGGAGAGAATGGAAAACACAGAGAGAGGAGGGGAAAGTTCAGGTGAGAGATGTCCCTGGGGGTGGGCGCAAGTGGATATTGGATCCAGAAACAAATAGGACGATGAGCTTTAGACAGGAGAGGGGACACCTCTTGTATTGTGACATAGACAAAGGAAGAAAACTGCGGAAGACAGAGGCAGATATTTAAATTGGATAGCATGAAACAGAAGGATTTCTGATATTAATAGGCTGCATTTTCTCTAAGCAGTGTGCAGCAAGTGGAAGAGGACTTTGAGGAAAGTGCAACAGTTTACTAGAAAAAAAATCAAAGCTGCTACAGTCCAATGCCCAGTTGAAAGTGGATATCAGGTGATCTGGGTATCAGATGCAACAAAAACTGCACAGCAAGGGAGCTCAGGCCATTGGAAAAGAATGCTTATAGTGCTGGGCTAAAGTCTAAATAAGACTCCAAAGGAAATGAAGACAGGTGGAAGACTGACAAACCTGAAGAAAAAAACAGGGAACAGGGAGCTGGAGATCCTGAAAATCTAGATGAGCAACTTTACTAGGGAAGGTTTTGTGAGGGATCTTAAAATATAAGTGAAAATCGAATGAAAACCACCATCTGGGAAAGTCTGGAAACCCATAAGGTAGAATTTGATTGCATCAGAATTTGACCATACAAGAGATACCAGGCTGGTGGGAAGACTCAGGGGGAAAAGACACTTGTGAGGTTGCCTTCAAGATCTCCAATGACTGATGGGGCTATGGATCCCAGGAAATGATGAGAAGGAAGAATAGAAAGGATATAGTGTGTGCCTTGGCAAAGCCGGGGCTTTTTGTGTGTTTTGGGGAGTAGTTGTCTTTCGCATACTTTTTAAAGGAGTAATAGTCTGCATGTAGCAATCAGGCTGAAGGAAAATGCAGCCTCCCTGGAATTTGACAGAGGTGAATGTGAGGAGCAATGAGTAACTGCCTCTGGGGGAGCCCTCCAGGTGTGGCAGGGTCCCCATGGCACAGCTGAGGCAGGTGTTAAAGGCAGCATTAAGTCAAGGAGTCAAGATATCACATGTTCAGCTTGGTAGTAAGACATGTTTGGGCATAGAGAATTATTTGGAGATGGAGTTGGGCAGTAGGACATAGAAAGAGATGTGAGTAAGCAGAAAGAGGTGCGGGGTGGAACTGTGGGGAATGAGAGGCAGCTGATGTGATTGTGGCTGAGGATATGAGTGTAGGCAAAGTGAGATTACAGCAGTGGCCCCCAAACTTTTTGGCACCAGGGACCGGTTTCATGGAAGACAATTTTTTCACAGACCCGGAGGAAGTTGGGGGAGGATGATTTGGGATGATTCAAGCACATTACATTTACTGTGCACTTTATTTCTATGATTATTACACTGTAATACACAATGAAATAATCCTACAACTCACCATAATGTAGAAACGGTGGGAGTTCTTAGCTTGTTTTCCTGCAACAAGATGGTCCTAGCTGGGGGTGATGGGAGCCAGCGACAGATTATCAGGCATTAGATTCTCATAAGGAGCGTGCAATCTAGATCTCTCCCAAGCACAGTTCGCAATAGGATTTGTGCCCCTATGAGAATCTAATGCCACTGCTGATCTGACAGGAAATGGAGTTCAGGTGGTCATGCAAGTGCTAGGGAGTGGGTTGTAAATACAGACAAAGCTTCACTTGCTCACTTGCTGCCCATCTCCTGCTGTGTGGCCCGGTTTTTAACAGGCCACCAATGGGCACCAGTCTGTGGGCAGCAGGGGGGAACCCCTGGTTTAGAGGACAGCAGGGTCTTCAATGTGATTCCTAAAGTCTGCAAGTCAATTCGTGAGAGTGAGAGGAGGCACTCAGGACCCCGAGAGAAGTTAGTTAGCCTGGATTGACTGACCTTTCTCAAATTTCCTAGTCCTAGTAAGCAAGCCTCGACTGGAGTGTCATTTTCTGGAGTCCAAGAACTGTGGCCTCCAGTGAAATGGACTATGGCATCTTTTAATGAAGATACATAGGCTGACACTTCTTTTGAATTCTTGCTTCTCAAAATTATTCCCACCTCCCTTCTTCTGAGGGCAGGCTGTTAGTGATACCCATGCCACGAGGCCAACATGAATGAACACATCAACAGAGAGGATGTGAGCCCAGAGTCATGATGAGAAAGCCATGCTGGCCAAATGTGAGATGATCCACTGCAGCACCATGACAGGTGAAGTGGAACAGGGAAAATGATATCGTTTCTTTTAAGGGGAGTGATCTGTTTCAGTAATTGGATGACAAATTCACCAGATGTAAGAACCAAGGAGTAGGAGTGGAGAACTGACTGGAGATGCAGAGCTGAAAAGTGATCACAGTGTCCCATTTTCCACTTGTTCCCATTTTCCAACCCCTGTTCCACCATTGCACTCAGTTGCCCTCTTTTGACCTGTCATTTATCTATTCCCCATTACTGCCTTTTAAAAACAAGCTAGGGCACAGTGGCTCACGCCTGTAATCCCAGCACTTTGGGAGGCCGAGGCAGGCGAATCCCGAGGTCAAGAGATCGAGACCATCCAGGCCAACAAGGTGAAACTCCATCTCTACTAAAAATACAAAAATTAGCTGGGCATGGTGGCACACACCTGTAGTCCCAGCTACTGGGGAGGCTGAGGCAGGAGAATTGCTTGAATCCGGGAAGCGGAGGTTGCAGTGAGTTGAGATTGCACCACTGCACTCCAGCCTGGTGACAGAGAGAGACTCCGTCTCAAAAGAAAAACAAAAATAAAACAAACAAACAAACAAAAAGCAAACAAAAAAAACCAAGCTACTTTATGTATACATATATATTAATCAAAACCCCACATTGTGCACCAGAAATACATGCAATTTTTGTCAACTATACCTCAAAAAAGTTGGAAAAATTTCAATTAACAAACCAAAACAAGCTATTTTTTTCACAGACTAATAAAATGTTGAAGATATTTCAGATATCATTGAATAGGGCATTACATTTTATACGTGAGAATGCTGACTTCAAGGGTGATTACATGAATGTCACACAGGGAGACATAGCCAAAACCAAAATTCATGTGTGCTAACTCCCAACACAGTACTCCTTTCAAATGCAGTCCAAATATTTTATCAATTTTTAAGAGTTGTAATTTTCCCTGATAATCAGGTCACATGTATCTATTATCTTTTAAAACAAAATTGTTGTCTATTTAATGAATATAAGAGCTGTCAGTTAAGTTTTCCAGTCTTTAGTCAGTAACCAAGTCTTGATAGATGATTAGATCATTTTCTACATATAAAGTATTGTGTATATGTGTATATGCATATGTGCATGTGTAAGTTTTGGAGAGAAGAAGGAAATATGCTGGAGAAAAAGGGAAACATAACTTATAAATGCAACATAAAAAGAGGACAAAGTCCCTAACCTCAAGGAACTTAAAATATTTTCAGGGAGATGCAATATGAAATGACAGGACAATTACAAAACAATTTATCAAAATTACATAGAACATAATGAATACATAAGCTTGAAGATGTTCAAAGGTCAAGGAGTGATTCTAAATAACGTTGTTCCAAAAAGCAATATAAAAATCACTGCTGAGAAATCATGCATCGGTCAGTAGCAGCCACAAATAAATTAATCACAGAAAAACTTCAATGAAACTCATTCAATCTAACTTTCTCTGGCATTACGCATCATTCTCGTAGGCTTCGGGTCCAGTTTGAACAGGAGAACAATATAGAGACTGTATTGTTTTCAGAGTCAAATAGTGTCTGTCCTTAAACTTCATGGACTTAATATGATTAATATCATTTGACCCCATTGTTCTTTGTGCTTTGGCTGTTACTTATTCTCCAATAAAGGCTTTGTGTAATATGAGTCTCCTCCATCTAAACTTTTTTTTCTATTTATGTAATTCCTCCTAGATTGTTCTACAGTTTCAGCAATTCTTTTCCAATAAGTTTTCTTTGACTTTTCATTGACTGTGGGCTTTAGGGAGGCATCAAATATTTGCTTCCTATATTTTCTAATCTGCCTTCATCCCTCTTGTTTATCTTCATTATTTCCATTTCCTGCCTACCCCAACCCCGCCCAGCTTCTAATTCTTTCTCAGGCCTCTGCCACAACCCCACTCTGTCAATCTTAATATTTCTCTTCTGGGCCTGGCACGGTGGCTCACGCCTGCTACCCCAGCACTTTGGGAGGCCAAGGCGGATGGATCACCTGAGGTCAGGAATTCAAGACCACCCTGAACAACATGGCGAAACCCCGCCTCTATGAAAAACACAAAAATTAGCCAGATGTGGTGGCAAATGCCTGTATTCCCAGCTACTCGGGAAGCTGAGGCAGGAGAATCACTTCAACCTGGGAGGTGGAGGTTGCAGTGAGCCAAGATTGCACCACTGCACTCCAGTTCGGCCTGGACAACAGGGTAAGACTATGTTTCAAAAAAAAAAAAAAAAAGAAAAATTTCTTCTAATCTTATTTTGCCTCTCCCTTTCCCTGTCCCACAGTTAGTCACCTCAATATTTTCCCCAGATTTATTAAGGTATAATTGCCAAATAAAAATCATATAGATCTATGGTATACAATGTAATGTTTTGATATATGTATACATTGTAAAGGCTAGACAAAGCCAATTAATACATTCAGTACCTCACATACTTAGTATTGTTTTATGGTGAGAATTGAACATCTATTCTCTAGCAATTTTCAAGGATCCAACAAATTGTTATAAACTATATTATTATTAACTGTAGTCTCCAAGCTGTACAATAGGTCTCCAGAATTTATTCCCCCTGTCGAACAGAAACTTCGTACGCTTTCACCAATATCTCCTCATTCTGCCCCACTTTACCCCGGCCCCTGGCAATCACTATTCTATTCTCTGCTTCTATGAGTTCAACATTTTTCACTTCCACATATAAGCGAGATCATGCAGTGTTTGTCTTTCTGTGCCTAGCTGACTTCGTTAATGTAATGTTCTCCAAGTTCACCTATGTCGTTGCAGATGGAAGAATTTCCTTCATTCTCAAGGCTGAATAGTATTCTGTCGTGTATATACCACATTTTCTTCATCAGTTCACCCGTCCATGGATACTTAGGTTGTTTCCTTAGCTTCATTATTGTGAATAATGCCACAATGAACATTGGAGTGCAGCTATCTCTTCAACATATTGTTGAGAGGTGGTTTTAATTTGCATTTCCCTGATGATTAATGACACTGCATAACATCCAAAAAAGCCTAGGATACACTCCACTTGTGTATACAATCTGAAAAATGGAAATATATACATTTCTTAACCATGTTGACTAAAGAAGAAATATCTTGTTGAGAGAGAAACATATGCATGTTTAAGCACTTCACTATAAGAGGTTAATTACTCAAATGTTTCTACATTCAAGCCACTGCCCAAATCTACAATCTTAAATAATTATATATGTATACAGTCATCCTTCCGTATCTTTGCTTCTTTCTCCATGGATTCAACCAACTGCAGAATTTACATTCCCACCAACAGTGCATAAGGGTTCCCATTTCTCCATATCCATGACAGCATTTTGTTTTGTTTTGGTTTGGTTTTTTTATCATAGCCATTCTGATGGAGTGAGATGGTATCTTGTGTGATTTTGGCTTGCATTTCCCTGATGATTAGTCATGTTGAGAATTTTTCTTGCACATTTGTATGTCTTCTTTTGAGAAATATTTGTGTCTTTTGCTCATTCTTTAACCAGGTTATTATTTTTTTGCTATTGAGTTGTTTGAGTTCTTTGTATATCCTGAATATTAACCCCTCGTCAGATTAATAATTTCCAAATATTCACTTCCATTCTGTAGGTAGTCTCTTTACTCCATTGATAGTTTCCTATGTTTGATGTGTAGAAGCTTTTTATTTTATGTAATCCCATTTGTCTATTTTTGCTTTGGTTGCCTGTGCTTTTAGTTTTTTTCCCAAAATGTCCTCGCCCAGACCAATGTCATGAAACATTTACTTTATCTTTTCTAATAGTACTTTTGTAGCTTTGGGTCTTACATTTAAGTCTTCAATCTATTTTCAGTTAATATTTTGTATGTGATGAGAGATAGAAATCTACTTTCATTCTACTGCCTATGGATATCAGCTTTCCCAGCACCATTTTTTGAAGAGGATATTCACTCTCTAATGCATGTTCTTGGCGCCTTTGTTGAAAATCAGTTGCCTGTAAATATGTGGATTCACTTCCGGGTTCTGTAGTCTGTTCTATTGGTCTATGTGTGCATTTTTATACCATTACAATGCTGTTTTGGCTACTGTAGGCTTGCAATATATTTTAAAGTCAAGTAGTGTAACACTGCCAGCTTTGTTCTTTTGTTCAATATTGCTTTGGATATTTGGTGTCTTTTGTAGTTCTATAGAAATTACATAATTTTTTTCTATTTCTGTGAAGATTGTCATTGGTACTTCAAAAGAGATTGCATTTAATCTGTAGTACACTCATTTTAACAATACTAATTCTTCCAATCAATGAGAACGGGATGTCTTTCTACTTGTTTGTGTTCTTTTCCATTTTTTTGTTTTATTGGTGTTTTGTAGGTTTTCTCATAGAGGTTTTTTACCTCCTCAGTTACATTTATTTCTAGGGTATTTTTTTGTAGCTATTGCAAATGGAATTACTTTCTTGACTTTTTTCAGCTAGTTCATTACTATGTTGAATAAGAGTAGTGAAAGTGTAGCTACTGATTGTTGCATGTTGATTTCGAAATGAATTTTTTCCTCAGTTCTTACTTTTTTGGTGGAGTCTTCAGGCTTTTCTATATATAAGATCAAGTCATTTCCGGAGAAGAGAAATTTTACTTTCTCTTTTCCAATTTAAATGCTTTTTCTTTGTTTCTCTTGCCTGATTGCTCTAGCCTAGACTTCCAGTACTATGTTGAATAAGAGTGGTGAAAGTGGGCACTCTTGTCTTGCTCCAGTTCTTTGATGAAAGGCATTTAGCTATTCTCAATGTAGTGCAATATTAGCTGGGGGCTTGTTATCTATGGCTTTCATTGTGTTGAGTTATGTTTCTTCTATACCTAATTTTTTGAGAGTTTTTATCATTAAGCAATGTTGACTTTTATGTATGGTTTTTTTAGTCACTATTTTGTTTAGTTCTGCTATGACTTTATTATTTCTTTTCTTCTACTAATTTTGGATTTAACATGTTCTATGTTTTGCAGTCACTTGAGATGCACTATTAGGTTATTTATTTCTCATTTTTTGATGCAGGCATTTATTGCTACAAACTTTCCTCTTAGCAGTGCGTTTGCTGTTGTGTTTGGTATGTTGTGTTTCAACTTTCATTTGTTTCAGTAAATGTTTTTTATTTTCTTCTTAATTTCTGTATTGACCCAATGGTCATTGAGGAGCATTTTATTTAACTTCCTTGTATTTATCTATTTTCCAAGTAAAATGGAAAAAATACATTTTTACATTTTCTCTTGTTGTTAATTTCTAGTGTTCTTGTTATTCATTTTTAGTGTTATTTGCTTGTGGTCTCAGAAGGTATTTGACACAATTTCAATTGTTAAAAGTTTGTTGAGATTTGCTTTGTGACCTAACATATGGTCTATCCTTCAGAATGTTCCATGTGCCAGTGAAAAGAAAGCATATTCTGCATCTGTGGATAAAATGTTCTGTAACTGTTAGGTCCATTTGGTCTAAAATGCAGTTTGAATTCAATGTATCTTTGTTGATTTTCTGTCTAGAGGGTCTGTCTAAAGCTGACAGTGTAGTGTTGAAGTTATCCATTATTATTGTATTGAAGCCTCTCTCTTTTTAGATTGAATATTATTTGCTTTATAAATTTGGTGCTCTAGTGTTGGGTGCATATATATTTAGAGTTGTTACATCTTCCCAAATAGACCCCCTTATCATTCATCATTTCATTGTCTTTATTTATAGTTTTTTACCTAAAGTCTATTTTATCTGATGTAAGTATGGCTAATCCTACTTCTTTGGGTTTCCATGTTCAGGGACTATCTTTTTCCATTCCTTCACTTTTAGCCTTCAGAACTCTGAAAATTTAAATATTTGGTTATTTTATGGTGTTCCACATGTCATGTAAGCTTTGGCCAGCTTTTCTTCTTTTTATCTCTTGTGTATTTGCTCCACCAATGAGTGTTATACTTTTGTGTGTTTTCATGATGGTAGATATCATCCTTTTGTTTCAAGTGTCTTTACAGGCAAAGTCAGTTTCTTATAGGCACCACATAATTTGAGTCCTTTTTTTTCTCAATGCTTTCAGCCCGTCTACACTTTTTAAGTGAATAATTTAATCCATTTATATTTAAAACCACTATTAATAAGTGAAGACTTATTTTTGTCATTTTGTTAACCATTTTTTGTTATTTTATATATCCTTTGTTCCTTTCTTCCTCTCTTGTTGCTCATTATTGCAGTTTGGTGGTTTTCTGTGGTGGTAACACTAGACTCCATTCTCTTCCTACTTTGTGTGTTTGCTCTACCAATGAGTGTTATACCTTTGTGTGTTTTCATGATGGTAGATATCATCCTTTTATTTCCAGATGTAGTTCTCCCTTATGCATTTCTTGTAGGCCAAGTTAGTGGTGAAAAAATCCCTCCATTTTTGCTTGTCTGGGAAAGACTTTATTTCTTTTGCATTTTTCAAGGATAACTTTACTGGAGATAGTATTCTTGACCAGCAGGGTTTTTTTTTCTTTTTTTTTGGTAATCCTTCAGCACTTTGAACATACCATCCAATTCTCTCCTGGCCTGTGATATTTATACTGAGAAATGTGCTGTTATTCTAATAGGGATTCCCTTATAGTTAAATTGATGCTTTTTTCTTGCTGTTTTTGAAGTTGTCTCTGAATTTTGACAATTTGACTATAATGGGCCTTGAGAAGACCTTTTATTTTGGTATTGTTGAGTCTATTGGAGGATCTTTGAGCTTCCTGTGCCTAAATGTTTGTATCTCTTGCAAGACTTGGGAAATTTTCAGCTATTATCTTTTACATAGATTTACTTATCTTTTACAGACATTTACATGTCTGTAGCCATCTATTCTCCTTTTGGAACTCTGAAAATTAAAATATTTGGTTATTTTGTGGTGTTCCACATGTCATGTAGGCTTTGTCCAGTTTTTCTTCTTTTTGTCTTTTATTTGTTTGTTTGACTGGGTTATTTCAAAGGATCTGCTTTGAAATTCAAAAAATCTTCCCTCTGTTACATAGACTTTCCTCTTCACTGCTCCATTTGAATGTCACTTCCTGGTTCTTATTTTTAAGGAAAATTTGAAGTAAAGTTGCTCAATTATTACATAAATTAAAGAGCTAAAACCATTTAAGAGTGCAGTAAAATCGATACTGCACAAATAAGCATGCTCATGCAGACACACGCCCCCTAATCATGATAAAAGAATCACAAAGTATTATATAATAAGTGGCACATGTATGAATGGAAAGGCCTGGGTTTCGATGAAGAGAGGGTTGTTTGAAAACATAATGAGAGGGAACGCGGGAACAATGAACTTTGTGCCTCATACCAGAGGCAGCAACATGGAACCCCTTCACAGGCATCTCTACTTATTTTCTTCCTGGTACTCTCAGAAGTAGGGCTGACCCTTTGCCAGATGTAACATAATCTTTTCTTCCTCCACAGGAAAAAATAAAACAAAACAGCAAAGCTACAACAAATCAAAAAAATCCACTACCAACAACAACAACAAAAACTATACAAAGGTCCTGAGTGACTCTGACTACAGGATAGGTTCTGAGAAATATCTTTATTTTTACTACTCTACAGTTGGCTCAGTTTGACAATTTTTAGTCTTGTCTGCTTTCACACCCTTGGTATTATTCAACCAGTATTTAATTTTAAATGAGAATTTGGCTAGGCGGACTATGGTGGGAGCTTACGGTTTCTGACTTCTAGCCCTGTGGCCTCTTTACAGAACTATACTAGTTAGTAATTTATAATGATAACACTACAGTGGTATAAATTATTTTATAAAATAAAAATGATCATACCATAATATGTTTAATAAATCACTAAAATGTTGACATTTTCTGTTTAAAATTCATGCATTTCAAGATTACTTCTTGTCCAAAATGATACGCATATTTAAAATCTGATTGCCCTACCTAAATATTTAGGGAAGGTATAAATATAAAATAAAAATAATCCCGCCTGGCCACAGTGCCACCAGTTTTAATTGTAAAGGTAGCACTGTTCAACACAAACATGAAAATCTTTGGCATATTATTCTTACAATGTGCTTGAAAATGATTCACAGAAACACATTGCAAATCTACCTCCATCTTTTCCATACTGTATAGTATTCTTCAATGTGGATTCCCCATGATACAGTTAACCAATGCCCTATTGAGGGAATTTGTTTTCACATTTTTGCTAGAGTAAGTATCTTTGAACATGCCTCTCTGCATACTTGGAAGCCTAGGAGCAGAATGTACAATTTTTATTGTTCTTTTATTTTTTCCAGGGCTTGATTCATTGTTTGACTGTATAGGCTTAAAGTGTTGGGGAATACACTAACGGTACAGATGAAATTTAAAAGTATACCACATCTGTACCTTTACATTGTGACAAGCACAAAAATTTGATAAAATATTCTTCTATTAGCCCATTTACAAAATAAGTCATTGACATCTCTGACAAATGGATGAAGTTCTAACATTTAAAAATATACAGGCAGAATATAGGAATTTACAGTTGACTAAAAAAGCTTTGTGAGTTGCAAATAAACACATGAAAACATGCTCAAAACCATGAGTCATTAGAGAAATGTTAGTTAAAACACAATGAAGAACTAATACAAACTAATACACACCTATTTAAATGGCAAAAAATTGGAAGCAACTACAATGGACGTTTTAGGTAAAGAGTTTAACAACTGCAACTATTTTATATTGCTGTTGGAAACATAAAATGGCACAAACACCATAAAACACAGTAGAGCAGCTACTTCAAAAGATAAACATTCATATATTCTGTGAGGAAGGCATTGCACTTTTAGATTTGAAGTCAAGAGAAATGAGAGTATACATTCATACAAAAGCCTATAAAATCATGGTCATAGCAGCTTCAATTGTAAAAATCAAAAGCCCATATGACAATTAACAAAAATAGATTAACTGTATTCTATAAAATACATTCATTTTATAGAATACTACTCAGCAATAAACTGAATGAACAATTCACACACATTGCAAAAGAGAATCTCAAAATAATTATATTGTATGAAAGAAATCAGACAAGAGTTAAATACATTCAGATTCTAGAGAAGGCAAATAACTCAATAGTAAAAGAAAGTACAGCAATGGTTTCTTGGGGAAATGGGGCTAGGGAGGATAGAGAAAGAGCCATTTTAAAGGTATACAGGGTAACTCTGGAGGTAATGAATATGTTCCTTATTGTGATTGTTGTGACAGTTTCACTTGTATATATATTTCTGATTTTATAAAATGGTATACATCAAAGCTATAGTTTACAATATGTCAGTTGTACTGCAATAAAACATTAAAATAATGTATTTCATATAAAAAAATCTAGATTTTCCATTTATTTTAGAAAAGAAAATAATTTGGTAAACCCATATTCATTCCACCATCTTTGTCCTCAACCTTAGCAGCAGAGACTAGAAAGCAATGAGGGCCATTTCCACCTGAGTCATCAGACAAGCTGGAGACTGGAGATGCAGCTAAAGAATTTCCCACATTCTCTGCAGTCCTAAGACCTTTCTCCAGAGTGGATTCTCTGGTGCTGAACAAGTATGGATTTGTGGCCAGAGGCTTGCACATGTTCACTGCACTTGTAATGCCTTTGTACAGTGGGAAAGGCCACCACACACTCAGGGCTCCTGTGTGACTTTCCCCTGTTGTGAGTGACTCAGTGGCGGAGAAGGTCTGAGCTGGCAAGAAAATCCTCTCCAGCCCCCACATGGAAGAGGATTACTCTGACTTGTGGTCTCTGCAGCTCTTTACAAACAGGGTCCTGCTCTCTTCACTTCGGATGGGCTTCCCTTCCTTCCACTGCACCTGTTGCTGGTTGAAGGTTTGCCTTGAACCAGAGTCCTCTTCCACATGCCATACACACACATGGTTTCTGCATGGCCAGTATTGGTACTACCCCTGCCTTGGTATTTATGGTATCAGAAGCTCATTCTAAAGAAACACTATGTTCACAACATAGTCTTCTAGCCCTCCGTTCCTAGCAAAAAAAAAAACTTCTGTGTAAGTGCCTTTCAGCAGAGCCTTGGCTGCTGGTAATGCATGACAGCTGTGCAATAGGATGAGTCCAGGTTCAGAAAACTCTGATTGCAACAATGTACAGGACCCCTGTGACTTCCACTATGGCTGGAGTCATGTCTACTCTGTCAGTCATACAGGATTCTTCCCTATGCAGTACCTAGAAGATGTATGGGGCTAATGCTTTAGGACAAGTGACTCTTCACCATCCTGCCAGTTACCCAACAGGTAGCCCAGCTGTGTCTTAAGAACAGGACACCCTCGTGAGAACTGCGCACCACAGATATCCAGCCTCACCCCCACCTAACAGTGTCCTCTGGGTCAGGTGAAGCTGTCCCCACTCCTTTTGTATGAAGATGGCAGTCACACTCTAAATGGTCACAGACCTGGCCCTGGGGCAATCGTATGTGTGGAGAGAGCTAGTCAGGAGGCAGCAACCTGGGATTCCTGAGGGCTCAGCCCAATGCTGTCCCAGGCCTAAAAAGGCTTTGAGGCAGGTCCCGTTGTAACCACCCAATGGGTTCTTTTTGTTTGCTTCTCAAATAGTGCCAATTTATCAAAAGAAGGGTGATATGGTTTGGTTGTGCCCTCATCCAAATTTCATCTTGAATTGTAGCTCCCACAATTCCCATGTGTCATGGAAGGGACTTGGTGGGAGGTAACTGAATCAGGTGGGCAGGTCTTTCCTGTGCTGTTCTCATGATAGTGAATAAGTCTCACAAGATCTGATGGTTTTAGAAAGGGGAGTTTCCCGCACAAGCTCTCTTCTCTTGTTTGCTGCCATGTGAGACGTGCTTTTCACCTTCTGCCATGATTGTGAGGCCTTCCCAGTCACATGGAATGGTGAATCCATTAAACCTCTTTCTTTTGTAAATGGCCCAGTCTGTGGTATGACTTTATCAGCAGTGTGAAAACGGACTAATACAAGGGGAATTGCAATAGAGAAAGAGCTTAATACACATAGAGTTGGCCAAAAGGGAGACTGCGGTTTTATTATTACTCAAATCGGCCTCCCTGAAAATTCAGAGGCTGGGTTTTTTAACAGATAGTTTGGCAGGCAGCGGGCTAGGAAGTGGGGGATGCTGATTGGTTGGTTTGGGAGGAGATCACAGAGAGTCAAAGCTGTCTTCTTGCTCTGAGTCAGTTCCTCGGTGGGCTCCACAAAACTAGATGAGCCAGTTTACCAGTCTGGGTGGTGCCAGCTGATTCATCAGTATGCAGGGTCTGAAAAATCTCAAACACCAATCTTAGGTCTTACAATAGTGATGTTATCCATAGGAACAATCAGGGAGGTTAGGAATCTTAACGGCCTCTGGCTGTGTGACTCCTGAACCATAATTTCTAATCTTGTGGCTAATTTGTTAGTTTTACAAAGGCGGTCTTGTCCCCAGGCAAGGAGGAGGTTTGTTTCAGGGTGGGGCTGTTATCACTGTTGTTTTAAAGCTAAACTATAAACTAAATTCCTCCCAAAGTTAGTTTGACCTACTCTCAGGAATAAACAAGGGCAGCTTGGAGGTTAAAGGCAGGATGGAGTTGGTTATGTCAGACCTCTTTTGCTGTCATAATTTCCTCATAATCTTTGCAAAAGCGATTTCACCATTCTCCAATTGTCCTTCCCTGCTTGGCCATGGAGCTGCATGGTTCCAACAACTACACAGACAGACAACCCCACGCAACAGCTGAAAGCCTGAAAAAACCAAACGCCCTGCAAAAATGGAAAGCCCAAAATGATGTTGCCGGAAGTCCTGCCCCCACCCGTGGAGCCACAGCAAATGCCCTTTTCCTGTAGTATATATAGATTCTTTTAATTTTAAAGACTTTGTGCATTTGTGGCAACTTCATGATTACACATAAGATTTTTCAACTTGAAATAAAAATATAAAGAGAGTTGGATCTCCAAGCTAAAAAGATTTATTTGGGAAAAAATGAAGAAATAGGACTGCAGTCTGGTATGCACAGACTGGTTTGGTCTGTGGATTGTTCTGAGAACAAAGGAAGTATAGGATTTCACTGGAGAGAGAGGGGGTTACACAAGTTGTTTTGGAAGAAAGCCTATTGCCACTGGCAGCATCTTACAAGAGTTGATTGGCAAGGGTCAAGAGTTGTTAGGTAGGACTTTCAATCTTGGCATTACAAGGCCCTTGTAGTCCTGCACTGGGTTTGTGAGATTATGTGCCGGGCAAATGTTCTTGCATGAGTGGCTAGCTGTCCTTGTGCTGCTAGCTACCTTTGTGTGACCCAGGTAGTAAGCTGCTGTTTGGAAGCATATCTTGAGCTAGCTCCTGTTATCAGGAGAAGTGTGTGTGTGTGTTCGTGTGTGTGTGTGTGTATGTGAGAGAGAGAGAGAGAGAGAGCCCTCTCTTCATGGTCTTCCTCAGCTCCATTTGCCAGAGTTTGACACGAGTGACTGTATTTTGAATCTTACAACTTTCACAGATTACATATATTTTAAGAAAATTCCTACTTAAGCTAGATGAGCTTTCTCTTTCAGAGGTCCTGTGACAATTCATAAATTTAATGTTTGCATTTAAATCTTACTTGCTTATTATGAGCATTGTTTCGAACATAGCCTACATAATATTCTTAATTAATCTTTTACTTACCTGAGATTTTCCAAAGAATTTTAATGTGTTACCTTTTCCACGTCCTTATCCTCTGCAACCTATACCTTACAATTATTTTTCTTTTTATGGAGGTCTAAAGAAAGGGAAATTATCCAATACATTTATGTGCCTATAATAACATTTTTGTCAAAGGCAGACCACACATATGAGGGTGGTCACATAAGATTATAATTCCATGTTTTTGCTGTACCTTTTC
Source organism: Homo sapiens (assembly GCF_000001405.40). Lineage (NCBI taxonomy): Eukaryota > Metazoa > Chordata > Mammalia > Primates > Hominidae > Homo > Homo sapiens. The sequence goes on from NC_000006.12 coordinate 165,120,561, forward strand.
TATGGTTAGATGCACAACTACCATGTGTTACAATTGCCTATAGTACTCAGTACAGTAACATGCAGTACAGGTTTGGAACCTAGGAGCAATAGACTTTTCCATATAGCCAATGTGTGTAGTAGGCTGTACCATCTAGGTTTTCAAAAGTACACTCTATGATGTTTGCAAAGGACAAAATTGCCTAAAGACACATTTCTCAGAATGCATCCCCATCATTAAATGACCCCTGACTATATAGTATGATTTACCCAAAATGCATCAATAGTTTTAAAAACTAAGGTTTTTAAAAAAATTTATTAAGTTGTTCAAGCTCAACTAATCTCCCCACCAAGAAAAGGGTGTTATATACCTTTCTTTAAGGAGCTGCAGTGGCTTTTGTAAAACAGCACTCCTCACAAAAACCGTTTCATTCCAAAATGGTTAAACCAGTGGTCCTCAACACAATGTACCTTAGGAGGCACTCCCTGCTTCAGCTGCAGTGACTTATTAACTAATGATTCTTCCACACTGAGAAAGGAGGTGAAGAATCAAAATTCCCGGAGGACATATGCAATTTGAACCCCCACCTGGCTCTGATATAAATTCCCAAGAGATATCCCCATCTCCCCCATCTCTTATCCTTGCCAAAATCAACAGTTTGCACATTCATTAGGCAAATACATATTGCTCTCCTAATTTTCCCATACACATATAGAAATGAATAAAATTCGGCCAGGCGTGGCAGCTCATGCCTGTAATCCCAGCACTTTGAGAGGCCAAGGCTGGCATATCACAAGATCAAGAGATCGAGACCACCCTGGCCAACGTGGTGAAACTCCATCTCTTCTAAAAATACAAAAATTGCCAGGCGCGGTGGCTCACGCCTGTAATCCCAGCACTTTGGGAGGCTGAGGCAGGCGGATCACAAGGTCAGGAGTTCGAGACCAGCCTGGCCAATGTGGTGAAACCCCGTCTCTACTAAAAATACAAAAATTAGCCTGGCATGGCAGTGTGTGCCTGTGGTCCCAGCTGCTAGGGAGGCTGAGGCAGAGGAATCGCTTGAACCTGGGAGGTGGAGGTTGCAGTGAGCCGAGACTGCGCCATTGCACTCCAGCCTGGGTGACAGAGCAAGACTCTGTCTCGAAAAAAAAAAAAAAAAACAAATACAAAAATTAGCTGGGCATGGTGACACATGCCTGTAGTTCCAGCTACTCGGGAGGCTGAGGCAGGAGAATCACTTGAACCCTAGAGGCAGAGGTTGCAGAAGAAGAAGATTCATCTCAGCTCTCCAGTTGCTCAGGTTACCATTGGAGGATGAGAGGTTAAAAACTATATGTTGCCTTAGGCCAGGCACGGTGGCTCACGCCTGTAATCCCAGCACTTTGGGAGGCCAAGGCGGGTGGATGACAAAGTCAAGAGTTCAAAACCAGCCAGGCCAAGGTGGTGAAACCCCATTTCTACTAAAAATACAAAAATTAGCCTGGTGTGGTGGCGGGCGCCTATAATCCCAGTTACTCTAGAGGCTGAGGCAAAGAATTTCTTGAACCCAGGAGGCAGAGGTAACAGTGAGTGGACATAGCGCCACTGCACTCCAGCCTGGGCGACAGAGTGAGACTCCAATTCAAAAAAAAAAAAGTACATACACATATGTGTGTGTATATATCTTTACATATACACACGTATATACACACACGTGTGTATGCGTGCATATACACACGTGTGTATGCGTGCATATACACACGTGTGTATGCGTGCATATGTGTATATGTGTACATATATATGTACATAGATATATACATATGTACATATACATACATATGTATATACATATGCATGTATATGTACATTCATATATGTATATATACATATACATATATATGTGTGTGTGTGTGTGTGTGTGTGTGTGTGCTGCCCTACCATGTAATCTGTGTGACCAACAGAAACGTATGAAGTGTGAGCTGAGCACAGATTTGTGGGAGGCAGTACTAGGTGTCCCACGGTGCCAGGTATCTGAACAATATTGGTCTATACCAATTTTCCCAGAGTGATTATTAAGTAGTTATTAATAATGTCCCTTTCACAAGTGTCCTGATTAGTAAAATTAATTGTATGGTCACCTTATCCATAATAGAGAAGATTCTTACCTTTAATTTCAGAGAGATCCTGCTTTGAACCCCTATTATTTTACTCACTCGATACGTAACCTTGAGCCAGCTATTGAACTAGGCCTCCTGTATGGCAGAGGCATCTGACAGCCGTAAGCGAAGCATATCTCAAGAACGACTCCATGGTCTAAGAAGAGTATTGGTTCAAAGTTCTTAGCTGAGGAATCCAGGATTGGCCAACATGGAGCTCCACTCCTTATTTATAAAGAAATACATCTTGAATTGATTTTTGTGTAAGGTGTAAGGAAGGGATCCAGTTTCAGCTTTCTCCATATGGCTAGCCAGTTTTCCCAGCACCATTTATTAAATAGGGAATCCTTTCCCCATTGCTTGTTTTTCTCAGGGTTGTCAAAGATCAGATAGTTGTAGATATGTGGCATTATTTCTGAGGGCTCTGCTTTGTTCCATTGATCTATATCTCTGTTTCGGTACCAGTACCATGCTGTTTTGGTTACTATAGCCTTGTAGTATAGTTTGAAGTCAGGTAGCGTGATGCCTCCAGCTTTGTTCTTTTGGCTTAGGATTGACTTGGCGATGCGGGCTCTTTTTTGGTTCCATATGAACTTTAAAGTAGTTTTTTCCAATTCTGTGAAGAAAGTCATTGGTAGCTTGATGGGGATGGCATTGAATCTATAAATTACCTTGGGCAGTATGGCCATTTTCACGATATTGATTCTTCCTACCCATGAGCATGGAATGTTCTTCCATTTGTTTGTATCCTCTTTTATTTCATTGAGCAGTGGTTTGTAGTTCTCCTTGAAGAGGTCCTTCACGTCCCTTGTAAGGTGGATTCCTAGGTATTTTATTCTCTTTGAAGCAATTGTGAATGGGAGTTCACTCATGATTTGGCTCTCTGTTTGTCTGTTATTGGTGTATAAGAATGCTTGTGATTTTTGCACATTGATTTTGTATCCTGAGACTTTGCTGAAGTTGCTTATCAGCTTAAGGAGATTTTGGGCTGAGACAATGGGGTTTTCTAGATATACAATCATGTCATCTGCAAACAGGGACAATTTGACTTCCTCTTTTCCTAATTGAATACCCTTTATTTCCTTCTCCTGCCTAAAAGACATAGGCACAGGCAAGGACTTCATGTCTAAAACACCAAAAGCAATGGCAACAAAAGCCAAAATTGACAAATGGGATGTAATTAAACTAAAGAGCTTCTGCACAGCAAAGGAAACTACCGTCAGAGTGAACCGGCAACCCACAAAATGGGAGAAAATTTTCGCAACCCACTCATCTGACAAAGGGCTAATATCCAGAATCTACAATGAACTCAAACAAATTTACAAGAAAAAAACAAACAACCCCATCAAAAAGTGGGCGAAGGACATGAACAGACACTTCTCAAAAGAAGACATTTATGCAGCCAAAAAACACATGAAAAAATGCTCACCATCACTGGCCATCAGAGAAATGCAATTCAAAACCACAATGAGATATCATCTCACACCAGTTAGAATGGCAATCATTAAAAAGTCAGGAAACAACAGGTGCTGGAGAGGATGTGGAGAAATAGGAACACTTTTACACTGTTGGTGGGACTGTAAACTAGTTCAACCATTGTGGAAGTCAGAGTGGCGATTCCTCAGGGATCTAGAAATAGAAATGCCATTTGACCCAGCCATCCCATTACTGGGTATATACCCAAAAGACTATAAATCATGCTGCTATAAAGACACATGCACACATGTGTTTATTGTGGCACTATTCACAATAGCAAAGACTTGGAACCAACCCAAATGTCCAACAATGTTAGACTGAATTAAGAAAATGTGACACATATACACCATGGAATACTATGCAGCCATAAAAAATGATGAGTTCATGTCTTTTGTGGGGACATGGATGAAATTGGAAATCATCATTCTCAGTAAACTATCACAAGAACAATAAACCAAACACCACATATTCTCACTCATAGGTGGGAATTGAACAATGAGAACACATGGACACAGGAAGGGGAACATCACACTCTGGGGACTGTTGTGGGGTGGGGGGAGGGGGGAGGGATAGCATTGGGAGATACACCTAATGCTAGATGACGAGTTAGTGGGTGCAGCGCACCAGCATGTCACATGTATACATATGTAACTAACCTGCACATTGTGCACATGTACCCTAAAACTTAAAGTATAATAATAAAAATAAAAATAAATAAATAAATAAATAAATAAATAAATAAATAAAAAGAAATACAAACCCCTGACCCATCCCATGGAACACAGGCCATGCAGGGGATCAAGGCGCTTTGTTTTGGGTTAAATGAAGGTTGCTAGGTGGAGGATGCTATGTGAAAATGTTATATACACTGCATGCTTTAAACCAACAGCAATGGTGTTGTTCCTGTCCAGCCCACCACCGTAGACTGCCCTGTATGGAAGTACCCCCATTAAAACCTATCTCTCATCCACTGGGTGCTCTCTTTGGCCTCTAGGACACAGTGTTATTCCTACTGGAGTCAATAGGCAGTCTGGCATGACACCTCCATTTTCTGATCTTAAAATGAAATAACATATGTGCCTCATATGATTGTTACAAATGATCAATGAGATGGTATAAAACTTTTAAGTTTATAATGTGATACCTTCTATATTAATAAGTGGTAGCAGTTTTATGAAAGAACGTTATAGATATCCACAGAAGTAACTTTTACACATTTTTTGTATTAAAGTTAGTGAATAATAAGATGGGTAGCATAAACACCAAAAATCTAAATCTATTTGCTGCCCTCAAATTTATGTTCGTTTAGAGCTCTTTTATATCAAATCTGGTAGATATTCAAAGCAAGCTCTAGGAAAAGTCAGGGCTGCTAAAAATTCAGTACTTCTATGTCTCCAAAATAGTTTTCATGTTATTAGCAGTAACTTATACCATTATAGTAAATTATAATATAAGAGAAAAATAAGGATCTATGTCTTATTTTATTTTTACCTTTACCCTCAATATCACCAGGTATGTTGTAATTGCTCAATTAATTTTTAAATAAATTAACTCAGATAATTGAGACCAAAAGATCAAATATGTACATGAGAAAAACTTTCTAAGTACAACACTCATAAGCCTCATCTCAAGTATAAGACACCTTCACATCGCCTCACAGTACTGCCTATCCCAATCTCCTCCCACTCTTACATTCACGGGATTAACTGTTGCTAGAAAAAATTATTCGTAAAGGCTCAGATTGTTAATTACTATTCAGCCAGGTATTGTTAGGGGTTTCATGTGCTATGCTTCCTCAGCACCTTACAAACCTTTAATACAGCACTTTCACATTGCATTTCAAATGTTCAGGCTTCCTTCTGAGTATCATATTATAAGCTCCTTGAAGAATCGCATTAGGTTTGGTTCATATTTTTATGCCCAGCAAATAGCACATTGTCAGTTCATCATAGGTGTGAAATAAACTACAAATGAATATATGAAAAAGTGTATCGATAATTGCTTAGTGACACTTGAAAGTGTGCTTAAAAATTCAGATCACAAGAAATAGGCCAACATAGTATTCGAAGGGGCTCGATTAAGGATCCCTATTGTGTCCATAAGATTTGTAGCCTCTCAGATGTCAATAGCATGATCTGCCTATTGTAGGTTAAATTTCACGGTAAAATTGTACACAATGGTCTGCTGAGCCCTGTAAAGTAGACTCTAAAATGAACTTTTTGGCTGACTCAACTCTGTTCAGTGGGAGGACTGAGAAGGATCCCCTCTGGTGCCAACTGCTTTAACACTAATTATCAGACATACACCAGATTAAATGCAGAATAGAATGTCCAGATCAGGCAATCTACTTAAACTTTAATAGAAGTTAATTATTCATTGATCAAACTCATTTATATCTAATTAAAGTTTTCCTGCATTAGAAGGTACAAGCTAACATGGTCTACGTTCTACTCCTTGGAGGAGAGTACCTGATGCAAAAATAAATGGAAAATGGTGACATTTGTGTGATACAAATACATATTTGACAACTGAATTATCAACTTCAGGCCTAATCCATTTAGGTGACTTTGCTATGTAAATATCGTCTCCAAAATGCTTCCAGAATTTGGTAATTTTTGGAGCCAGAAGAACATAGCCTGTCAAGGAACAAAGCCTGTGTATGCTTAAAAGAAATCTCAGGGTCTGAATTTTATGTAGGTAACTATTTCAGTTTCATGAAGCATAATTAATTGTGCTCTTTACCATAAATATTTACGACAATAAAAATATAAAATCTTGAGGCTTAGTATGGAAATGCCATTTTATAATCTATTTTTATGCCATTCTCTCTGAAAGCCCACAAAATGGCAGGATTTTCTATGGAGTGGAAAAGACTGGATGCTTTTTGCTGGAAAAAGAACATATGTTTATGCTAAAAAAAAGTTTCCTGTGCATTTTACTTTTAACTGTCATCAGTTACAATATGCTGCTTGAAATATGTTGCTTTCTTTTATGGAGTGTTTTCTAATATTGAACATATTTCAAAGTTGTAGATTTTTGCTTTGGGGATATAATTTCTTATCTAAAGGCATATCTTTGAATTTTGTGTTCTTTTATGATAGCAAGATTGACAGTTTTATTTCCTAATACCATGCATCCTCAATTAAAACCACTGTGTAAAAACATCTATTGCCATAAATAACCCATTATAAATAAATTTCATATGAGTCCTAAGTTTCCAAGGCTAAATGTTAAATCTCTCTTTAAATCCATAAAATTGCTTTCCAACTTTGTTATCACTTTTTATTCATCGTGATTACTATCAATCTAAGATTTGAGATGCAGTGTTCATGTTCAGTATACACAAAATGTCCCCACTCCTTGGACTTATAAATACAGTAAGTGGGTGTGCTTTACACGCATGTTTTACTTTTTCTTGGGGAAAACAAAAGATTATTTCTTTAAATCAAATTTTTGGAAGGGATTTAGGCAGAACAGGACCTCCTCATGTTCACACGTTACTGATTTGGGTATTTCATATATTTCATATAGTTTTCTAGAATTAAACTGCACTATAATTGTCGGTTTATGTTTGTCTTCCCACCAAACTGTAAGATGTGTGTTTTACTTTTCTTTGCACCCAGAAACTAACAAAAACTCCTGTGCATAGAAAGCTTTCAATGTTGGTTTGTTGAGTAAGTAAAATAACAAATGAATGGATGGATGGATGGATGGATGGATGGATGAATGGACAGATGGATGGATGGATGGATGGATAGATGGATGGATGGATGGATGGATAGATGGATGGATGGACGGATGGATGGATGGACGGATGGATGGATGGATGGATGGATGAACAGACGAATGGATGGATGGACAGACGGATGGATGGACGGACGGATGGATGGACGGACAGACGGACGGACGGACGGACGGACGGACGGACGGATGGATGGATGGATGGATGGATGGATGGACGGACGGACAGATGGATGGATGGATGGATGGAGGGGCAGATGGATTGATGGATGGATGGACAGATGGATGGACAGACGGATGGACGGACAGATGGATGGATGGATGGATGGATGAATAAGTGCATGAAGTTTCCACGACATGCCACCTGTTGCCATTTGCATGTTAACTGACAGATATTGGGCCATCCAGCCCTATTCCCTTTTCGAAGATAAGTAATGGCCTAAAATTAACTTTTAAAGGATGTGACTATATGTGCTACTTGAAAACCTTCAAGATATCTTCTGAAATCTTCCTTGAGCAACCCAAAACACTTTCCCTGGAGGAGACAAATGGCCATTGTTGTTTCTCCTAATGAAGTTTTATAATCTTGAAGACAAGTAACTTTCCTGTACATAAGCACAAATTGCAATGCCAGAGAGTCATCAGCATTTTTTCGACGTTGGTATCTAAATACACCAGAACTGGCCAGATAAGGTTAATTACTTGAGGTTAAGAAAATGTCATGTTGGGGTCTTTCAAATGCTTATGAGCCACACAAGAGATATGTTTCAAATGCACAGGAAAGATGCAGATCAAATCACTTAGCTCTCAGGTAGCCAATCTACTGGTCTGAAATCGCTTCCGCTTGTGGATGGAGACTGCACTACCTTAATGCCTTTCCTATACAATTATTTCTTCTTCACTGGACTCCAGACAAAAATAAAAGAGCTTTCAGATTGATACCTATGAGCCACAGTCTGCCTTATTGTATCATTAGCTCATTTTAAAGTTCCTTTTACCAGGGAACACAGACAACACCAACTTAGAATCCAGCCTGAGCTGCCTCCCTGAAGAAGACAAGCAGGAAAGTTGTACAGTATTTTTCCCCCTTTTGAAAGCTAATCAACCTTATTTTGAAATAGTTTCAGCTTGTCCAATAGGCAGCATTAAAGAAAATATTTCCTTTTAGGGCTTTTTAAAAGACAAAAAGAGTATTAATTTTTAATGATTTGGTAAAGAAAAGGAAAAGGACCTTCTTAACTAGAAAAGGATTAGATATTTAGGCTTTAAGGAAGAAACGCAAGTGCATAATGGCATGAAAGCCCCATCCTATCACGAGAATTGGCAATCAGTGCCCAATTTTGGAAGAAGTAAAGGCACAATAATTGGCAGCCACTGCAGATATTTTTGTTTGCCAGCTAACATCTCATGTATCTTTCGTTAAATGGATTAAAGCCAGCTGCTGTACATCCAAAAACAGAACTTTTTCACACACAGAAGCAGAATGGTAATAGAGATGTTTACCCAGTATAAAAGAGACATGCACCACATTCGTGTTTATCACTAACATTTAGAAAATGTTTTTTATTATTAAGATTAACTGAGATTGACCTGTCAGGAATTTTCCAATCATTAAAGTATGAACACAAATACACTCTAACATGAGGCGCAGTGGGAGGTGTCCACAAAGCCCATCGGATGGTGCCCACTGGCACATGTGGAGGGGTGAGCACTGCTCCCATCAGGCCCTGTGCAGGCGCAGAGGAAGGTCAAGCTACTGCAGCCACTGACTTTTCACTAAGGATCCTTCTAGACATCCAAGTTGTCCCTAAAAATACCAGCATCTCCACTTTCAAGGGCGTGAGGGTTTACATTATATTTTCACTGATTCTTAAAACTTCTGTTGAGGCTGCTTTTTAGATAAGTTCTTTTTCTTTTTAGCTTGTTCCCCAGTTTTAAATAAATGTAGTGTTTGCATTCCCTATGTGTTCTCCACTCCCCCCAGCATTCCTCCAAGCCCAGAATATCCCCTGTGTGATATTCTTTGCTGGGAAATCCATGGACATCTTTAACATAGTTGTTGAAAAGGAGAATTTCACTGACATTGTAGATGCTATAGGATAAACTGGGCAACATTGCTAAATATTCTGCTGGTATAGGTCAAACAGTCATTTCAACAGCTAGAGATCATCATCCCTGTAAATTATCTGCTCTTCTTCCGTTCCAGGTCATCTCATTCCATAAAGCAAAAAAGAAGTGAAACAGAAAATAACCCCATTGTGTCTTATGTCTTAAATGTGCTTTTAAAAAAGCAGTACAGTTGGAAGCACGTACTTCATACAGCCTAAAGTGGCCCTCTAATATTATCAAGGAAATCATATCATAGGTTTCACTGTCACCCTTAATTGGACATAATTATACTGTTGCCTTCTGATAAACACCAAGTTTTAAATTATTTTAAATATCTTTTGGAAAACTGTCATAATATGGCAAGGTCACTAGCATGTTATTCTTCCTAATCGCTTATTAGCCTTAACACAGTGAAAGACTCCCTTCTTCTGAACTTTACACGGCAGCCCATGCTCAGGTAACTTTCCACTCTCCAGCTCTTTCTCAGTGTTCATTGATGATATGTTCTCTGTTTCACCATGAAACTTTGGCCACACTCAGCCCTCAGACCTCAGTCTTTCTCTTCTCACCCTGTGCTTTCACAACCCAAGCTTCCTCCTCCTTAAACCTGTCCCCTCAATGCCCTCATCAAAGTAGATGAATCCTCCATCCACCCAGGTGCTTGCGTAAGAAACTAGGTAGCCAGCAACAACATTCTCTCTCAGTTCAAGAAACTAATAGATGTTCTCTCAAACCTGTCCAGACTCTGCCAGCTTCTAACTCTGCCAATTAGCCCCATGTACAGTTCTGCCCTACATCCTAATCCTCTCGCCTGGATCATGCCCATGGTCCCCAAATGACTTTCTGTAGCCGCCCCTGTTCTCCTGAATCTCCTCCCTGGATGCCATCCTCTCACTTGGCTGACTACCTTCCTCAATAGTGTTGTTCACACTAGCATAAAAGTTTCCAGAAACCAGACATTGCATCTTGATTCTACTCATCATGTGTAGCTTGTATGTGTCAGGGGCACCCATCCAACACGTTCTCCAAGTCATCTGCCTATTCAGGTTTCTTTCATTCAGCTAATTGCACCTTTCCTGGCACCCTGGCCATGTGTGTTATTCAGCTCAACTCTTTCGGTACATCCCTTAAAGCAATGTTATTGAATAATAATTGTCGATGATACACCATAATATAAAACAAACATTAAACTAATAGAATGCATTTGAGCCTGAAAACTGCCTACCCCACCAAAATCTCACTATTTTTCATTTCTTTCACCCCACTCATAATGGATGAAAAGGCAGGAGGATTCAGATCACATCTTCCCGATGGTCTTTGCTGCACCTTCTGGTTTCTAGTTCTAAGACTTCGTTTGATTCATTGGCCCTTCTTTTTTTCCTTTTTGTTTTTCTTTTGTTGTTGTTGTTGTTTTAATGTAAAAGCATTGTATCATTCTTATTAGGAGCATTTTTTCTCTTTTTCAGGTATAAAAAATAATGATGCATCTTGTAATCTGTGGAGTATTACATAATAATTAAATATTGTAAATGCCCAGGTTTTAAAATTACTATTATCCTACTATTCTAAATACTTTAATGTACTCTCTTTACAACAAGTACATTTTCCCATAAAATTCAGTATCATTACTGTATATCAGAAAGTTAAAGATACTTCCATGATGCCATCTAAAACCCAATCACATTCAGATTATTCCAATTGTCCTAAGAATATCTTACGTAGTTTGTTTCTCCTTAACCAGTAGTCAATTAATTTACATGTATTGAATTTGACTATAAATGGTAATATTATTAATACTGTGTACCTGCTACTCACTAGAAAAAATTATTTTAATAAAAAAATATTTTATAGGCATTGCTGTCGATTTCATTCTCATCCTATTTTTGTCTTTTGGGCCTCATTTTAAAAACAACCTTATTGAAGCATGTTTTACATATCAGAAAATTCATCTATTTCAAGTAAAAATTCAATGACTTTTAGTAACTTTACCAAGTGGAATTATTTACTTAGGAGGGATCAACACCTGACCTAAAGTGGGATTCAGATTGGTGAGGGGGTTCAGTATGACTGGGCTCTATGCCCCAATACTTGGTATAATATTAAGATTTCGGGTCTAGACAGATAGGTAGAGTTAGAGACATAGAGATGATAGAGATGGAGATAGAGATGGAGATAGAGTATTAGGGTTCTCTAGAAAGACAGAACTAATAGAATATATATATATATATATATATATATATATATATATATATATATATATGAGTTTATTAAGAAGTATTGACTCACATGATAACAAGGTGAAGTCCCACAATAGGCCGTCCGCAAGCTGAGGAGCAAGGAAGCCAGTCAGAATCGCAAAACCTCAAAAGTAGGGAAGCTGACAGTGCAGACTTCAGACTGTGGCTCAAGGCCTGAGAGCCCCTGGCAAACCACTGGTGTAAGTCCAAGAGTCCAAAAGCTGAAGAACTTGGAAACTGATGTTCGAGGGCAGGAAGCATCCAGTATGGGAGAAAGATGGATGCCAGAAGGCTCAGCAAGTCTAGCCCTTCCATGTTCTTCTGCCTGCTTTTTTTGTTTGTTTGTTTTTTTACGGAGTCTTGCTCTATCATCAGGCTGGAGGGCAGTGGTGCGATCTTGGATCACTGCAAACTCTGCCTCCCGGGTTCAAGCAATTCTCCTCCCTCAGCCTCCCGAGTAGCTAGGACTCCTGGCGTGCGCCACCATGACCAGTTAATTTTTGTATTTTTCATAGAAATGGGGTTTCACCATGTTGGCCATCTTCTGCCTGCTTTTATTCTGCAGCTGATTAGATTGTGCCAACCCAGATTGAGAGTGGGTTTGCTTCTCCCAGACCACTGACTCAAATGTTAATCTCCTTTGGCAACACCCTCAAACACACACCCAGAATCAATACTTTGCATCCTTCAATCCAATCAAGTTGATACTCAATATTAACCATTAGAGATAGAGAGAGAGAGAGAGAGAGAGAGAGAGAGATACAGATGCAGAGAGATAGAGATATAGAAGTACACAGTTCCATCTCTCGTTCTCTTCAGTGCTTGACTCATTTCCTTTGGTTATCTTTATTCTTAGGCAGCCTCTCTGAACATAGTGACAATCTAGTTATCTTATGAACTTACAAAACAAAGAAAAATCCTTAATTGATCAAAAATGCCATTATCAAAGGTCCTGAATTGGCCCAAAGTAAACAAAGCGTCCCTTCCTTAACTCTAATTGTCCAAGGTAGGGACAGGTGCCTATTCCTGGAGCTGGAGCAGAACTGGACCAATCAAAGAACATGGACTGGGATGCAGGAGGTTGGTTCCAAAGGGAAAACAGGAGCTATTACCAGAAAAAGAAAAATTGGATGCTGGACAGGGGAAAATGGTACCCTTCCACTACAATCCTCTGTATCAGAGCAGACAAACATTTTCTGGAAAGGTCCAAGTAGTAAGTATTTTAGGCTTTGCTGACCATGCAGTCTGTGTCATAACTATTCAACTCTGACACTACAGTGCAGAAGGAGCCATAGACACTATGCAAAGGAATGAATACAGCCATGTTCCAAAAATACTTTATTTACAAAAACTTGCAGCAATCCCAGTTTGGCCGACAAGCTGTAGTTTGACAATTCTTGCTCTGTGTCATCAACAGGACTGCTATGATCTGAATATTTGTGTCATCCCAAAATTCATATGTTGAAATCTTAACCCCCAAGGTAATGGTATTAGAAGATGGGGGCTTTGGGATGTAATTGGAGCCCTAATAAAAGAGGTCCAAGGAAGTTCATTTACCCACTCCACTGGGAGGACACAGAGAAAAGGCACCATCCGTCCACCAGAAAGTGGGCCCTCATCAAACATCGAATCTGCCAGTCCCTTAATCTAGGAATTCCCAGCCTCTAGACTAAGAAATAAATTCCTGTTGTTTATAAGCTTCCTGGTTTGTGGTATTTTGTTATAGCAGCCCAAAAGGACTAAGACAAGAACCCATATCCAGTGACAAGAGACATGGTTGTAGCTGTCTGCTAGACAATCTGCCATATGCTTTTAAATAGCGTATCTTAGCCATACGGTGTTTTAAAAGCCAACTCAAAGTTCTCCTTCAAATATTATCAAGAAACTGAATTCCCACTAATGACCAGTTACTATGAATATAATAACAATGATAAATCTCAAATTAAAAGTATTATCAGAAGCTAAAGGGAATTATAAGAATCTTTGTTTTTGTGACGATTTAAACACGACAAAAATTAGATGATATTGAAATAATCTAATATTTCATTGCAAATATTCATACTTCACTATATCTAATTAAATTTCTGACAGTTGTTAAAATTGTCAAGCATCAATATTTCTTTTATCTAGGCAAACCACATTTTTCCTGCCTTACTAAATAAGAAAGCTAATACTTATAGAGACATATGAACAATTTTGTCCCTCACATCTAACATTTAAAATCAAATTTAATAGCTCATATCTCTAAGACTTTTATAACAAAATTATAGTAGTAGAGTTGTTAAACTATATAAAACTCTAGAGTTCAAAAGTTGTATAATTATGACAATAAATACAAATTGTTCATGGTCTGTTATTTGTTTTTTATAGCTTGAATACATTTGCAAACATGATCTTTCTTTATTACGGTTTTTGTACTGGCACTACTTAATTATATTTTTACTGTATTCATTTTTCATCTCCTCCTATATCTCTAAATTTAACTTTTATTGTATTGGTATCATAATTTACCAAACATGCATAATGAGCACCATTCCCAATCCACACAGTTTAATTAATTCCCTTCCAACATCTGTGTCATAATTATGTCAGTGTTTCCGATTACTTCTGTTAAATAAAAAACTTTAGACAAATTACATTTAGCAGAGTTTATTTGAGCAAATAACTACTCATAAATTGGGCAGCACCCTAACCAAGCAGAGGTCCAGATAGCTCCATTTAGGATTGTGGGTTGGTCATATTTATAAACGGAAAAGGGAAGTGACATCGGGAAGCAGCTTGATTGGCAATAGCTCCAGCATTTGCCTTATATGGACATGGTCTGATCAGTTGGCAGGCTGTACTTGGCTGAAGCTCAGCTGCTGTGATTAGCTGAAACTCAAATATTTGTTACAAAAATATACTCTTCAGTTAGCATTTTTTTTACATACTCAGGTTGCAGTTCACTATGTACAGAGGCAGCTTTACGCCAAATTCAATTTAATTTAACACCCCCAGGGTGATATCATTTGGATCTGTGTCCCTACCCAAATTTCATATCAGATTATAATCCTCAATGCTGGAGGTAGGGCCTGGTGGGAGGAGACTCGATCATGGGGGCAGTTTCTAATTGCTTAGCACCATCCCACTAATGCTGTTCTCATTACTGAGTTCTCACAATAGCTGGTTGTTTAAAAGTGTGTAGTGCCTCTTCACCCTTCCTCTTGCTCTAGCATAAAGACGCCTGCTCCCACTTTGTCTTCCACCCTGAGCAAAACTCCCTGAGGCCTCCCCAGAAGCAGATGGTTCCATGTTTTCTGTACAGCCTGTGGAACCATGTACAGAACCAATTTAACCACTCTTCTTTATAAATTACCCATTCTCAAGTATTGCTTTATAATAGTGCAAGAATAAACTGATACAAAAAATTAGTACTGAGGAGTGGAGCATTCCTAAAAAGATTCCTGAAAATGTGGAAGTGATGTTGGAACTGGGTAACAAGCAGAAGTTGGAAGAGAGTGGAGGGCACAGAAGAAGACAGGAAGATGAGGGAAACTTTGGAACTTCCTAGAGACTTGTTAAATTGTTGTGACCAAAATGCTGTTAGTGACACAGACAATGAAGTTCAGGCTGTTTAGGTATCAGATGGAGATGAGAAACTTATTGGGAACTGGAATAAAGGTAACTTTTGTTGTGGATTATTCAAGAGCCTGGCTGCATCGTTTCCCTCCTTTACAGATCTGTGGAACTTTGAACTTGACAGTGATAATTTAGGGTATCTGGTGGAAGAAATTTCTAAGCAGCAAAGCATTCAAGATGTGACCTGGCTGCTTCTAACTGCCTGTGCTCATATGCATAAGCAAATAAATGGCCTGAAACTGGAACTTATATTTAACAAGGAAGCAGAGGGTAAATGTTTGGAAAAGTTGCAGCCCAGCCATGTGGCAGAAAATAAACCTGTTTTCAGGGGAAGAATTCAATCTAGCTGCAGAAATTTGCATAAGTAAAGATGAGCTGAATTTTAGTAGCCAAGAGAATGGAGAGACCTCAAACGCATTTCAGAAATCTTGGTGGCAGCTCTTCCCATCATATTTCCAGATGGCTAGGAGGGAAGAATGGTTTCATGGGCCATCCCCAGGGCTCTACTGACCTGTGCAGCCTTGGGACATTGCTCCTGACATACAGGGTGTTCCAGCTTCAGCCTTGGCTAACTGGAGCCCAGGTACAGCTAGGGCCACTGCTCCAGAGTGTGCAAACCATAAGCCTTGGCAGCTTCTGCATGGTGTTAAGCCTGTAGGTGGATAGAGTGCAAGATGTGAGGCTTGTTAGCCTCTGCCCAGATTTCACAGGATGTATGGAAAAGTCTGGATATTCAGGCTGAAGCCTGCTGCAGGGTCATTGCCCTCATGGAAAACATCTACTAGGGCAGTGTAGGGGTGAAATGTGGGATTGGATTCCCCACAAAGAGTCCCCACTGGGGCACCATCTAGTGGAGCTCTGAGAAGAAGGCCACCATCCTCCAGACTACAGAATGGTAGATCCACTGGCTGAAGCCTGCTGCAGGGTCATTGCCCTCATGGAAAACATCTACTAGGGCAGTCTAGGGGTGAAATGTGGGATTGGATTCCCCACAAAGAGTCCCCACTGGGGCACCATCTAGTGGAGCTCTGAGAAGAAGGCCACCATCCTCCAGACTACAGAATGGTAGATCCACTGGCAGCTTGTACCCTGTGCCTGGAAAAGCCATAGGCATTCAATGCCAGCCCAAGAGAACAGCCATGGGGGCTGAACCCTGCAAAGTCACAGGGGTGTGTGAAGCTGCCCAAGGCTTTGGGAGCCCACCCCTTACAACAGCGTGCCCTGGATGTGGGACATGAGTCAAAGAAGGTCATTTTGAAGCATTAAGATTTAATGACTGCCCTGTTGGGTTTAGGACTTGCACATAGCCTGTAGCCCCTTTCTTTTGGCCAATTTCCCCCTTTTGGAATGGGAGTATTTACACAATGCTTATACCCTCATTGTATTTTGGAAGTAACTACCTTGTTTTTTTATTTTACAGGCTCATAGGCAGAAGGGACTAGCCTTGACTAAGATGAGAGTTTGTACTGTGAACTTTTGAGTTAATAATGGAATGAGTTAAGACTTTGGGGGACAGTTGGGAAGGCATGATTGTATCTTGCAACATGAGAAGAACATGAGATTTTGGAGGGGACAGGGGCAGAATGATATGGTTTGGATCTGTGTCTCCACCCAAATCTCATGTCAAATTGTAATCCCCAGTGTTGGAGATAGGGTCTGGTAGAAGGCAATTGGGTGCTGTTTCTAATGGTTTAGCTATCTCCCTAATGCTGTTCTTGCTATAGTTCTCACAATATTTGGTTGTTTAAACATGTGTAGCACCTCCCTACTCCTTCCTCTTGCTCTGGCCATGTGAAGTTCCTGCTCCCACTTTGCCTTCCACCATGAGTAAAACTCTCTGAGGCCTGCAAAGAAGCAGATGTTTCCAGGCTTCTTGTGCAGACTGTGGAATCATGAGCCAATTACATCTCTTTTCTTTATCAATTACCCGGACTTGCATATCTCTTTATAGCAGTGCAAGAATGCACTGAAAAACTGGGACAGAAAATATCCCTCAGAATAAGGGAATTTCTTATTTAGGTGACATTAAAAGACAAAAATGAAAGTGGCAATTTTGGTAAAATGTGATATTGTTTTCATGGAAATAGGGACAAAATAAACACTTTAATTTGCAAACAGAGTAGTGGGTTCTACCAGACAGATAAAGTCTCCAGTGAAGTTAAGTAATCTGGTCCAAATCAAACAGCTTATAGTGGAGTGGGTGTGTTTGTCTCGGACCTCAGGAACTACCCATCCTTTTATACCCTGTGGTCTAATCAACGTGTTAGTTATCAGAGTTGTGGAAAGTTGTTTTTCCTTTGTTTTTATTTTGTAGAACTGTTGTATGCTATAATTAATACCCCAGAGAACATCAACATTGTAGTTATTTGTGTTTTGTGTATTTGGGTAACTTCGTCACCCCTATAAAGTGAACACTCTTGCATGAATTCTTTGCTCCTGTGGAAAGCCTGGTGCAGAGATGTAGAGATGTTGGCATCCAGTTTTTCTTCTGGTCTTTACCCAACAAATAACTGCTCAAGTTGGTAAGCTGTTCTGAAATTCGGTGATGTGGTTAGGCTTTGTTTCCCTACCCAAATCTCATCTTGAATTATAATCCCCATAATCCTCATGTGTCAACGGAGAAACCAGGTGGAGGTAATTGAATCATGGGGTCATGGGGGTGGTTCTCATGATAGTGAGTGAGTTCTTACAAGATCTGATGGTTTTATAGGAGCTCTTCCTGCTTCTCTTGGCACTTGTCCTTCCTGCCTCCTTGTGAAGAAGATGCCTTGCTTCCCCTTCGCCATTGGCCATGATTGTAAGTTTCCTGAGGCCTCCAGGGCCATGCTGAAGAGTGAATTAATTAAACCTCTTTCCTTTATAAATTACCCAGTCTCAAGCAGTTCTTTACAGGAGTATAAAAACAGACTAATACACTGTTTCTTTTGTATCCCCTCTGTAGATTACATATGAAAAGTTCTGGATAAATAGTAGTTCATTTTTATTTGAAATTGTACCTTGTATGCAGCAGATAGGACAATGTGAGTAGTGTTATGAGGTACAAAGAAGCATAAGCCACAGTCTTTATAAACAGGAAGACTGCCAATTTAATTGAAGAAATTAGACACATAAACATGATATAAACAATGCTACCAATCATCATAAACTAATGGTACAATACGTACCTCTGCACAGAGTTTTCCAAGGTGTGAAACAGAAATCCCTTTTGTGGGTCTACACAATCAAACCTGAACTCAAAAGCAAATCTAAAACTCTGGACATAGTAGATCCCACTTGAGTATTCTAAATGCAGATTAGGATATAAAAGTGCTGAGAAATCCTGTGGTAAATAAATCTAATTCATATAAATCAGCAATTCCCAGTATATTTGACCACTTACCCCTGTTTTAATGAAGAAAAAACATCATAAAACCCCTAGCTGAGTGTTCTTTAGACCATGTTTGTAAAATGCCACCCCAGAAGCTGCAAGATGAATGAGGGCCTGATGAATGGGCATGATGTTCCTGGGGAGGCAGAATACAATGGGAGAGGGCGAGAGGTAAGGCAAGAAGCAGCCTTTCCAAGTCTGAGATGACACAGAGACTGTGGGCTCTTAATAGGTGGAGTGACTCCCACACACTCATGTACATCAAAATGGCGTCTTCACCATGGTGGTTCTTCAATGTATGTTTGACGAACTAACTTCACAGAATTAGAAAACTGAAATTCCTATTTGGAGGGTAGAGAGTAAACCAAACTGAGTACAGCAGAGAAGCAGAACTAAGGCTGGGAAGGAAAGGGAAGGAAAGATCCCAGAAGAAGAGAAAATCAACACCTAGGGTTGGGCACGGTGGCTCATGCCTGTAATCTCAGCACTTTGGGAGGCCGAGGCTGGTGGATCACTTGAGGCCAGGAGTTCAAGACCAGCCTAGCCAACATGGCAAAACCCCATGTCTACTAAAAATACAAAGTAAGCCGGGCATGGGGTGGCGCATGCGTATAATCCCAGCTACTCAGGAGGCTGAGGCAAGAGAATCGCTAGAACCCGGGAGGCAGAGGTTGCAGTGAGCCAAGATCGTGCCACTGCACTCCAGCCTGCATGACAGAAAGAGACTACACCTCAAAAACGAAAAAAAGAAAATCAACACCTAACTGAGAATAACGTGTGGGATCTGTGCTGCAGGTATTTCATACCCTGTCTCATTGAACTCTGACAATTACCTAAGGCAGAGAAGGATTATATTTAGAGAGAAAGACAGAGGTAACAAAGAAAGGGAAGAAATTCTGAACAGCAAAGAAATAGAAATGGCAAAGCAAAAGATGGCCATGGCCGGCCGGGGCTGGAATCACATGCAGGCAAGAGTGCAAATGAAGGAGAGGGGAAGCAACTTCCTCCAGAAACATTATTACCAACGTCTAAAAACTGATGGATTTTACTTTTCATAGCTCTAACAGACTCCAGATTTCTGAACTATTTTATCTTACTATTTTCTATAACATTAATAAGAATTACACTTTTAGGATAATTACCATGGTTATTCTTTCCTTTTAAAAAAGATGTATTCTACTTCCTATTTTCTGATGCTCTGATACCTTCCCAGGTCTCTATTTTCATACTTTAAAAATAATCTTTAGTAGTTGAATATGTTCCTTAGTTAATTCACCTGCAGCACCACATTTAATGCCATCTGGAACCACTAATTTTATTTTGTTTAAATTATCCAAGTATGCTCTTACCTGAATTTCAACAGCAGGTATTTTCACAAAGTCTTTATTATTTTATAATTTTCCAGAATCGTATTTCTTTCCTTTCCAGCACTTTACAAGGAATAATTAAGGCACTAGAAGAACAGAAGCCCTGTGAAATGTGCTACTTTGAGATTTCTCAATTTTAACAACAAATGTCAGTAAGAAATGGTTGAAACAATAGATTTTCACTTGTTAATTTTCTTCCACATGCTCAATTAAAAGCATCTTCCAAGATTATTTTAAAAGCTTTCATTTTCAAATCAGCAGGATACTGATTTAATCTGCTTTGAAAGATATTTAATAAAGCACAGTCATAAACAATTATTTCAATATCTAATGGAGCACAGGTGGGCTTATAAGACTGGAAAGGGAAGCAGCGAGGACTGTATTCATAAAGGAGTGGGTCCTTTCCAGAATGATCTACACTAGAGGATTTAACCCCATGCTCTCAGGTGCTGCCCAGTCCTACTGTATTTGACTCCAGACACCAGGCTCCCATTGGAAGATCAACCTTCACCCAGTCTACACCATCCCTGACTCAGAAAAATTTAAAGAGCTCAAAAATCTAGCACTTAGTGTCTAACAATTTTCACCTCAAAGTCCTCTCCAGTCTTGCAACCCAGTTTACTACCTGGCTTCTGTCTTTCTCCTTATGCCTATGTTTTGTTTAAGTCAGCTTCGCAGTAACACTGGCCTTCTGGGACTAGGATCCCATCTTGCTTTGAACATCCACCAGCCGCCACAGCTTTCCCATCGTCTACCTCATATCTACCTGCACCTGGACTCTGCCTAAGACTGAGCTCCACTGTTTAAGGATAGACTTTCCCAATGTCTGCTGCTTTTTGATATAAACTTCTACATGTCACTTGGTTTAGAGTCCTCACTATGTCCTTCTGCCTGCAGCTAGGACATCTCCCTACCTCATGTCGTCCACCACACTGGCTTTTTGGCTGAATTTACACTCACCAATTTTCCCATCCTTTGCAGTGCATGCACTAAGTGTACATTCACAGTCCCTCCAGATGGCCATGCCAGGGATCAAAGCTCTTTTGGTCCTGATCTCTCACACTTTCGTTTATTTTAGTAACAACCTGCCAGGTTGATATAGTCTGAGCTCTAAAATCATCTATGATATCTAGATTAAAATGCAACTGACAAGGAGCAGCAAATGACCAGCCAGTGTGGTCACCATCATAAAGAATTTAGATTTTCCTCTTGAGAAATCTTCTCCATAAAAATATTGAGCAAAGAAAAAAAAAATAGAATCTGATTTTTAAATGATGAAGACCATACAGGCAGCAACTGGTGAGTAATAGGTGCTCTCTGTCTTCCATGTCTTTCCTCTACATTTTTGTTTCAATCTCCTCTAGCTTTCTTATCATGAACCACAGTTAAGATATTGTTTACTCAACCTCCTAGCTGTAATGGAAAAGAGAAATAAAATTCAGCCAAACTTGAATACTCTAGGAGGTGAGAAAGAGGTGAGACTAGAGGCAGGGAGGCCAGGAGGATGGCTGGAACCTTGCATTTGGCAACGAATCAATTGATGTAATAACAAAAGCACAAGTAACAAAAGAAAAAATAGATAAATTAGACTTTATCAAAACTGAAAACTTTTATGCATCAAGGGACATTTTCAAGAAAATAAAAGACAATCTACATAATAGAGGAAAGTATCCACAAATCGTTTACCTAATAAGGGTCTAGTATCCAGAATATATAAAGAACTCGTACAACTAAACAGTAACAAAGACGCAACCCAATTTAAAATAAACAAAGGACTCATATAAACATTTTTTCAAAGAAAAAGATATAAATGTCCAATGAGCGCATAAAAAGATGCTCACTCTCATTAGTAATTAGGGAAATGCAAATCAAAACCACAAAGAGGTACCAGCTCATACCCACTAAGATAGCTATACTAAACAGAATTAATTCTAATTTTAATTTGGAAAACAGAAAATAACAAGTGTTGAGGATGTGGAGAAAATGGAACATTAATATATAACTGCTAGAATGTAAAATGATTCAGCGATGTGGAAAAGTTTGGCAGTTCCTTACAAAGTTAAGCATAGAATTCTCATATGATCCAGCAATTTCACTCTGAGGTAAAGACACCACGCCACCCTCTGCCAAAATTGAAAACAGATACTTATACAAATACATGTAGGTGCAAATTCATAACAACAGTATTCACAATAGCTAAAAGATGGAAACAGCTCAAATGCCCATCAACAGATGAGTGGATTCACAAACTGTTGCATATAAATAAATTAAAATTGTATTCAAAGTCTAAAATAAATGAGTCCTGATACACGCTACAATGTAGATGAACCTAGAAAATACTATGTTAAGTGAAAGAAGCCAGACAAAAAAGCTCCCATATTGTTTACTTACATAGAAATATCCATAATAGATAAAGCATATCAATAATAGGTAAATCTGCAGAGACAGAATTTACCAAGGCTAGAGGAAGGAAGAACAGGCAGTGACTGCTTAATAGGTATGGGGTTTCCTTTTGAGGTGATGAAAATGTTTCTGAACTAGATAAAGGTGATGATTGTGTAACACTGTGACTGTAGTAAATGCCACCGAATTTCTTACTTTAAAAAGGTTAAGTTTATGTCCATTTCATTTCAAATAGAAAGAAAATAACACAATTTTCCTCATTTCTATTATTGATCTGAGTCTCCATTTCTATTTGGTGATTAAAATATTAGATACCCTCAACAGCCGTTTGTGGTTTCAAGCTCGATGTCTTGTGATAAATAGTCTTTTCAGGATTTTCAGGTTGATCTTTATTTAAACCATCATTCTTTCAGTGATCCCTCCACTTTTTCCTATTTTAGGGATGGTTCTCACCATATTAATATGGTGTGACTGGGGGGTGCGGGCAGGGTGGCTATGGTTGCTTCTTCCCTGGTTATCATCTAACATCATTCGTTTTTGAAATTATAAGTAGTCTATCCTCCCTGCTTGGATAATGTGTGCTGATTACCCTGCTGGATGATGATGGGCCATTAACTGGTTCTGAGAGGTCCCAGAAGCACCTCTGTTCTTACACCCAGCTGAATGGCTGCCCACAGCCTTAGCTGGGAGGAGGCCCTCACCTCAAACACTTACAACCCTGGTTGGGCACTCAGAGACATTTGGTTATTGTACATGCTACCCTTGGGCATGCAGGAAAAGTCAGGGCCATGTCTGTGTCCTTCTAGATGCTGGAAACACCAGGGTGTTATCACTCTTGCCCTACCCTCCTGCTTTGGCCAGTGGAGAAACCTTCAGGGCTGCTGCTTTCAATGGTGGATCCACAGTTATGTTAGTCAGGATTCTCCAGACAGACAGAACGTGTGTGTGTGTGTGTGTATGTGTATGTGTCTGTGTGTAACACAGAGAGAGAGAGAGAGACTGATTTTGAGAAATTGGCTCAAAACTGTGGGTGCTGACAAGTTTAAAATCTGTAGAGTAAGCTGGCAAACTGGAGATTTAGGTAAGAGTGGATTTTACAGTCTTTATTCCAAAGGCTAGAAATTCAGGTAGAATTTCTCTTTGGTAGTCTAGAGGTAGGATCCCTTCTTCTTCGACAAATTTTAGCCTTTGCGTTTAAGGTTTTCAACTAAATAGGTGATGCCTACTCACATTGTGGAGAATGATACGGTTTTACTTAAAGTCAAATGATTATAAATGTTAATCATATCTAAAACACACTTTTACAGCAACATTCAGATGGGTGGTAGACCAAATAACTGGGTACCATGTCCCGCCAAATTGAAATATAAAATTAAATATCACAGCCACATAGAGGGAACCTGGGTCCTGACCTATGAGTCTTCCAAGCCAGCTCTGGACAGTCCACCTGTGGGCATTTGTATGAGGGAGAATGCAATTCTGCTTTATTGTGCCCATTATTTTTTCCTGTTACATTTTTTTTTTTTTGCCTGAATTCTAATGGATGTCTACTCCCTTATCCTTGTTACAGTAATTGGATACAGCATCCTGCCTCTCTTCTCCTGGGAAATCTAAGGGGCTAGAGAAAGAGAAGTGACTCCTAGTTCCCCTTTCATCTCCAAAATGTGTCATGCAAAACTCTTTTCTCTCTCTGACAGCCTGGAGTTCATTGGTATAATATTTAGCATGTGGTCTGAAAAGCCTCTTCTAGTTCACCAGTTGTCTCCAGTCTTCTTGGTCTGCCATGGGCAGAGTGTGTCATCTGAGCTTCACCGGGATGTGCTGGTTGTGAGGAAGGAAGAGGAAACTGCACGTTTTTGTCTCAGGTGTTCGGGCCAATGCTCTCCAGGCCATCCTGCCTCACTCTGTTCCATGCCAGCCACATTCACAGATGGAGGGACTCAGTAACGTGATTCCAAACTCCTAGAGGAGCAAATTTGTTACCCCATATGGAGTTCTTGCCTGCTCCTGGTCCATGTTATTCTCCACAATGTGAGTAGGCATCATCTATTTAGTTGAACCAGGATCAGTTCTTGCCTGCAGCTGAGACAGGAAGGAAGGGGATACATGGCCCCCTCCACAGGGAGATGCAATTTTAGATCCCTCGTGCATGTGCAGACATAAATCGCCTTTCTAAAATGACATACCGGTGTGCATGTGAGGGCACGCGCATGTAAGTTTGCAGGTAACAGGAACTAGACAACTGTTTGACACTTTCTGAAGACCAGAAAATGACTTACTGGGAATTATTGAGAATGAAATTAGAAATGTGAACAGCAGGTTTGTACTCATAAAATAATATGCTATGTAAGGATTTCTTATAACTATTTTTGCTAATCCTTAGTCAATTTTCCGGGAGAATAGAGATGAGGATGATTCTTCCTTCTTTCCTTGCATATTCTCTGTACCCACTCCTCCCTTACCCTGTATGTCTGCTCCTGATATCAGCATTCTGATTACTTGCTCCTCCAAAGTATTAACCTCACTTCATCCACTTGATCAAAGAATAGTCCTGGTAAAAAGTTATTTAACTCAGACGCTGTTGCCTCCCCGCATCACGTTCTCTGCAAAGTGCTGGCTGCCACTTTACTAGTCAACAGAAATGACTGTGCATGGCTGTAGTTCTTTGCTCTGAGCCAGTATTTTCTGCCAAACTAGCAGCTTTCTATGCCAGTATCAATCTTCTCTACTTCATAGTGATGGGAGAAGGATATAAACCTCTTTTTTGTGGGAAGACTTACTGCTAATTGCAGTGGTAATGGAAAAATTGTCCTACTCCCACCCATTGAATATGTTTCATCATCCTTTTAATTTCAAATTGTATATTGAGAAGGGGAGTTTCTGTATCTGTAAAAGTCACATAGTGAGATGTTTAACTCTTCATTTATTAACTTAATAGAGGATCTTATGCAGTTTCTATAGTTTGCATGTTTGTTCCACAAACCTCATGTTGAAATTTGATCCCCAATGTTGGAAGTGAGGCCTAATGAGAGTTGTCTAGGTTATGAGGGTGAGTCCCTCATGAGTAGATGAACGCCCTCTCTTTGGGGTGACTGAGTTCTCGCTCTCTTAGTTTCTGAGAGTTGGATGTTGAAAGGAGCCTGGCACCTCTCCCCTGACCTTTGCTGCCTCTCCCTCCATGTGGTCTCTGCACATGCCAGCTCCCCTTCTCCTCCCACCATGAGTGGAAGCTTCCTGAGGCCTCGCCAGAAGCCAAGCAGATGCTGGTGCCATGCTTCCTGTACAGCCTGCAGAACCATGAGCCAAATAAACTTTTTTTCTTTATAATTCACCCAGTCTCAGGTATTTCCTTATAGGAACACAAGTGGACTAAGACAACAGTCTTCCCTAAGCTTCACAGGGATGCAGAGTCAAGGGCTCTCTTTAGTAGCAAGGACCTTATTAAAATAATTTTCCCCTCATTTTAAATTGAGTGTATTATCGATTATATATGATCATTTTCTAATGAATAAATGAGACCAACTATAGCCAGCATCCAAACTCCACCACAGGCCCCTTTAGCAACTGAAGGCACCAAGGGCTCTTTGTCTGTCAGCGCCACCTGTGGTGGCCTCATCACTCTTGGTTTCTTGCCAGCATAGCTGCCACATTTTTGCATTAAGTATCAGTCATGGTCCTGGCTGCAGACAGAAGATCCACTCAAATGGGATTACTAAAGTTTGATAAAGGGACCTTTTATAAAACTGTGTGGAAGTTAAAGGAAGCCAGCAAGGGATGGTGAGGCACCCTGTGACTTACAACAGTGGAAGCCTTTGTCACTCCGGACCTGATGCAGGGAAGTGATTATCAGGACCCTGAGAGAGCCTTGTGCCTCTAAGAGACAGCTATGGAGACAGGCTGTGATGCCCTCCATGACCCTGCATGGAGGGGCCAGAGAGGGAAATGAACACTGGGACCTTGGGCTCCAGTCTCCTCCTGGTGGGTCTCATCAGCCAAGCCCAGAGTGCCTCGCAGGGTGCCATGGATCTGGTCTATGCAGATCGGCCTCCTGAGGCTCAAAGCAGGGCACAGAAGGAGTAGAGAGTGCCTCAGGAGCAGCAAACAGAAATGCTGGGTGTGGATGAGGGATGGCCATTTCAGCCAGGTCTCTGAGTCTTCCTGCCCTGCCCTGCTGTCTGGATGATTCCCAGGCTCATTTATAGCCTCTCATCCATATCATAATGACCATGCTCCATGATGACCAAATCCCTCCTCACAGGAAAAAACTAGTGGGGAGAAAAGATCAAAGCCAATAGGGTCTGCTCATTCTTGTTGCTCCTTTAAAGAGTTGCTAAGGGTGCCTAAAGATCTGAAACTGACTCTTGGTCATGGTTACATACCCAACTGCCAATTCTGGTGTGTTCAGTGACTATTATACAGTCACCAACTGTTTATTGAGATAATACATGAAAGAATAAATAAAAATGGTCTTTTCTCCCCAAAGTAGCTTCATCTACAGTAACTATATGTCTTAGAACTTCTATAACATCCTCATTTCAAATATTCTTACCCAGTGTTCCCCTATAATTACAGTTATATTTGATAGACCAATTGCCCTGGTTGTCAGCTCTGAATACATAGTCACTGTAGCTATCCAGATCTGGTTTTAGCATGCCAAATATAGGTGCTGAGGGCAGAAATGGCAACTGATAGATTGCAGAGTTCATGTACTGGAGTTATCAATATCCTTGCTCAATGGCACATTGTAATACACCAGCCCTGAAACCAATTTTGTGTGTTTAAATGAAAGTACAAAAATCAATTACTAGAGAAGGATTATTTTTGTATTGCAACCTCTTGCCTTCCAGAGTAATTCAAAAATCATTATAGACCAACATATTCAGAGAAACACACTTTTTTACCTCTTTCCTGACAGATTTTCTCTTACAAAAAAGGGAGAACATGACAACCTGTTTATTGAAAGGTAAGGAAAGTCTTTGTTTTACTGTTATTTCTACTTGAATCCACAGTGATTCTCTACTTCAATCATTACAAACTAAGTTGTCAAATATAGTCAGTTTAAAAGATAAGGAGAAACTAGCATCCTCATGCAGACTGTTATAAAACCATTTTTGTTTTATTCGTCACATTAGCATTCTATTGCCCTTTAAATGCCACAAGTTCAAGAGCACAGCTGTATAAATCCTGAAAATATTTCTTCTCATTAAAATAAAACATGAGGATACAATTTCCTAGGACATAGATGACAGAGAAACGGCAAAATAAGAATCAAAACAAGTTGGGTACGATTACACATAAGAGGCTGGGTGATTTTCCAATCAAAGCTTTGTCACTGTTCTATCACTAAGCTAATCAGGAAAGGGTTTAATTTGTTTGTTAGCACCTGCTACTTTTCTTTTATCATATAAACCATAATTAGAAAAATGGAATTTATTCACTGAGGTGTGTTGAAATAGAAGTTGTGCCACTTCATTCTAAAGGAAGGATTCACGTCATAATGTATATGCTATTCTTCTTTCAGAAGTGCTTGCTACCTGTGAACAAACTGGATATCATTTCCAAAGCTACATTATCATAGTTACAGAGGAGTGTGCATTTACCAAATCACCACTACCTCAAAACTCACAGTAAGCTAAAGCAATCACAGTAGATTGATCTAAAAATTAGAATAGGAAAAGAGCAAAGAATAAATGAATTCTGATTTTTGTCAATGTCTCATATCCATGTTTTAGACCATGTAACATAAGGGATAAAATGTAATTTTCACCAATATTCTCAATGATTTATCTCCAAGAACACACAAAAAGAAGATTTCGTGCTTTATCCTACTCTCCTTATCACAAATCTTGGCATTTTCTGCAGTTTTAAATTCTTACTTCATCTTTCTTTTTTCATCTATATCCAGGTCCTTTGAACGCGCCTTCCAAAATCCTTCTTTAAACTTTCTTCTTTCATTTTTCCCATTTCTCATGACTGTTCTGGTTTGTTACATATCCAACTTACCTCCAGCCTTCCAGCTCTTTTCCCTGTCTTCTAATCCCTCCCTATTTTTTCTGCTGCACTGTGATCAAAATTAGCTCTATGACATGTAAATGCAGGTATGTGTTTCTCTTGATAAATCATACTCCACTTCTCACTCTTGTCTATAACAGTGATTCCCAGTGAGAAAATCTATTATATAATAAATTTAATTATATATTATATATTAATTATATATTATGTATTAATAATGTATAATTATATATAATATATGATATATAACATTATATATTAATGTTAAATATTATATTATAAATATAAATATATTAATATTACATAATATATAATAAAATGTATAATTGATATATTAATTATATATCATATGCTATATATTAATAATGTACAATTAATATCTATATTATATATTTAGATATCGGTCTACTGTTTTCTTGTCTGTCTGGGTTTGATATTTGATATCAGGGTAATAACTAGCCTTATAGAATGAATTGCGAAGTATTTCCTCTTTTTCTATTTTTTGGGTAGCTTTTGAAAGATATGTATTAAATTTGCTTTAAATGTTTGTGGAATTCACCACTAAAACTAACTAGGGCTGAGTTTTTCCTTGTTGTAAGATTCTTTTTTTTTTTTTTTTTTTTTTCTGAGACAGGGTCTCACTCTCTTGCCCAGGCTGGGCTCAAGCAATCCACCCATCTCAGCCTCCCAAAGTGCTACGATTACAGGTGTGAGCCTCCGTGCTCAGCCTGTTGTGACATTTTTATTTACCAATTCAATCTCCTTGCTTATTATAGATCTCGTCTCATTATCAATTTCTTTTTGAGTCAGTTTTGGTAGTTTTCATCCTACTGAGAATCAGTTAATTTCATGTAATCTATCTAATTTGTTAGCATACTTTGTTCCTAGTACTACTCCCTTATAATCTTTCTTATTTCTGGAAGGTCAGTAGTGATGTCCCATCATTCATTCCTGATTTTAGTAATTTGAGTATTTTCTCTTACTTTCTACACCAGCCTAGCTAAATGTCATTAATCTTGTTGGAGAAAAAAATAGTTAAAATGAAAAATAACGTATTTATGTAGTCTTCTGTATTTACCTGCCTTTTTGTTTTTGTTTTTTTTTTTTCTTTTGAGACGGAGTCTCGCTCCGTCGCCCAGGCTGGAGTGCAGTGGCGCCATCTCCATTCACTGCAAGCTCCGCCTCCCGGTTACCTAAGTATTTACCTTTACTAGTGTAGTGCTCTTTGTTTATGTGGATTTGAATTACTGTTTTGTATCCTTTAATTTCAGCCTGCAAGACTCCCTGCAGAATTTCTTGTAGAGCAGGTTTGCTAGTGACAAATTTTCTCTGTTTTTATTTTTCTGGGTATTACTTAATTTCTTCTTGTTTTTTCAAAACAGTTTTGCTGAATCTAGAATTTTTAGTAGACTGTCTTTTTCTTTTTGCACTTTGACTATGTAAACCCACTGCCTTATGCCTTCCAGGGTTTCTAGTCATTTTTCTCTTGATACTTTCAAGGGTTTTTTTTTTTTTTCTTTGTCTTTGACTATTGACAGATTGGCTATGATATGTCAAAGTCTGGATCTCTGAGTTTATTTCACTGAGAGTTTATTGTACTTGATTTGTTCTACTTAGAATTTGAGTGTGTAGGTTAATATTCTTCAACAAATTTGAGAATTTTTTAGATGTTGTTTTTATTAAGTACTCTTTCGGACTCTTTATCTTCCTCATATTACTAGAATTCCTATTATGCATACGCTGATATACTTGGTGGTGTCCCACAAGGCTCTGAAGCTCTGTTTATCTTTCTTCACTCTTTTTTCTTTACATTCCTCAGACTGTGTAATCTCTATTGACAGATCTCTGAGTTCACCAGTTTTCTCCTGCTAGTTCAAATCTGTTGCTCAGCCCATCTAGTGTTGTTTTCATTTCAGTTATTTACTTTTCCTCTCCAAAATTTCTATTTGGTTCTTTTTTGTATATGTAATTTCCATCTCTTTATCACTATTTTCCACTTGGTGAGACGTTATTATCACACTTTCTTTAATTCTTTACATATTCTTTATCTACTAATCTGAGACCCCTTAAGGACATTTTTCTGTTGACTGCTTTTTTACTGCTAATGTGGCAAAATTTTGTTTCTTCTCATATCTCAAACTTTTTTGTTGGAACCTGGACATTTTAGTTAATATATTGTGACAATACTGGTATTAGATTCCTTCACACATATGCACACACCTAAGATCTGTTTCCATTGCTGGTTTTATTTTTCTTGCTGCAGCTTGCTTGTTAGCTACTTTCCTATACTAAGTCTGTAGGTTCTATATATTGAAATATGCGGCAGTTGAATTCTCTGCTTACCCTTTTCAAAAAATATACTTGTTCTTATTTTTAACACTAGCTTCCTAGGAATCACACCTGGATCACTATAATTTAGTGGGCAACCAATGATGGTTGGAAGACTTCCTTTTGTGTTGCCTGTATGTCTTCTACTCTTTGCCAGTGGATGTGTATGGGAAGGCATGCCTGCAAACTTCAGGCAGTTTGCAAGACAGCCTTAGCTTTTACATCCTGCCAAGCATAACCTCAGTCAGCCAGAGGTGAATGACTGGGACCTGCTCCTTTCCAGTGTCTTTCCTGGTAATGCCCCAACTCATGCTCACACATCCCTGCCCATGCATGCAGCCTTTTAAGTCACAGAGAATATTTCAGAGTGTTTCACGGTTCCTTGTTAGTGTCTAGGTTTCCTTTAAAAAGCCCTCCCAGGGGCTTCTTTGCCTTCACTGAAATCACAGGCTTACACAACTGAGATATTGCCAGCAGTTTGCTATTATTTTGGTGGTGACCAATAAGATTAACCATTTAGACAAAATTAGAAAATGTCTAAAAAAGCAAAACTTTTCAGGACATATTCAAATAAAAATAGAAAACCTGAATAGCACTATTAAAATTAAAGTAAGTAAACACACAATTAAAACTTTCTCAAAACAAAAACTCTGGTTCCAGAGAGCATTGCCAATGAATTCTTCAAATTTTTAAGGAAGAAATAAGGACAATCTCATACAAAGTCTTCTGAAGAATAGTAAAAAAAATCTGAATCTTGACAACAAAACCTAAGAACATTACAAGAAAGGAAACTAAGATCAATATCACTCATGAACATAGATGCAAAATTCTAAACAACATATTAGCAAATCGAATCAAGCAGAAAATAAAAAGAGTAATACATCGAGATATATCGAAATGATTCTAAAAGCAAGGTCATTTTAATATTGAGAATCAATGTAATTCATCAAATCAATAAAATAGGTAGGGGAATTTATAAAATTAAATCAATACACTCAGAAAACATTTTTATAATATACCTATGATAAAAATCTTTCAGCAAACTAGCAATAGAAAGTGATAATCTGATAAAGAGTCTAAAAATACGTCAGCAAAACACATTCAATAGCAAAATGTTGAGAGGTTTCCCTCTGATGTGGAATATGTTAAAGGTTACCTACCAACAAAATTATATACAAATCTTAGACAATGGAGTAATGGAAGGAACAGAAATGAAATTATATGAATAAAAATATCTTCTACATTGAGTTTTTTAAATTTGACTATGATGTATCTAGATCTACATCTCTTTGATTTTGTTCTATTAGAGTTCATTCATAGAGATTGAATCTGTAGAATTCAAATTAAACTTGTGGAAGTAAATCTAAAATTATTTACAAGAAGTATAACTATGTATTGGAAAATTCAAAAGAACCTATGAATAATGTATTAGAATTAATAAGTATGTTTAGTAAGGAACCTATCTAGGAACTTTGCTACAAATATAAAAATATAAAAGTAAAAATGCCAAATTTAAAAACATTTTTCATACCAGCAACAAACAATAACAAAATGTGAAAAGGTACCTATTCCCTTTTACTTTCTTTTCCTTCCTAGACAATTCAGTACTAAAGCCGTCATGTATGGCAGAGCAACATTGCTGTCTGCTTGGGGAAGGGGTGGCTTGGTGCGGAATCTGGGAACCAGAGCAGCAGGAGGAAGAAAGAGACCCATAGGAAGCATCCACCATGTGGCCTCAGGCCTCTGCAGAGGAGGAGGCCTGGTGGGCGGCTCAGAGTACAAGCAAGGTGCAGAGGGTGTCCAAGCATTGTGGTGACATAAAGTGGGACATCAGAGCCCAGGTGTAGTAAACAGGTTAAGCAGAGAAGCCAGGCAGACAGATAGGCTGGCCCATGGGACCCGAACCTGCAGGGACCCTAAATAGGATGAGGAAGGCACCTATGCAAAGGGTAAAGGGTGCTGGGCAGAATAGGATATTAGTTACAGCTGGGGATGGACCAAATAAGTAAATCAATTCAAAAGAATGGCAGTGGGTTTTGTAATGTCGCAAAATGAATGAACAAATATGGAAAAAGAGAAGAAAGCTAAAATAACACTGTAATGTTGGATCAGAATTAGAAATGTCAGTGCATACTAATATATTTCAATCTATAAAGATAGAGATGTGCGCACACACATATATACATACATGCATAAATAAACTTCTACATATTCCCTAACTTTGCCCATTGCAGGCCTAGGAGTGGCCATATTCCCAGTGGTGCACAGATCTTACATTATCAATATACATTTTAATACTATTAATATACATTTTAATACTATTATCTACAAAAAGGAATGATGGATCCTTGGATAAAGTGCTGATTCTTAGGTCGGTGCAGGAGAAGTAAAAAATGTCCCATGAATATCTTGTTATGTACTCTTGAAAGCAAAAAGGCTCTCAAACAATGAATGTATCGAAAGAACCATTTTGAAGGTATACCTGTTGGCCAAATTGAGGACAATTTGAGCATCAAAATAAATTAAATAAGTAAATGGAATTCTAATCCACTAGGTAAAAGAGAAAACTATGAATCTTCAATGATGTGCATCTCTAAATACATACAGACAAGATATTTACCTCATTTGAAAATACCTCCCCATAGAAAACACTCATTAATTACTAAGGGAAAAAAGAATAACTTCACAGTGGATAAGCCTGGCAGACACCACATTCATCAAGTAATCAAGGCAGTAATCATTAGTAATAGAACAAATCAAAATTGCAAGCCTCCTGATAGAATACAAAAGAACAACAGAGCATCACTACAGTTTTATTTCTGATGAAATACGAATCCTGAATCCATTTCTGAAGAAATATCAGACAAATCCCAATGAGGAACATTCTACAAAACCACTGGGCCATGATCCACAAAAGTGCCAAGTTAATGAAAGTCAATAACTAAGGATCTCTTTCTGACAACTGAATGCGACATGTAAATCTCAGCTCGATTACTTTGCTGTAGGATGTTATTGGGAGAACTAGACACGTAAATAGGATCTGAGGACTAAATATTATTACTATGCCAATGTTAGTTTTCTGATTTTGATAGCTGTAGGAGATTTTGTGTTTATGTAGGAGAACATCATTGTTCACAGGAAATGAACACTGAACTATTTAGGGGTAATGGGACATCAGGTAAGCAAACTACTTTCATAAGATTCTGAGAATAAAATATCTTTCTTTCGAACTTTTCTATAACTTTATTATTGATTCAAATGTTTTAAAAAATGAACAAAATACCAAAATAGCATTTTAAAATAATGTGTATTTCTATTAAAAATGGGCAAGACACCGTCATGTTAATCACATGTCAATTTTCTATACAGAAAAATATATAACATCAATAAAATAAATGGAAATGGAAATATATGCAATGATGTTAGTTCTTTCCCATATTGTTAGGTAGATAACATGAAGCCCTAATAGAGTTTCCAGAAAATTAATATTTTGGTGGAAATTCACAAGTTGTTTCCAGAATGTATATAAATGAAAATGGCCAACATTAAGATAAGCTACTGGGTTTTGAGAAGTTTACAAAGTCATAGTAATTAAGAGAACACGTTATTGATACAAGGATAGATAGAAATAGAACAGAACAGGGTAAGAGGCCAGAAATAGAGCCTCTTATAAGTGGACACTTTTATTACAACAAAGTTTGTACCACAGAGCAGTAGAGAAGGAGCAGTGTTTTCAAAAAATTATGCCTGGTCAACTGGATATCCACTTGGGGAAAAGCAAAATGACTCCTGGCTTACCACCAAGCAATCTGTACCTTGTGCATTGCCAATCTAAATGTGAGAGGAAAACCCTTCTTACAGAGCCCCTTGAGCAGTGTTGCCTGATAGAATTTGTGTGGTGATGGAAATGCTTC
Organism: Homo sapiens; assembly: GCF_000001405.40. NCBI lineage: Eukaryota > Metazoa > Chordata > Mammalia > Primates > Hominidae > Homo > Homo sapiens. Next base: position 165,155,247 of record NC_000006.12, read on the forward strand.
ACATCTGCACCCTCCACGAGGGTAGCCACAGCCATATATTGGTTTTGAGCATGTGAAATATGGCTAGTGTAACTCAACCACTGAATTTTTACTTTATTTTTATTTTACCTCATTTATGTTTAAATATCCACATGTGGCTAGTGGCTGCTATATTAAACAGTACAGTTCTAGATAATAATGGAAGAGAATATCTTTATGTCCTTGGGGTAGGCAGATATTTCTTGATAGAACACAAAAGCGTTTTCCATAAAGGAAAAAACTGGCAAATAAGAACTTCTTCTCATTAGAAAACATCAAGAAACTGAACGTAAACCAACACGTAGGAGTTATTGCAACACACATAGCTAACAAGTTCTCAGTCCTGAATCAATCCCATAATCATTAGAAACTTACTAAAGAAAATGAGTGTGGAATTAATGGACAAATGGCTTGAACAAGCACTTCACAAAAAGGATAGCCAATGAAGTAGTGCTTTATATCAGTGTCATCAGGGCACTTCTAATTGAAACCACCATTAAATATCACTACACACCCACCAGAAAGGCTAAAATTTGTAAGACTCACAGGACATGGGGCAGGGTTGTGGAGGGACAGTCGCACTCCAGTGGTGGTAAATCGGAACCCACTTTATAAAACAGGTATTATCCACTAAAATTAAATGTATGCAAGCCTTATGAACAGCAATTCCACTCTAATGGATATGTCCAATGTAAACGCATGCACATGTGTGCCAAGAGTCTTCAGCAAGATGTGTAGAATGTTCCTCAACTTGGGTTTAGCTGATATTTTCTCATGATAAAAAAAAATCATGGTATGTGGTAATAAACTGTGAAATACAATGAGTATTACAAAGTAATGAAAAAAAAATCACTGCATACAAAAACCTGAATAAAACCTGCAAACATAATATTCAGTGACAGAACAGGATACAAAGGATACATTCAAATGGTTCCTTTGGTGTCATCTTCAAAACAGGTGGTACCTGCCCATCATAGTCAAGGAGGGTAGGCTGTAACTATGAGAGGACCGGAAGGGGCCTCCAAGGTGAGCAGAGTGTGCAGTTTCAGGCCCGGGTAGTGGATACCTGGGTTTCCTCCCACGTGATCATTCATTCGGATGCATGCTTATGATTGCTTACTGCCTTTTGGTTGGTTACAGGGCAATACAAATTGTAACATCATTACTGTAAATTCCTAATCATATATTTATAACATTTACATGCTGTGTGATTTCTTCCCATAAGCCAGCTATCCTAAGCCTAGTTTTATGACATTGCTACTCCTGCCAGTTTTTTCAAGAGCATGGTTGAATGTTTCCATGATCCTCAAAATTAAATTTGTTCTTTTGAAATAAAAAAATAAACTTGGTATTATGATTTCAGTGACACTGAGAATATTACAACATTCCATAATAATTCATTCTTTTATTTTTTTTCCACAGAGAATTTGACTCTGCATCCCCTAAAATAGTGGTAGGCACTGCTTTAAAAGAATGAAATGGCTTATTCTGTCAAATGGTGATCGAACCCATTTTAACTTTGCAGGATGAATTTTATGGTGCTGACAACTTTTATAAATGATTTCTGGGCTAAAATATTGAATTAGTATTATTATCCTTCAGTGCGTCATTAGATGTTTAATGAATGTTTTTAACACAGATAACAATGGACACTGTTATCCTGGTAGACATATAAAAGAAACCATTATCTCACCACTTTAATGTCCTTCTTTGCTTTAGTTCTCTTAAAATCCTTCCAAAAGAAAAATGTGTCTACCTCTCTTCATTCTTCATGCCTCTCCGGGGCTTGCATTAGTTGCTAATTGCAGTTTCATGTTTTATCTCTTTTGGTCCACAGGGATCACAGACCTTTTTGTGACTTCTTCTCTGTAATACCAGCCATAACTTGTTATTTATTTTCAACATATATAATGTGCCACCACTGCCAAGGGAAACTTTCTCTTAGATGAAAAAATTTCCATAAAAATGGATGTTTGCATTTTAATTGTAGGTGATATGGCTACTCTTATTCTTATCTATGCCAGAGCTAGAAAATAAAAGCAACAAAATAAAAATGCGATAGGAAAAGGCTAAACCACAGCTCATACACACTCTCTCCTGGTGTAAGCTGCAATAACTGACCGCAGCATGAGACATTAGCAGTGAGTTAGATCAAAATGATATTTTTTCTAACATTAATAGCTCAGAGTAGCCCTCATATAAAATCCAAAGACTTGAGTGTTTTTTGAATTATGATTTCTCTGGAAAACTTTGCCTTAAATTTCATTTGTGGCATTTTGAAATATATTCCAATGAAACCTGGAAAGAATTGTATTTTCCACACACTTTCGCACCTTCCTAGTCTTTCTCATTCCCTCTTGCTATACAACCTCCCTCTTGCTTACAAAATGGACTCTTTTTTTTTTTTTACAAATTGGGTATTTCTGGTCTATCAGAACAACAGATTTAAAAAAATGAAAAGATATTTCCACTAAACAGCCCACTGCTGATACAGTATAGAGAGTTTTGTCATACTTCAGAAACCTCACAAAAGAATTACCTGTTTCTCTTGCAGAAACTAATTGCGTCCTTTTGGTAGAGTTTCAACTTCCTGGAATAGCAAGAAAACCGACAAATCACTCCTTGGCAGAATTGTTCCTACATTGTGCCATCTGATACAATCCATTAATGCCATTGGAGAGCTGTCACAACCAGCACTTATGATGTGCGTGTGTGTGTTTTCTTTATATTTTAGAGGAAAATAAGAAAAGGAATTTCTCCTCTTCTAATTAGTAAAAAATAAACAATATTTTCTTTGAATATTCTTCAAACTTTTTTCCATCATTGGAACTAAAGAAGTAGGAAAAAATGTGTATTTCTTGTAGCTTTTTTTTTTTTTTTTTTTTTTTTTGAGACGGAGTCTCTCTCTGTCGCCCAGGCTGGAGTGCAGTGCAGTGGCGCGATCTCAGCTCACTGCAGGCTCCGCCTCAAGGGTTCAGGCCATTCTCCTGCCTCAGCCTCCTGAGTAGCTGGGACTACAGGCGCCCGTTGCCACACTCGGCTATTTTTTTTTTTTTTTTTGTATTTTTAGTAGAAACGGGGTTTCACCGTGTTAGCCAGGATGGTCTCAATCTCCTGACCTCGTGATCCACCCGCCTCGGCCTCCCAAAGTGCTGGGATTACAGGCGTGAGCCACCGCGCCTGGTCTTCTTGTAGCATTTTTTAATGGAGACACTGGAATCATTGTGATTTCTACAGTGCACTAAGCTGAAGCTTTTAACGCACCACTCTAAACAGAAACTTTATATTTTTGCTTTTTTTCTTCTGCCATGTCTTCACCTCTCTGAATTTTCATACTTGGTAAAGTTGAAGAAGAAAAAGGAAAAGTAATTGCACCTCGAAGTTTACCTCTTTGCTGAATTTCTTTAGTTATTATTTCAGCTATTTGTGCTTTGAAAGAGTTTTCCTCCCACATGAAATGACTTTTCCATCTGCCTGAACTTCTGGAGATAAAAAGTGAAAAAAGTGCCACAGATTTCATATCAGAACTGTAGTGTGGGGCCTGTGAGGCTCACGTGTGTAGGAAATAATGAGGCTTCTTTTGTTTTGTTTTTGTTTTTGTTGCTGCTGCTTTCGCACAGTTGAATCCAAGTAGAAAATAGAGATAAAAAAGGAAATGCAAGTCAAAGGTAATTGGGGGTTCACTTTGTGTCATGAGATATTTGTTAGCCCTTTTCCAAAGCTGATGTAATTGTTAGGTTTTTACCTGTCTGTTTAGTAAAAAGACACAAAAATAGTTGAAATAACAATAAATTAACATCGATTTAAAATCCGGGTCCTTCAGTTGGAAATTCAGAAAGATTCCCTAGGACTCCTTATTTATTAAAGATTTTTAAAATTTAAAAGTCTAGCCATTAATCTTTCTGAACATGACACTTTTCAGCCATGTCAGATTTTTCAGGCTGCCACTAAAGAAATCAAACAAGGGTCAGAACACAGTAAACACAGAAACTGTGAAAGAAGAAAACCTATGCGTCGCAATAGAGAATATCGAAAAGCTACAGCACCTGTTTTCCAGCTGGGACTTAGTTTTGCAATCTGAATTTTATCAACAAGCCCAGCCATATCCAGGCTGCCAACAGAGATCTTCTGAAAGCAGAAAGAAACCAAAGTCTGCATGGGAATAATCTCAAGCTCTAAAATGAAATCTTAAACTCTATCAAGACATTTTAGCCTCTGAGTTTGTTTTTTTTATTTTGTGTTTGAGAAACAAGACCATGCATTTCTCCTTACAGATGAAATTAGGCATGGCTGACCTCAGTGGGTAGCAACTGTGCCCTTCTTATCAAAAAAACTACATGTGCCAGGCACTAGCAGGCAAGAGGCTGCTCACTGTCATCTGGTAGATGATGGGATGGAAAGAACACGTCTGATTTGAAAGCCAGGCTGATATGCCAGTGCCTCAGCAATTATCATGCCCATCTGCTCCTTAGCTTCCAAGCTTCTGTGCCTACACCTATGCTGAGAGAGAGAGAGAGAAACAAACACAGAGAGAGAGACAGAGAGAGAGAGAGAGACCCTTCAGGCATCTCACTGGCATTTAGCATACAGGAAATTTAAAGCTTTGGATATACCTTATATGAAATCAACTGGGGAAGGCCCTTTTAAAAAGCATGACTCCTTAATAGATAATTAACTTAATGCATATATTTCATTGTCCCTGAGCACTTCATATACTGGTGATCTCAGCTCTGCGAAATATACTTATTTGGCATATTCAGAAGAAATTTCAATAATTGCTCAGCTATCTTTTTTCCTGTGCTTATCAAATTGTACATGATAGCTATTATCTGAACCTATTCTAGCTCATGACTATGTATATGGATATGATACAGAAAATTCACCAGCCAAAATTATTCAGGAAAACATCCTTGGGAAATTACCCAAGTTTATTCAATAGAAACTAATAATGCATTCGAACAGTTTTTGAAATGCATAATATTTATAAAGAACTAAATATGTATATATTACATATATGAGTCAGTCATTCTAATCAGTAGCTAATTCACATATGTATTGAGCATTTATTTTGTGCAAGACCCTGTGAAAAATATACTAGACATAAAATATAAGTAAAACTTGCTTCCTGCCTTCAAGGAACTCACATTTTAGCAGGAAAGATAAAGAAAATGCATTAACAACCCTAAAGCATGATAGAATATAGTAAGATCAAGGAGTATGATGAGTGTATGGTGAATTATAAGTGGAAAACCTATTCTGAATCATGCTTTAGGTTGGCACTCCAAAGGCTATGGTCAGGCATGTTAAAGGGTCCAATGATGCAAAAAGAAAGGAAACCTAAGAATTTATCACTGCTACTCAAAAGGAATTTCCCAGTCGGATAGATGAATGGAGATTGTACTTAGCTAGTAATAGAAACCCTTACTAGCCTTCCTTTAAAATGCAAAGAATAGGTTCATTTCATGTAACAAGTTTAATATTTTTCTAATTTCTTAATTATGTTTAATTAACATTTTTATGGCCATTTGAACAAAACTAGAGAAAGTGGTAAAATGAACCTATATCCCAATTTTTTAAATGTCTAAGACTTTTACCTCAATTCTTTCAATACACTGTCTACTGTGGTTTTGGAAAGGGAGCAAATCCAGACTATTTTAAAGCAAATTCAGACAACATGTCATTTTAACTGTTTGAAATGTGTGATGGCATTGGGTTGTTTTTCCTGTTGACTTTCCCACTGTTATGAACTGAACTGTGTACCCACAAAATTATATATGCATGCCCTAACCCCCAGTACCTTAGAATGTGACTGCATTTGGAGATAAGGCTCGAGTGGGTAATTAAGTTTAAATAGACAGATGATAAGGATGGCGGCTTAAACTAACATGAGTGATGTCCTTATAAGAAAATGGAGATACTCCAGGGATGCCCAGATAAAAGGCCATGTAAGGACGCACAGAGAAGGTGGCCACCTGCAATCCCAGGAGAGAAATCTCAGGAGAAACCAAGCCTGCTGGCACCTTGATCTTGATCTTGGACTTCCAGCCTCCAGAATGTAAGACAATAAATGTCTGTGTTTTAAAGTTATCCATCCTGTGGTATTTTGTTATGGCAGCCCTGGTATATGAATACCCCTACATTCTGGATATGACATGTTTCTCTGTGTCCTGTATTTTCTGCTAACTGATTGTGGAAGATGCTGAAGTGACCTCCAAGTGCAGTGATCACCCCGGCTGCCATGAGTAATGGTTGACAAAGGCTCGTGGTTGTCCCCTTTTCTGGAGAACCACCCAGAACCTGTAGAAGAACCCACTTCACACCTGTTGCCCTAAAGCCAATGACTGCCTGACTTGGGGGCATAAAACACTGGCCCATTTGACCCATGGGTGGAGTGAAGGCAAGTCTCTGGTGTGATCCAATCCCCAGAGCACCGTGTGTCCAGCCAAGGTGCGGCTGTGGTTGAGAGTGGCTCACTCAGCTCTTGCCCCTGCCCTGTCTTGCTTCACAACCTCAACTTTTTCCTGAAGAGCAGCCTCTCAATAAGGCACATGCACTGTGTACTTTATTAGGAACTGCACTCAAATGCAGCTGGTGACAGTGGAAGTCCTAAGACAAAACTCCCAGGCTGCAATTTTAGACTCAGATCCTGGACAGACCTGGAAGTAAGGAAGTGTCTGTGCCTGGCAGTAGCTGGAGCATGGACAGCACCTAGCAAGCACCCCTGTAATTATTCAGGTTTCACCTGTTATCATCTGGAGGCCGATCCACACAGAAGGTGTTTACCAGGAACTATTCACACACCTGCTCTTGGAGTTTCTCTTGTCTTAAAAAAATATATGGGGAAATGAAATTATGAGGAGTGAGGGTTTGAGTGGATATTGCTAAGAGCTGTGGATTACTTAAAAAGAGTAAGCCACAGGGTCAGAATATTAATTACAATTTACAGCATAATGTGTAGGTCAGTAAATTTCCTTGATAGTATTTAAATAGATGATCACTCCTGCAGCCAGAGGCAAACAGAGATAAAAACCAAGCAGAGAACCTAATTTTAACAATGGAAAAACTCCAAGGGAGGCTACACTAGTGGTCTTTGATGGCTTCTGTGCTTTCTGGCACAAAAAAGTTTCCAAAGCTTATACTGCCCATAGACCTAGAATCAGCCATTGCTCTAAGGAGCCCTCATCTCTTTCAGTGGAAAATGGTATTTCACATCTTCAATCTGGATTTAAGGCTACTCTGAATTTGGATGGGAGTGTAAGTCCAATGGTCAGACAAAATTAGTTATTTTTTTTAAAAAAGTATTGCTTGTTAATGCAGAAGGGGAAGCAAACACATCCTTTTTCACATGGTAGCAGCAAGGAGAAGTGCCAAGCACAAGGGGAAAAGCCCCCTATAAAAACATCAGATCTCATGAGAACTCACTCACTATCATGAGAACAGCATGAGGGTAATAGCCACCATGATTAAATTACCTCCCACCGGGTCCTTCCCACAACACGTGGGGATTATGGCAACTACAATTCAAGATAAGATTTGGATGGTGACACAGCCAAACCTTATCATTCCACCCTGGGCCCCTCCCAAATCTCATGCCCTCACATTTTAAAACACAATCATGCCTTCAACAGTCCCCCAAAGTCTTAGCTCATTCCAGCATTAACCCAAAAGTCCAACAGCAAAGTGTCATCTGAGACAAGGCAACCCCTTCCGCCTATAAGTCTGTAAAATCAAAAGCAAGTTCATTAGTTCCTAGATACAATGTGGATACAGGCATTGGGTAAATATACCTGTTCCAAATGGGAGAAATTGGCCAAAACACAGGTGCTATAGGCCCCATACAAGTTCACAATCCAATAGGGCAGTCATTAAACCTTAAAGTTCCAAAATGATCTCATTTGACTCCACGTCTCATATCCAGGGCATGATGATGGAAGAAGGGGCTCCCATGATCTTGGGCAACTCTGCCCCTGTGGCTTTGCAGGGTACAGCCTCCTTCCTGGCTGCTTTCATGGGCTGGCATTGTGTGTCTGTGGCTTTTCCAGATGCACAGTGCAAGCTGTCAGTGGATCTACTGTTCTGTGGTTTGGAGGATGATGGCCCTCTTTTCACAGCTCCACTAGGCAGTGCCCCAGTGGGGACCCTGTGTCGGCTCTGACCCCACATTTCCCTTCCACGTTACTCTAGCAGAAGTTCTCCATGAGGGCTCTGCCCCTGCAGCAAACTTCTGCCTGGACATTCAGGCATTTCCATACATCTTCTGAAATCTAGAGGGAGGTTCCTAAAACCTCAATTCTTGACTTCTGTGCACCCACAGACTCAACACCACATGCAAGCTGCCAAGGCTTGGGGCTCACATCATCTGAAGCAATGGTTGGAACTGTACATTGGCCACTTTTAGCCACAGCAAGAGGTGAAGCAGCTTGGACAGAGGCCATCATGCCCTAAGGCTGCATAGAGCAGGGGGGCCCTGGACCCAGCGCATTGAATCATTTTTCCCTCCTAGGCCTCCAGGCCTGTGATTGGAGGGGCTGCCATGAAGCTCTCTGACATGCCCTGGAGACATTTTCCCCATTGTTTTGGTGATTAACACTCTGCTCCTTGTTACTTATGCAAATTTCTGCAGCAGGCTTGAATTTCTCCCCAGAAAAAGGGTTTTTCTTTTTTTATCATATTTTCAGGCTGCAAATTTCCTGAACTTTTATTATCTGCATCCTCTTGAATGCTTTTTCACTTAGAAATTTCTCCTGTGAGATACCCTAAATAATCTCTCTTGAGTTCAATGTTCCACAGATATCTAGGGCAGAGGCAAAATGCCACCAGTCTCTTTGCATAGCAAGAGTGACCTGTACTCCAGTTCCAAAGTTCCTCATCTCCATCTGGGACCATCTCAGTCTGGACTTCGTTGTCCATATCACTATCAGCATTTTGGTCAAAGCCATTCAAGGAAGTTGAAGTTCCAGACTTTCCCACGTTTTCCAAATGTGTAATTCCAAATTTTCCCACATTTTCCTATCTTTTTCTGAGCCCTCTGAACTGTTCCAACTTCTGCTTATTACTCAGTTCCAAGGTCATTTCCATATTTTTGTGTATCTTTACAGCAGCACTCCACTCTTTGCTGTACCAATTTACTGTACTAGTCCATTCTCATGTTGCTATGAAGAGATACCAGAGACTGGGTAATTTATAAAGAAAAGAGATTTAATTGACTCACAGTTCCACAGAGCTGGGGGGGCCTCAGGAAACTTACAATCATGGCAGAAGGAGAAGCAAACACATCATTTTTCACATGGCAGCAGGAAGGAGAAATGTTGAGCAAAAGGGGGAAAAGTCCCTTATAAAACCATCAGATCTCATAAGAACTCACTCACTATCATGAGAACAGCATGGAGTTAATCACCTGCATGATTCAATTACCACCCACCAGGTTCCTCCCACTGTACATGGGCATTCTGGGAACCACAATTCAAGATGAGATTTGGGTGGATACACAGCCAAACCATATCAGTATTAAAGTAGCATCATTGGGGTAATACTCAAGGATCGTTGTCTCACGCCAAAGAAATCAGGGACACAGACACACAAGGAGTGAGGTTAGGAACAGAGGTTTAATAGTCATAAGAAAGAGAAAAGCTCTCTCCTACAGAGAGGGGTCCTGAGTGAGTTTTCTGGTCCATGGCAAATGCAAGGAGTTTTATAGATGAGCTTGAGGAGGCAGTGTCTGATTTACATAGGGTATGAAAGATTGGTCAGTCCAGGTGTGCCATTTGCATAAGGTGTGAAAAACTGGCCACCCACACCCTAATCTTTTATTATGCAGACTGGTTCTTTACCTGGCCAGTGCCATGTTACCTGTTCCTTTACTGTGCACATGGTGACAAAGAAAAGGGAAGATGGAGACTCCATGTTGAACACACCTGGCCCCCATGTAGCCCTTTTCTATTGGCACAGCTACCAGCATTCACCCTTGCAAGCTTCCAGCTTTCTTATCTATGTCTGCAGCGTGATTTTTCAGGCTGCTCTTGTTAAAAAAGAAATATTTGAGAGGCTGCTTTTTGCTAAAAGGGAAATTCTGCCAAGGACTCTTTTACCCTCACTATCTGCCTAAATATTTTTTCTATTTCCTGTATCAGTATCATATCAAATGACTTCCAATACCTACATAAACTTAAAAGCATAATTAAATTGGAAAACCCAGAAATGTATCCCTTATAAATCTTTCATCAAATATTTAAAACTCTATGTATCCATGGCAAATCAATTTCAAGAATTAAATAATGAAAGGTGCAAGAGATGCAATGATATAAACCAAAGTAACAGGATGGAAAACATAGGCATTCTATTTACAGTTCATATGTGATAAAATATTGTCCTTAATCAAATTCTTTGTTGACCATGTACTACTTCTAGTATTTTCTTTACAATTTGTACAAAAATATTCATAGTGTTCAATGTATTAAGGACCACCTCACAGTGAAAGAGAAGGAAATATAAATTATAAAACTCAGTGTTGAAAGAAAACTTAGAAATGAACTACCATGACTGTGTGGTCCATGGTCCTAATTACACATGGGGCTTACTACAGAGGTTACAGGGAGTTCACAATATTATCCCCTACACCCAACTTTGCACTAGAACAACTTAAAATCACAATGCATGAGAAAAAAATATGTGTATTTTAAAAACATGACAGAACATAAAATATGAAAGCATATGAAATTAGTTCTGGTAAAATGCAAATCACTATTCCATTGGCTCTGCAAAGGTATAAAATTTATAAATATTATTATTAAGATAGAAAATATCCATAAAGAAAAATTAAAGGTGTAAACCTGTGGACGAATGCCCCACTATCACAGCGGATGTGCCCCCAGTGCCAACTCCTTGTAACTCCACTGGCAAAACCACATTATTTATCAAGATGCCGAAGAGTTTGTCTCCCAACGGTCACCTATCCTTCGCTTCAATATTTGTTGAACCCTTTATTTGTTGGGTACAACTAATTCTTTCTTCTAATGGTCTTTCTCAACATAGCCCCACCCAAACCTCCTCATTCCCCACCCCATCTCTCTACCACCAGCTTAGCACTGTGGACGTAACCATCTGCCATTTCAAGATATAGACTTATTTTTCTTAACAAACTTTATTTTTGATCACATGTTTAAAGTTTATTCACAGTTCAATTTATTCCTTTTTGTGAAAAAAATACATAATTTGTCAAATTAAGTTGTATTAAGTTATTTCTTAGTTACAGCTCTACTTAGCACTTTTAGTCTTCATCTTTCTTTTAACTATAAGTAACTCACAACTCTCAATGTGTTTATGGCCAGAAGTCAAGATACTTTTTAGATTTCTTAACTAAAGCTAGAAGACTGACAATGAAGTTCAATCCTGGATCAATGTCCAGCAACATCATATAACAGGAGGAAAACCTTGGGACACTGACTCCAGCTAAAGTTTAAAAGACAAAAACCAAGACTTTAATATCCTAAAATTAAAGTAATGACACTCAATTTAAGGACACAACTTAGTAGACATGGGTGGGTTGACTATGTGTGTGTGTACATGTGTGTATGTGTGTGTACATGTGTGTATGTGTGTGTGTACCTGTGTGTATGCATGTGTGTATATGTACTTATGAGACAAAAGTACTCAAAATGTACAAAAATATCTATGTACGCAACTGGATTTCTGTTGTAGATAATGATCAAATATTGATGTAGGAAAGAGCTATTAATAAATTATTGATTTAGATGAGTAAGTTTATTGTATGTGGGTTTATTTCAAGGTGAATTTTCTTAGGATTTAATTTCCTAATGAGAGGCGTAAGACATTCAAGCAATAGCTGGATTTCACACTTATTAAGAAATCCAATGTGTATAAAATGCATATATAATAAATTATACATACTAACAGATGCTAATGAGAGAAACCAACACACCTGTTGTGTAAACAAACAATTTGCATTAGGAAATGAACCTCTGTGAAACATCTGTACTGGGTGGGTGATTGAGCAAAGGAACAGAAAAATTCACATGATTTTATTGCTCCTGGTTTCATCACTCTATTCTGAATTCCTGATGCTTTTTCTAGCTTAAGCTTATTCATCAAAGATTTGATAAGGTCCTACTATATGCTTTACTGTATTAAGTGCTTTGAGGAAAATCCATATGAAAATTAGGTCCCTTCCCTCAAGAAGACTTCTACAAGTTGCAATAATCCAAGGCAAATGCAATATGTGATACAGTGGAAGTACGTACAAAATACTAAGAATATAAATGCAGAGAGAGTGATATCAAAGGCATTCTATGAAGCTTAATATAGGCAGATTCACTGTGATAGGGGGATTAAGGAGGGTTTCCAGAAAGATTTTACGTGGAGTGAGTTCTTCAAGCTCAGACAGGATTGGAGGAAAGGATACTGCAGATAAAAAGGCAGAAAGAGCAAAATTATAGATCATGTTTAGGGAATGAAAAATGTTGCAGTATTACAGGCTTTTTTATGTTTATCTGTACCCTATATTTTTTTGTCATGAAATATTTCGCTTTCTGAATGTGTTTAGAAACTAGGGACTGTGGATTAAGGTTTTAATAAGGAATGAAACAGCAGAGGCCAGACTGTGAAAGACGGCAAAGGAAATCCGGGTAAGATAATTTATTTTATCATGTAATAAGATAATATCAAAGTTCTCAGAACAGAGAGTAATTAGATCAAGCCTGCTTGGAGGCAGGGAGAAGAGAAGGGAGTATTGCAAGCAGCTTAGACACCATCTCTGAGGTACAGCATTGCTGTCACACAGTGAGCACGTAACCACATGCCAGGACTGTACCATGGACCGCCCCTTAAATCCCCTCAACAGCCATGTGTCAGCAGGACTATAAGCATTAGCCTGCTTTTCAGATGGAACTGAAGCACTAAGGGGATACTGAGGGGTAGAGAGAACAAGTTATCTGTTGGTCTAACATGATGAGCATATGTAGCTCATGCCTTCAAAACCTGTGCTGCTTCCAAGGGGAGATAAGTGATTATGAGCATCAAGGTCTACTCAAATATTGGACCTTATGATCTTGAGTCCCTCTAAATTGCCTCTCACCATATTTCCATTAGCCACTTCACCAACCTCCAGTCCATCCTCATTATAACAAAAATTACCTCAGTCTCTCAGTGCTGGGTTGTTCTCCCCAGCAAACTTCCCAGTGGAGGCACTGCTCATCATGCCGTTGTTTGGTTCACAGATCCTTACTGCCTTGATCTTTTTCCCATGCCAACCCATCAAATCCATTCCCTTCACCCTCTCTGAACATGAGCCCGCCACTCTACGTAAAGGGCTATGAAAATCTTCAATGTCCTGCAGACATCACTCAATCAACTGTTATTTCCTCAGTAGTAACTGAATGCTCAAAACTGTGCTAAAATAGAAAAAAGAGAAATAAAACCTAAGAGGCCAGGCGTGGTGGCTCATGCCTGTAGTCCTAACACTTTGGGAGGCCAAGGCAGGCAGATCACTTGAGGTCGGGAGTTCGAGACCAGCCTGACCAACATGGAGAAACCTGGTCTCTACTAAAAATACAAAACTAGCCAGGCTTGGTGGTGCATGTCTGTAATCCCAGCTACTCAGGAGACTGAGGCAGGAAAATCTCTTGAACCTGGGAGGTGGAGGTTGCGGTGAGCCGAGATTGCACTCCAGGGCAACAAGAGTGAAACTCCGTCTCAAAAAACAAACAAACAAACAAACAACCCTATGGAACAGATGTTGCCTTTTGAACAGTTTTATTCCATTCATTAGAAAGATAGCTATGTGTATTAGTCTGTTCTTGCACTGCTATAAAGACATACCTGTGACTGGGTAATTTACAATGATAAGAGATTTAATTGACTCACTGTACTGCAGGCTGTACAGGACGCATGGCTGGGGAGTCCTGAGGAAACTTTTAATTATGGCAGAAAGGAAAGGGGAAGCAGGCACATCTTCACATAGCTGGTTGAGGAGGAAGAGAGGGAGGGAAGAGGTGCCACAGACTTTTAAACAGCCAGATCTTGTGATAACACAATCACTAGCAGAAGAACAGCACCAAAAAGGAAATCTGCCCCGATGATCCAATCACTTCCCACTAGTCTCTACGTTCAACATTGGGGATTACAATCTGACATGAGATTTAGTTGGGGACACAGACCCAAACTATATCACTACGTTTGTAAGATGAGCACAAGAAGGAAGACAAATATGTCTCTGTGTGTGTCTTCATTCCTATGTGAGTTTTAACTACCAAGCCTGTTCTCAAAGCCCTCTTCATTCATAAATGTCTGAACATTAACAGGATGGATATAGTGGGCAAATGAATATTTTGAATTCCTAAATAAAAGATTGTCGATAGATAAAGTCAACTCCAGATAGTAGATTCTGCCTAGCCCTAAGACCAATATGGCTAGGTGCTATGAAATGTTAGAGTGAGGATAGAAGATATAGGTGTGAATTGTTTAAGATGGAACATATGGAATAATCTAATGGTTAGAGACATCAAGAGAGGCGCTTCCTAAGTGTTTTCTGGAAACAAAGAAAACTTTAGGAGTTCTCTGAAGTATATGTTCTTTGCAAAAATATCTGTAATGCCTTGCCTGTTTTAAGCGAATTAATGGTAGCCTAATATTTCACCTCTCCCAAAAGAGTTAACTTTTTTTCTAAGATAAACAATGAGATTAACAATGTGAAAATGTGACGACTGGGTTCAGTGGCTCATGCCTGTAATCCCAACACTTCGGGAGGCCAAGGCAGACAGATCCCTGGAGCCCAGGAGTTGGAAACCAGTCTGGGCAACATGGTGAAATCCCATCTCTACTAAAAATACAAAAAGTTAGCCTGGCATGGTGGCACATGCCTGTAGACCCAGCTACTCTGGAGTGTGAGGTGGGAGAATCACCTGAGCCTAGGAAGTCGAGACTGCAGTGAGCCATAATCTCACCATTATACTCCAGCCTGAGCAACAGGAGTGAGACCCTGCCTCAAAAAAAAAGTTTAAAAGTCTGTCTTATATTTCTGAGTGTTTATGTGGATTTAAACTTGCTTAATCATTTCAAGCCCCACTTCAAAGAGCAGATACTAGAGCTCTTCAGATTCACAGGCCTATCTCACCTCTTATATGTGGAAGCACTGAAGAAGGTCTCACACAACAATCACTCAGTAGGGAAGTAGAGGTCACAAAACTAAGGACAATCTAAAGACTGGCTTGTTGTTTAATAAGAAACACTAAAAGAATGTAGTATTGATATGAAAAACAATGCTCTCCTAATATTGGCTTTATCACTAAGCATCTCTAATATTTTCAGTACACATTTTCATATGGACTTTTTATAGCCTTTATATTTTTAGAACAGTTTTGGTTTCACAACAAAATTGAAAGTATAAAATTATCCTATGTACCCCCAAATGGACTTCTAAAAAGCCTAAATAAATAATTTTTCAGTGTAGAATTTTCATAATTGAGTTAAACGGAAGGTATATCCCAGTCATTATTCTTAGTTGCACACAACATAATCCACTCCATATGCTTTTAACAGAAATGTTTTAAAGATATGAAAGTGGGCATAGAGGTTAACGTAAAATAGAGAGTTCGGAATAGAGTCAAGAAATAAACTCAGACATGTATAAAAATTTTGCCAAGATAAATGAATGTGTAAAAGAAAGCCTTTTCAACAAATGCTGCTGAAACATCTGGAGACATGTAAAAAGAGAGAGAGGAGGAGAAGGAGGAAGAGGAGGAGAAGGAAGGGGAGGGAGAGGAGGAGGAGAAGGAGGATGAAGGGAGGAAGGGAAGAAAGAAAGAGAAGAAAGGAAATCTCAACTTTTGCCTCACTTTGTAATCTAAAGTTAAAATGTATCATAGAACTAAATGTCAGACCTAAATCTACAACGTTTTTAGAAAAAAAGATAAAAACAATTTATGATCATGGGCTAAGAATAAATTTCTAAGACAATAAGCAAAAAGCACAACACAGATGGTTGAAGATTTGCTTTCCACAAATTCAAATATTTTGCTCTTTGACAATCATTTAAAAATGAAAAAGGCAATCTGCATACAGAAGCAAATACTTTAAAGAGATAAATATTTAAATATAAATATTATTTCCAATAAATATCTTGTATCCAAAATATAGCATATAGAGAACTCTTACAAACTCAATGATAGAAGACAAACAACCAAACCGAAAAAAATGGACAAAAGATTAAGACCTTTTTTCAAAGAAAATATACCAGTGCCTAATAAGCACAAGCTGCTCCACACCAGTAGTTATTAGGTAAATGCAAACTACAATTGCAGTGATACACCACTACATCTGCACTACGACGGCTGAAAATAAAAAGAGTGCCTGTGTTATATGTTGGCAAAGATATGCAGCAACTAGAACTCTCATACGTTGCTCGTGGTTATACTAAACAGTACAACCACAACCATTTTGGAAAAGAGTTTGACATTTTCCTGCAGTGCTAAGCATTCATTTACTATACTTTAAACTTATTTTTACACGAAGGCTATTCATAGCCACAAAAAAGTAAATGACCCAAAAGTCCATCAACAGGCAAAGGGACAAACAAAATGTGATAAACCCATACAGTGCAATATTATTCAACAATAAAAAATAAAAACCTACTAAATAGAAAGCAACATGGAAAAAACTCAAAAACATTACAATGAGATACCACCAGACAAAATAGAATAGCAAAGTCGTAGTGACAGAAAAGATATCAGTAGTTGCCAGGGGTGAGGGACATGATGTCCCTCACCCCTGGCAACTACTGATATCTTTTCAGTAACTGAAAGGCACAGAAGGGAACGTTCGGATTGGTGAAAATGTTCTATATCATGATTATAGTGGTAGTTATATGATCAAGAATATCTACAAAAACTCACTGAATTGTAACTAAAAATTTCTGAATCTTTTTATATTCAGAAATTCTGTAACTTCTGTAACTTACACCTCACTAAAGCTTAATTTACAAAAACAAAATACAAAGAAACACACACACACAAAGCCAAATCCATGATTTGAAAGAAATTTACCCATTTTTCCTGAAGATCTTCACTTGAAGCACCAAAAGAAGTATGCATTCAAACATAAATTAAATAATGTTTTTCAGCATGTTAAGAATAGTTATGATTTAATCTATAATCTGAGTGTATCTAGAATTTCATTGTCCAGTATAGCAGCCACCAGTACCTTGGGGTCTACTTAAATCTAAATTAATTAACAATAAAAAGAAGTCAAAGGTCCTCAGTCATGCCCTGCACATGTCAAGAGTTCAATGGCCACTGCAGAAAGGCCTAATTGGATGGCATGAATCTAAAATGACTCTCAAGGAAAGCCCATTTTTTTCCAGATCCAAATGGAAAAAGAGGTTAATTCTCCATTTTTTCCAGGCCTATACCAAATGTAATAGAAGCAGAAGTATGTAGAACTAGCATATGTCTAGGCTACGGGGTGGGAACTAAAATCTCTCCACGTTTCATATCTTTAGAGAGAGAGAAGTGATTGCTTCAGAGGTTTCTGGTTAGAACACAGGCAGGTAGTCATGGAAAGTAACCAATTCTGCCATGCGGTCTGACTAGAGCCCTGAGATGAAGGTCTGTGGAGTTGTGAGCAGAGTGAATATGCAGGGAGACGTGAAGGCAGAAGGAAGGGCAGGTTTGGCTGGATGCTTGCAATCCCCTCAAGCATCAGGATTCATTGTCTTCTTAGTAGAATTTCTCCATAGGCAAAAGGTCGATTCCTTTCCGTTTATCTCTCTTTCTTTTTAAACTATGTGCCTAAGAACTATGACATGCTCCTACCAGAGAAATGTGTTTACTGATTCTCAATTCAATGAGTTCATGGATAGGAATGCTAATTATATGAAAATAACGTATCTCATATGGACTGTCCTTGGATTAAACATAAAAGCAGGCGCCAGTTTGTAATAATCCTTCCCTTTGGGACTTCTAATAGTTTCTACTATGTATTTCTGAAGTAAACTTTATGTACAGTGATGATTTGAATGTTAATGTCTTGCCCTTTTATAGAATCTGTTTTCTAAATTTCTCATGATGTAAAGACTGAATATTCACATATTTTTCATTTCCGAATGTTGGAGCTTTTTCTAAAAATTGTTCAATAGTTATAATGCAGTTTTCTGCTTTAAAGAGACATATAAGATTATTATTGTGGAGAAATTCTGTGAAACAATGGTATGTTATTGGGAAATTTTTAAATTAAATATTTTATTCATTTTACTTCCCATGCATTCAAATTTCAAGTGGCGCTTCTTATAAGTCCTCCCATCATTTATGAGATGAAGCTGCCGCTGGGAAGGCTGACATTTCTCAAGGGTTATTTATCAAGCCGTTGGGTGTGTTTTCCATTTTTATTGCTGGTCATGCTCTAATGCCTCTGTAGAAGAGATAGCGAAATTGAAATTGGATGCATCCTATCTCTCCAGCCAGCTGAGAGCTGGCAACCTGGAAAAAAATTGTAGTATGTAGCTCTCCCTCTTTTAAAGCAAAGACCAGAAGTATCTTAACTCCTGGGAAACATAGACTCCACCACCTATTTGCAAATGATAGCAGGTCCAAACTTCTTAACATACCATTGAAGGACCTCGGATATCTGACTTCTACATAACTTTCTCAGCTCAACTCCCACTGTGTCACCAGCATTTCCTCAACATCCCCTTTTGTGTCCTATTTACTCTGCCTCTGAGTTGCTCCTCATACTCTACTCTCAACGATTTCCACCTCCACTTCTGCTCTGCCCATGGAATTTTTCAGGATTAATCTTCAATAGTCTTATCTCTAATGAGTCTACTTAATAAATTAGCAGAAATTGTCATAAAGGAATCATTTGCTAGTGAACATATATTCGGTCATATATAATAGAGAATATCAGTTAATGCCCCTGAAAGATGATTTACTAAGCAAATGTTCTGTTCCATACACTTGCTTTCAGTCACAAGTAACAACAGTAACAATAAAATAATCAAACATTGATTTTAAAAATAAAAGATTTATTTATCTCCCACAAATAGGAATACTCGGTGCAGGCTGATACAGTGGTTCAGCAATATAAAGGATTTGGGCTCCTTTTATCTTCCTGCTCTGATATTTTACTGTGGGACTGTGGTTCCTTTGGCAACAAAGTTCTAGTCCACCTCCACACGTCTTTCTTATTCCAGGTAAGAAAAATGGGGAAAGGGAGGCAACATTCAGAATGGTGGCATAAGAACCCCTGAAGATATGCTCCTTCACGAAAGCAATGAGAACACCAGCAAAAATGGCAAATCAACGTTTTAAGAACTCAGCAACATTAACACAATCTAGATGGGGAGGAGAAATCTGATTTCCTGAGTTGCCACATTGTATTATTTAAAATTTCCATTTTTGATGAAAACAAATACAAAACATGCAAAGAAATAGTACATTATGACACATGTACAGGAAAAGCTAGTAAGTCGAAACTATCCCTGAGGAAGACCAAAGTTCAGGCTTACTAAAAAAGAACATTAAATCACCTGGTTCAAATATGTTCAAAATCTAAAAGCAACCATGTCTAAAAAACTAAAGTAAAATATAAGAGCACTGTTTCACTAAATAGAAATTATCTTTTAAGATAGGAAGTAGAAAAATGTACCAAATAGAAATTCTAGAGTTATGTACAATAACTTAACTGAGATGTTTATTAGAGGCTCAACATTAGATTTGAGGTGGCAGAAGAAAAATCAGGGAACTTTAAGGTAAGTCCATCAAGATTGTCCAGGCTTAGGTACAAAACTAAGAAAGAATGGGAAAAAATGAACAGAACTCAGAGATATCTGTGGGACACCATTAAATCTATCAAATGCACTTAATGGTAGTACTAGGAAAACAGGCAAGAAAAAAAGGGACAGACAGAATATTTAAAGAAATAATGTCCAAAAAAGTCACAAATTTGGTTAAAAAATAATCTGAACATCTGAACTTGGAGTTCAATAAACTCCAAGTGGAAAATATTCAGAGATCTTGACAAATACACATCATAATCAACCTGTCAAAGACAAAGAGAGAAACTTAAAGCAGCAAGAAAGAAGCAAATTGCCATGTACAAGATCGCCTCAAAAATATTAACAGCTGATATCTCATGGAGATCAGAAGATAATGGAATAACACACGCAAAGTGCTGAAAGAAAAAGAATGTGAACCAAGAATTCCTAATTCAGCAAAACTATTTTTCAGAATGAAGACGAAATTAATACATTTCCAGATAAAACTGAGTTTGTTGCTAGCATGCATCTTTTAAGGAAATATTGAAGGGAATTCTTTAGTGTGAAATGAAAATACACCTAGACAGTAACTTAAATCCATATAAATATATATGGTAAAGGCAACTATGTAGGTAAATATAAAAGACAGCATAAACAGACTTTTTGCTTATAACTATTTTATCCTCTTATCTAATTCAAAAGACAACTGCACAAAATAATAATAAAATTATGTTGATTTGTTTGTACCATATAACATTAAAATTGGTATTACAACAATATTACAGCAGAGAGTAAAATCCATAGGAGCAAAATTTTTGCATACTACCAAATTTAAATTGATATTAATAAAAACTAAAGTCTTATAAATTAAGATATTAATTGTAACTCCCAGGGGAACCTATAGGAATTAATTCAAGAAATATATAACAGCAACAGGGGAATTAAACTGATACACTATAAAATAGTTAACTCACACCAAAAAAGACATTAATGGAGAAACAGAAAAACACAAAAGATATAAACTATACAGAAAACAAATAGTAATTACAATAATTGATTTTACATTACATTAGTAATTATATTAAAAGTAATTGGATTAAATACTTCATTTCTAGGACAGAGATTGGTAGAATGGATTAAAAGAAGATGATCCAACAACATGTCAAGAGGAGCACTTTAGATTTAAAGACGCAAGTAGCTTAGAAGTAAATGTATGGAAAAATATATACCATGTATAGGGTAATGAAAGAGAGCTGGAGTGGCCAAATGAATATCTGAAAAAATATACTTTATTAACATTTTTCACTAGAGGAAGAAAGGAAATTATATAATAACAAGACTAATCCATCAGAGAGAAATAACAATTATAAACATATTTGTACCTGAGAACAGAGTCCCAAAATACATGAGGCAAAAACTAACAGAATTGAAGGGTGCAATAGACAATTCAGAGATAATAGTTGAAGACTTCTATCCCACTTTTAATAATAGCTAGAAAAACTAGACAGAAGATCAACAAACTAGAAAAAAGAAATTTTTTTTCAGCAGGTTTTACTGGAGATATTTGGTATAAACATAATTATAATGATAGTCTTGTTGTATTCCCAGGTTATAGATGGAAAAGAAATAAATTACAACTTGCAAACAAATGACATCAATAAGTAGTTTATATTCACTAATTATAAAATATGAGATGGTATAAGTCATTCAAAATGAGCTCTGTAGAAAAAGTCATTAAATTATTTTATAAGTGGATGTTTTGTTGCTTTTCACAATTTTGTTTGAAGAGGAGTTCAAATTAAATTAACAAGTATCGAAAGAGAAAAATAGCTATCATATTGCATGAACATGTAATTGAGAAACAGATGTTGCTTCCATGTATGGAAAGAATATGACTTGAAAAAGGGATTCTTATGACCAAAGGGCAACTAGGAGTGTAAACAATGAGGAAAACCAAGCTTGGCTTCACCTGCAAAAACTATTGGAAAACACGCAGCTCAGCTGGATTCCAGTGTAAAACCAAGGAAAGGAAGACTTGCAAATCTGTTTAAACAATGAATATTCTGTTCTTAAAGTCATAGTTTCAATACATTTTGGTGTGATTCCAAGATTTTTTTTTTAACCCTAGGAATAGCAACTTCATGGTAGGTTTTTGAGTTATTGCGTATCTAAAAATGTCTTTAATGTTTTTCTGCATAAGAAGACAACTTCTCTGAGCATACAGCTTTTGAATAACAGCCATTTACCACACATGCACAAAAATGTTGACTATATCTTGATTGTCTTCTGAAACTAGGTGCAGAGGAAACGATGGAGCCAACTTAAATTTTCATACCTGTGGATGTAAAATAGTCAGTCTTCTTTAACACCTACAGAATCTTTCTAAATTCTTTTAACTAAAAAGAAAAATACCATAGTGGGAAAGGCTGTGTGTATGTGTTGGGCGGTGGCAATATAAAAATTCTCTGTACTTTCTGCCCAACTTTCCTATGAACCTAATACTACTTTAATAAGTAAAGTCCATTTAAAAAGAAAGAAGAAACTAGGGGTGATGGCTCATGTCTGCAATCACAGCACTTTGGGAGGCTGAGATGGGAAGACTGCTTGACCCCAGGAGTTTGCAACCAGCCTGGGCAACACAGTGAGACTCCCTATCTACAAAATATAAAAAGGAAATTAGCTGGGCATTTTGACACAAGCTTACAGTCCCAACTACTTCAGAGGCTGAGGTGGGAGGATCACTTAAGCCCGGGAAGTTGAGGCTGCAGTGAGCCATGATTGTGCCACTGCACTCCAGCCTGGGTGATAGAGGAAGACCCTGTCTCAAAAAAGAAAAGAAAAGAATGGATTTTCTCAAATCCATCTGCATGGATTTGAGAGTGAATCTTCCCCCACTTTTAATCCGAAAATCCAGTTATCATTTGGAGCTCTTTCACATTGCCTTAATTGTACTCTTAAATTTTTAAAATTTCACTGCAACTCTTTAATTTATGCATCTCTGTATTACCCTACTGAGATTTCCAGCTTCTCTCTTCTCTTCTTATGCATTACCACCCTGGTTTCTTAGACTTCATTTTATCCTACAGCCTATGGGGGAGGTTAAGCATTTTTCCACATTTTCTTCCTATTTATAGAATACAACAGTTGCAAAGTTTGTTAGATTTCCTCTGTGACTCAAGGTGTTATTCACTTGCTGTGATGATTAATGTTATGTGTCAGCTTGATTGGGAGACAGTATGTCCAGATATCTGGTTAAACATTACTTCTGGGTGTGTCTGTGAGATGTTTCCAGAAGAATTTGAGTTGGTGGACTGAATGAAGCAGATGGCCCTTCCCAATGTTTTTGGGCATCATCCAATCCATTGGGGGCCTGAATAGAAGAAAAAGGCAGACGAAGGAGAATGGATTTGTCCTCCCTCTGCCTGCCTGCTTGAGCCAGGATACCAATCCTTTCCTGCCCTCAGTACTCCTGGTTCTCAGGCCTTCCAACCCAGACTGCAATCTACACCATTGACTCTCCAGCTCTCAGGCCTTCAAATTGCATAGCTGGCCTTTGTGGGTCTCCAGCTTGCACACAGCATATTGTGGGACTTCTCAGTCACTCTACATTACCGCATGAGCCAATATCCTATAATAAATGTCTTGATTAGATAAATAGATGGCTACATAGATAGCCTATTGGCTCTGTTTCTCTGGAAAGCTCTGGTTAATACACTTGCCCTTTTTGTATTTCATAGAAGGTGTTTGTTCGCTTGTTGTTAAAAAAAAAAAAAAAAAAAGCAAGCTCTAACCAGAATCATTGTTTCCCAGCAGTCAATATATGTGGATTCCTTCCGAAGCATGCCACAATCCCTTTGGTGTAATCAAAATTCCTCCTTAGATACTCAGGTTGATGTGCATAATTGTATCCTATTTCCTAGTGTTTACAGACATTCATATATTTCGGCTTTGTTGGGCTATGGCTGGATTTCTTAATAGTTTCAACCAACAAAGCACAAGACCAACCTCAGATTCCAGTGTGCACTGCTGTAAGGGTTCCTCCTCATTTCCCCATTGTTTGCAGTCCTTTGCCTGTGAAGTCAACGTTCTTCCCTCCACCCCACCTGCTTTATGCCTTGTTATTGTCCACAAGGATGATTTTTCAAAGCAGATGATAGAGGTAAAAACACAGTAAGGAAGAGGAAAAGACGCTTTAATTGTAACAATAATCAGCACGTGAAAATAATAGAAATGATCCCCTAGTCTTGGTGCTATTGATCTAGCTTCTCTAAGACTGATGGTATATAGTGGACAAAGGCCAAGTAACGACAATTTGTGGAAGAAACACAAATGGCTGATAGTAATATGTGTGAAACTCAATCTTGGTAATAACCAGAGAAATGCACCTTAAAACAAGGGTACATTATATTTGTCTCTGATCTTAGCAAATATTTTAAAGTGAAAATAGTGATTGTGTGAATGCACATTGTTAGTGAGAGTGCAAATCAGTGAAGGGTTTTTAAAATTCTTACATCCTCTGAATCAGTAATTCTACTTCCAGGAATCTATTGTAAAGAAACTATAATAATAAAATGTGATACACAACATTACTTATAAAAAAAACCAAGACACCAATAACAGGAAAATGGTTAAAATGAAATTTGGTGCAGTTCCTTTAGGTAATTTTTTAAAAAAAAAAATTTTAATATTTAAGAATGTTTGTTATATCACGTTAATCCAAAAAAAGATTCATAACTCTGTTATATACTCCATATCATGCATAGGAATATCCAATTTTGTTCTACACATATATTTTATGTAGGCAAATTTTTCACCATATAAACATGTTTAGATATGCGTCTTTGCATAGACAAATTATTAGAAATATAGAATATTAATAATTGTTTTTGTTATAATTTATAAACTTTTTTTACTTTTTTCTATTTCTGATGGACTATGCTATGACATTTTTGTTTCTTTTAAATTTGGAATAGAAACGAGTAACATTGTAAAAATATATTTATTACTTTTAGAAAAATAATGGATTAACATGTTGATACAAAATTGGTTGGTTTTCTTTTTTTGCTTGCTTCCAATTGTTACTGGAACCTCAAAACATTACTGAGTCCATAGCACAGAATGAGACATAACCATGCTAACATAATGATAGAAAAAGAGGTAAAACAATTGATTGACTCCACTGGTGAATCATGCTTAGAAGCTGCTCAAAGGAAACTGTACTCTGTGTGATATGAATAAACTCAGAAGACATTCTGGAACCATTTATAGTAGTGAAAGAAATACTTTATTAAGTGGTCTCCAATGTATGGACTAGAAATGATTAATCATTCCTGACATTTACTAAGGTAAAAATGTCACAGATAAATAGACGGATGGATGGATAGATAGGTAGATAGAGATAGATAGATAGATAGATAGATAGATAGATAGATAGATAGATAGATAATAGATATATAAAGCAGTTAAACTACAGACAGAACAAAAAAACATTCAAGGTGAACATTTTATTTAGTTATTTCATTTGTTGACTTATCACTATTATTCTGTCTCTTCTACAAAGAGAACCAGGAATCAAAATTTCTGAAAATTCACTCTCTGCTCATCATCTATGGGCACGCATTTTCAAAAGGTGTTCTAAAAAATGAATACCTTATTGATTACTAGAAATTCAGCCTCAAACCTCTATAATCCCTGCCAATGTGGTAATGTGGGTCAGACCAAGAAATCTTGATTTTCCCCTAGCTTAAAGCTCAGACAAAAAGAGATTAGGTGGCTTATTTCTTTCTTACTGTCTCCTGGATCCACTGGGTTGATATTGCTTGGCTTTGTAACTCAGGGTTAGTAAAAAGAGGGATGGGAGATGTATTTTCTCACTGGTTAAAGGAAATTCTGGCCCACATTTCATCAGCAACCCCATGGAAATGGAATTATACAATTAAATACGAAGTTCTAAATAATAAAGAAATTTAACAGGGACATGGAAAATATGTATTCTAATCACTGGTATTTTCCAACTCAAAGCACCACTTACTGATAGTAGGACCAGGTGTTTTCCAGATTCCTTGACCTGACTCTTCTTACCAGTGAAGAATGGGCAACTCATAACTCCCATTAGAGGTTAATGTTCTAGTTACAATCACCAACTACTTGGAGTCTTTCTTTTAAAATGAGTAAAACAGCTACGATTGTGTATTTTGTTATGTTCAAGGTATTACACTTATTGACTTACGTTGTTATTTCAATTAATCCTACCAAAGCCTCGACACACCAAGTGCTACGAGTTCTCACCCCCTCATGTAAGATGAGGGGACTGAGATTCCAACAGGGCCTCACAGCTGGAAGATACAGAGCTGGAATTCTTGTCCAAATTTGTCTAAGCACAGAGCTTTGATTCTTCACACCTCTGCAACACTGCCTGGTGAACTCATTGATTTAACTAAATCATATTGTTTTAAAATCAGTGTAGACATCATTGTAGTGTGCTATGCTTTACTTCATTCCAGGTTTTTAGTATGAATTTTAAGATCAAAGATGCTCTAGGTATCTGTAATTAGATGTTATCTGCTCATGAATCTACTGTATAAACCCAGCATTTAAACCCAATCCCTCTCTAAAGTACACACGCACCCACATGTAAGTAACGTCTGTGGTATACTTCTTTGAGATTTGGAGGCAGGAGTGTGTGTACAGCATTAAAAAACAAAAGCTGACCCTCTGTCCTTGAAACCATCCCTTCTCTTTTGACTGAATTCTGCTGGTTCACATCCCACTCTGGCAGCTTCTTCTCCATCTTATCTTCTCCTAATTATGGCAATTATTCCCTAAATGATGGTATTTCTCAAGATTCAATATCTGTATCTGAGACTGCTAGCTGACCATCAACCCTATTTTCTCATATTTTAGGGCACAGTCAGGCAACTTTTCCCAACTTCATGTCCAACCAGTGGAGATGACTCATCTCTTCCAGGTCAGACACATAAACATGTTCTATGCATGATCCCCCATGCTCTTTACAGAGGTGTGGGCAAGCACAGTGACTCAGAGTGAATTTCAAAGTGGTAATGATTTGGCAGCCTGGCGCGGGCCCCTGGATAAAATGCAAGACACAGAACTCCCTGCTTCTGCCCCCTCTGAATTGGACCCTATAAGGGAAATAGCTGTGCTTTAGTCAGGAGTAGGCTGAGGCAGCCTTCCAGCACAGCATGACTCAGCGGGTTTGGAGCACAGGGGCACAATCCCACACATTATGTAACCATGCCATGTGAGGCGCATTAGGTGATCACCCACGTGAGCTCGTGCTTGGCTTGGAGCCACTGTTGTCTGTAAAAGGTATCATTACCCTGCTAACACTGTACCTATGGCTCACTCATACCCAGAGAGAGTAAAGTCATGTCAAAACTGTCTATGATTCCTCGAGTGTTTTTCTAGCTACCCGCCACTCTCCCTCAGGCCTCCATTAGAACCTGACAGACCCATAAGATTTGGTTAAATGAGCAAGAAAGAAGTCACCTCTTTGTGAAACTGATGAAAATTGGGCATTTGTTGTTTTATGATCACTAGCCCATATTAGCCAATATAGAAATTAGTATCTTGAAGTGGGTACTGCCCTGATGAAACTCTCAAATACGTGGCATTGTTTTAGCAGGCAGGAAGAGGTGGCAAGGAAAACTGATTCAGGCTGGAGAACTGAAAAGCCTGGTTATTCTATGGCAAAATACTTGGAAAACCGTCTTCCACATTAATGTGGTAGGCAGATCACCTTCCAGCCAAGCCTGTAGCATTGGGGCATCAGGTGGAAAGAGTTAGAGCTTTGCTGCGTTTGGTGACTTTAGGCTACCATTAGCTTGGGATGAAATAAGCTTAGACAAAATGTAATGGTTTGGAAACAGAAATTAAAGTAAATATAGAACATCTGAAAATAAGGGACTTTTGGGGTTAGAAAAGGCAAGTGCTTCTGGCTCCAAACAGAAGGAAATAAAACCGATGAGAGCCTTGAGCAACAAAGGCTTACCAGACTTCTCAGTTGAACAAAATGACTTGGACCTGCATTAAATACCAAGCCCCATTGCCAAATCTGTTATTTAAGATAGCTTTAAAATAGCCACCAGTAAATTGAGAGAAAGAAGCATGTTAGGAGCAAGCAAACATAAAAGGCATGTGCAGGAATGAGCTTGGGCATGGCTCTTCCCCCATGGAACTGACTGGACTAGAAATAAATAGGTCAGAAACCCATCTGTTTCTGAGCAAAGGGTGTTGCCCAAGAAAACATGAGCCTGGTCTATAAAAGCCCTACAACTGTGAGGTGAGCCTTGAAACAACCTTCAGGAGCTAACATTTACCAAGCAGGAAGCAGGCAGCAAGTGATTTAACTACAAGGAGAGCCCACTCCCCACAGCTGACTTCAGTGTAGCCATGGAAAAGGAAAAGAAAATAAAACCTCTCAAATGCACATCTATTTGATACTCATATAAAACAAATTATCCCCCAAACATAGCAACTTTAAAAACATTTATTACCTTACACAATTTCTGTGGGTTAAGAATCAAGGAGCAATTTAGCCAGGGGATTCTGGCTCAGGATCCCCCAGGAGGTTGCAGTCTTGTTGTTGGCTGTGGCTGCAGCCAGCTAAGGGCTTGACTGGTGCTCCAAGATCAGCTTCCAAAGTGGCTCAGTCTCAGACCCAGCAGGTTAGTGCAGGTGGTTGGCAGAGGCATCGGTTTCTCACCAAGTGCACCTCTCCACTGGGCTGCTCATGCACCCCCATGACACAGCAGCCATTCCCCTCTACAGAGGGTGATCCAGGAGGGGTCAGGATGGAAGTCACATGCTGTCGTTCCACAATATGCTACTGTTTGCCCAGGCCAGCCCTGCCCCATGTGAGAGAGGACTACACAAAAGACTTGCATTAGGGCTGCGGAAACAGAAGACCACAGGGTGGGTGGCTTAAAACCACATTCTATCACAGCTCTGGAGGCAGGAAGTCCAAAACCGAGTGTCATAGGGTTGGTCCATTCTGGGGGCTCTGCGGGACAACCTCTTCCATGCTTCTCTCCTAGTATGTGTGGTTGCCAGCATTGCTGGGCCACCCTTGACCTCCCATCTCTGCCTCTGTCTTCACATGGCCTGCTCCTCTCTGTCTCTGTCTGTCTCCAAATCTCCCTCTATTTGTAGAAAACCAGTTAGTGAATTTACAGACCACCAAACCCAGTAGTACCTTATCTTAACTTGACTACATCTGCAAAAACCCGCTTTCCAAATAAAGTCACTGAGGTTCCAGGTGGACATGAATTTTGGAGGGACACTATTCAACCCCACACAGACCAGAATGCCAGTAGCTGCCTGTCATCTGGGGCCATCGCGGAGGCTCAGGACAACAGCTGTGACCTTTGGGCTTCTACTGTTGCTGCTGTCATTGTGGCTGTTAAGCTGTTGTCCTACCTACACTATGCATTCCCTCCTCCTTTCACCCCGCAATTCCCCTTTGTCCATTCAGCCTATTCCTGTGGTTCCAACTTGTGCTACTGAGCTGATGAAATAACAAACTGTCATTTTGAACGGCCTTCTGAGTTCCAAAACCACATTTTGATTGTCCTGCTTAAAACTGTGATGCAAAATTTCCAAACCCTAGAGACATCTTCTAAACAGAATTTACCATCTAATCCCTACAGACACATAACAAGCTACACCCACTCAGATACATCATGAACGCCTCTCCCAACCCCCACGCCATCAATTATGAAATCCTTTTCTTTGCGCCACTCCTATCTCATTGCTGTCACTGCCCACATTCAAAGCCAGAACCGGAGGCCCCTCCTTCAGCATCTGCCAGTTCCAAGCCTATGCTACTGACAGTCCCCACCCCTGGGAGTGTTTGCACAGATATCGAGCAAAGCACAGTGCTTCTTTATTATAAAATACTCAGTAGTTTCCTATTTCAGACTTTTTATACTCGTTTGTGAAAGCCCCACAGTCTGATGAAGCTGTTTTTCCTAACATGATCAGTCCATTGCCTTTTTTTACTCAATGTGTTTCTTCTGCATGAATTGTCCTTCTTAATTCCTGCATCTTTAAAAATACCCCTCCAGT
The DNA here is from genome assembly GCF_000001405.40 of Homo sapiens. Lineage (NCBI taxonomy): Eukaryota > Metazoa > Chordata > Mammalia > Primates > Hominidae > Homo > Homo sapiens. Next base: position 165,185,113 of record NC_000006.12, read on the forward strand.
TCCATTTTCTTCAAGAAGCTATTCCAGGTCTCCACAGATAAAACTGGTCTCTCTCTTCCTTCACTCTCAGTACTAGATCCTGCCTTACTTATTGTATAGCTACATCAGAATGAAATTCTTAACACAGGTACCTGGATCCCTAGAAAAAGGAAAGATTCTTGGTCATCTTGTTGACTCTAGGGCCTGTCAGAGGAGACCCTGCACATTGTAAGAGTTTGATAAATACTTCTTGAATATATGTAGAATAAATTACTATTGAGCTATTTTATATTCTAAAATGATATGAATTAAAAAACAAATATTTAATTAGATGCACTTTTGACAATGAAAATGCAGTTAATGTGTCATTTCCTATCCTTTTCATTTTAAGGGTTGTGAATGATCACCTCCTCAGTTTACAATGTCAACAGTCAACTCAATGGTGAGAGAGAGAGAAAACAGCTTACTGTCCAATAATCAGAGGAAGATGTTGATTCTAAATTTTCACAAAAACCAATGCTGTTTCTCAGAAGAAACTAAAAACTATTAAACAGGGGTTTGATCTGATTTAATCTGGTTACTTTTCTTCTAAAAATAATCATTGGTAGAAGATGTTTGGGGGATTACAGAAAGGAATGTGTTTCACTGGGTCTCTCTCAGGTTTCCCTTTTGCAGGTGGACCCACATCTCACAGAGTAAGATGTATTCTTTCCTTCATCCAAGGAGAACATCTTGGACCACACAACCTGAATGTATATCAGACACTGGCCCAGAGCAGAGACAGAGATGTTTTATTCATTTTCCCTGTTACATTTTTGCAGGAAAAAAATATATTTTTTCACCAGAGCCAGAAGCCACAGGACTGGACTTGAACTATGAATTAGGGAAGTTCATATGTGCAAGTTACTTAACTGCCTGTGCTCTGCAACATTATATTCACAACTTTGTAGTTCCCGAAGCTATAAGAAATTTATCAACTCGTTAACTCACTGTCTTTTTGCAGGCCAGAGTTCATAAAGTAGAAACTCACTCTAAGGAACAATGGAAAAGAAAATCTTCAAGAATTTGCAGTATTTTCTACGGAAAACGAGGGGTCCATGGGGACCATTGATGCTGCCACGGGTAAGCTTGTGGTCACTTACTCACACTTGATGTGTGGCCCTGGCCTGTGAGGTCACCCAAGCCACAATAGTCCTGGCAAAGTGGTTAACAGGATGTGGCTGGCAAGGTGGCTGTGGCCTCCCCTGGTGCCCGACACCCCCATCTGGGGCATCTGGGACCCTCACACTCGGCACCTGGCCCTCCCCTGACTCCCACCCAGGCTTGTCTCTCCAGGCTGCCACACACTGGGAGCTTTAGTCTCTCTACAATAGGAGGCTCCCTAAGGGCAGGACGTCTGACCCTTTCTTCACTGGCACCCCGGCCCTGGAAGAGGCTGGAATCACTGCACAGACCCATGCACCCTCGATGAATCGTGCATCTGGAGCCCTCAGCTGGGAGTGAGATAGAATCGAGGAGCAGAGCTGCCCCGTGGCCTTGGCCAGAGGTGCCAGGAGCTCAGGTGGAGGGGGGCTACCGGGCAGGATGCCCTGGCCACTGGCCTCCAGTGCCCTGGGGTGGGGTTGCTGCAGGGTGGCATAGTTGCTGCTCCCCCTGCCACATTCTGAGAGCTTCCCTGCTACTGGTAGACTTTGCAGTCAGTGGAAGCCTTCAAGGAAAATATAAGAAGTCCTTTAACTCTGTGCTTTTCTAAAATACACAGTCTCAAAGATCTTATTCTGTATGAAAACAATGTAGACATTCTTTGCGGCAGGAGAGCTAATTGTTATCAATGACAAGTCCAAAAGATTTACCATGAATGAAGGAAATGCACTGGCATTTCTGCTAAGGTGTGGTATTTCCTCTCTTATACCCGCATGCTGGTGGCTGTTTGTACAGGGAGCAGGGAGTGAGCACCTGTTAAAGAAAACGCTATCTCCCTGCCCCAAACATGTTGACAGAGGGCTATCTTGCTCTGGGAGATTTTCTTTCTTCCTCTTAAAAAACAATATGAAGAATATTTTTCTTCTTAAAAAATGCACAGAGAACAGTATTGCAAATAAAGAAAATACACCACATAGAGTGGTACTGGAGAGCTCAAATGTCATGAAAAGATACTTAGTAAATACACTTAGCAACATTAAATCAGCATTAGAGTAACTACTACAGTAAAATAAAAATATACCTAACAGAAAAGAATGGACCACCCTGCTAAGCCCATGAGGCACAAGCCCACATGCAGATGAACACTGCAAGATGTTCTAAGTGCTGGCCTTTAATGCTTAGAGTTAAAACATGATGGGCACCTGGAGGCCACAGGTCTTAAGAAAGTCAATGAATTTCTCAGTACTTTCAGGAAATATGTATTAAAGATCCCCCAAGAGAAATTCGTATGTGCTGTAAGCCCAGCAATAAATGTACTTAGCACATGTGGAAATCAAGGCCATTCTGAAGAACTCTGTGACTTCTCATTTGTAGAAACACTGGGTGTAAATCAACGGTGCAGTAGATTTTCAGGGCAAACACAAGACCATGAGTCCCTTGAGGGTAAACCCACTGGACATCCCTAGCAATCTCCATCCCCAAGATAAACACTGGCTTATTTCCTTGCTTTTTTATTGAGTTGATAAAGAAATTTGACGCTCATATGGAAATCTGAAATCTGAGCTACTGGGTTATGAATTAAGTAGATGATTTTCTAAAATATCTTCTTTATATTCTATATAAATAAATAGTAATGAGTAAATAAATACAGTTTAACGTCTCAGCCAATGGAACAATGTCTGCTACAGCCAGGCCCAGCTTCACGGAATAGAACTAGGAACAAACAAATGGCCTCTGAGATTTTCAGTATGTTTGCTGATGAGAGATGTATAATTCTATAAACCAGGGCTGGTTCGAGGTTTTGTTTTGTTTTGTTTCACCTCCTTCTCCTCTCCCTCCTTCTCTTCCGCCTCCATATTTCCCTTCATCTCCCAGCTCCCCTCCGTTTTCAAGCCCCCTCCTAATGGAGAAGATGAGGAGGGTGAGTCCAGGCATCCAGGTTCTAACTGTGAGAGCAGGGCTGGGGTCTGCAATGATGAATGGTGGGTGCCAAGGTGGCTGAGAATTCCCCTTTACTGAGACCACCATGTGCCAGGCACTGGGCTGGGGTGTCCCACGCCTCATTTACCATATACAAACAGGAAGCTGAGAACCTAAGTAACACAGATTACTTTAAGGTAACCTAAAGTCACAGCTAATCCTAATCCTAGGTCTTCCCTTCTGTATTCAGAGCCTGAGCACAGCTTTGATTCCTGTCTCCTGCTTCCTAACTGTGTGCCCTGGGGATGTGTACTCAACCACTGTGTGCTTCCTTGGGGATGATAGTGATAGCTACCTCAAGATGATTGTGAGGACTAAATGAGGCAATCCATGCAATAGGCAGTGTATCTATCCATTTCTTCTAGTAGTCTATTAAAATCTCTCCTATGAAAGTAGCTTTGTAAATGATTTTTATAATCCACCCTCCTTTTCCTGTTGCTTTATTTTGAGGCCATGGTGTTACATAAATAAGGGACATGATATTAATATCTTCTTGATTGCTTTATCCGTAAGAAATGTCCTTCCTTATCCTTCTTAATGCTTTTCACCATAACTTTTTTTTCATATAGCTAATTGAGCTTTCTTTAAGATAACATCTTTGTGGTTTATCCTTCTGCCCTCACTATATTTTCTATCTTCTGTGTCTTTGTGTTTTAGGTAAATACTCTTGTAAACAACATGCAGCCGGACTTTTAAAATGCAATCTGAAAATATTTGCCTTTTAATAGATGAATTTTATAGATCGTTTAATTAGTTTAAATTATTAAATCTATTCCTAAGTATGTTATCTCTTTTGTTACTGTTATAAATAAGGTATTCTGTTCCATTATATTCTAACTGGTTATTTTTTCTGCATATGAAAGCTATTGATTTTTGTGTGTAAAGTTTATATCCTATTACCCTGATTAATGATTTTATTGTTTGAGTTAGTTTTATTATTGCTTCTCTAGGGATTTTTAAATATGCTATTATTTCACCTATTAATCATGGTTTTACTTCTTATTCTTTTCTTCTGATTGTTCTCTTTTGCTCAATTTCATTGGTTTCCCATAACACGATTAATAGTAATAAAGAGTGCAGTCATCCTTGCCTTGTTCCTGATCATGACAGGAATGCCTCTAGTCTCTCCATTAAGAGTGTGGCTTTAAAAATAAGATATTTGTATGTTATGATATTAAGGAAATATTCATCCATAGCATTCTTTGAAAGTTTTAAATAGAATGTGTGTTGAATTTTGGCAAAGTATTTTTAAACACATTTGGAGATCATCCCATGATCTTTCTTTTTAGACCCATTAATATGGGACATTATATTAATAGATTCTCTAATGTTACATTAGACTTGCATAAATGCTATAAATTCCATTTAGTCGTGATGTAATTTTTGGTTAATGTGGTTCTCCAACCTGTGTACTAAATTATTATAATTAAGATTTTTGTATCAAAATTCATAAGCAACATTGATGTATATTTTCCTTTTCTTGTATTAACTGGTGTCAAAGTTAATCTTGACTTGTAAAATGAATGTAGAAGTTTGTACTCATTTTCTATGCCCTGAAATGACTTTTTTTTAACTTTGGAATTATCTGTTTTTTTCATATTTTGGTAGAATTCCTCTGTGATAGCATCTGTGCCTGATTCATTTGTGTAAGATAATGCCTTGACAAATTTTTTCTTCTTCTATGGGAATTAATGTAAGTTTTTTATTTATTGAGATCAATTTTGACAAATTTTACTTTTCTAAAAATTACTTGCATACAGGTATAACAATGTCTTATATTCTTTTAAATTCTCTCTGTATCTATAGATATTTTGTATATTTATGTTTCATCTCATTTTTCTTCATGAACTTGGCCATAGATTTTTTCGTATCTTCAAAGAACCAAAATTTTCAACTATTTGTTGAATCTAATATTTTCCTGTTCTATACCTCACTATTTTTTTCCTTTACCTTTATTATTTTCTTATTGTGTTTTCATCATGTTTACTTTGTTGTTCTTTGAATAACTTCTTAAGTTGGAAATTTAACTCATTTATTTTCACTCTTTTGTTTTCACTGACAGAGAGCCATTTAAGGCTATGAATTTTCCTCTAGTCAGTGCTTTGAATCTATCCCATTGATTCTCATATGGATTATTATTATTATTTTCCAGAAATTCTGAAATTTCAAGTTATATTTCCCCCCTCTTCAAGAGTTGTTTAATAAAAGGTCTTAAATTTCCTTTGAAATAATTTTGGAAGTTTTGTTTTAATAATCCCTTTTAAAATTGTGTGGTTTTGTATGTGTTTTTATCAAAGAGTTTTGTTTGTAATATATTTACTATATAGAATTGACCAGTGCTCTCTTGGTGATGAAATATATAGTCAACATATATTCTTTGTGAATTGTCTCTGTGCAATTGTGTGAAAAGTATATTTCCTATTTTAAGGGTCTAGTATGATATGACAGATATAAAGATACATATAAAGATATATATACGCACATATCTACTTTACTCTAGAGGTTATTTTATATTCTTTATATTCATATTTATATGTGTACTTGACCCATCTTTTACCAAGAGCAGTATGTTAAAGTTTTCTATTATTAGTGTGTCTATATCTATTTATCCTTGCACCTATGTTTTCTGTTTTATGTGGTTAGTTGCTATTTGATGCATAGTCATAACTGTTAAAGCCTCACTGTGAGTTTCAGCATTATAAATTCTTCTTGTTTTTGCTGTTTTTGCTCAAATTCTATTGTGTCTAAAATCAGAATTGTAACACCAATTTTCTCATTGTTTCCATTTGCCTAGTATATACTTTGCTCATCCCCTTATCTTTAGTCTTTTTTAAATCAGTATGTCTTAGGTCTGTTTTTGTTTCCATTATGGCTTTGGGTTTACTTTATTTGCCACTGTGAAAATAATTTTCATTTAATATATGAGTTAACCCTATTCACCTTTTTTGATATTAGTCTCAAAACTGTCATATAATTTTGTGATAATAACTGGTTTCATTATGTCATATTTACTGTTTCTTTTTTTATATGATGACACATTGTAATTATTTTAAAAATTCTTTAGGTATTTTTGGAAAGCTTATACTTTTGTTCTAGTTGTTAATGTATATTTACACCTTTTGTGATACCAGAGTTCTCTATTTTATTCTTGCTTAACCATCCACTACCTTGTCTGTGAATTTAAATAATATCCTTCGATTTACATCCATTTTCTATGTATTGATTAATGATCTCATTGTACTTTCCTTTTTGTCTCTTCCTTTACTTGCCATTGTTTGTTTATGTCTTCGTTGTCTGAATGCATACATTCTTATTTTAATGTAGCACAACAATTAAAAGAATCAAGTTATTACCATCAGTTCTATACTACAGATTCCCCAGTTATCTCTCCCTCAGTTGGGCAATGCACATCTTCTGGCAGCTGTCTGAGGAGGGCCCTGAGGCACTGAGTTCCCTGCGCTCTTGGGCACATTTAGTGTTGTTCTTGTAAAGCCTTGATACTTGGGAAACAGCTTGGTTTTAAGCATGCATAATTCATTTAACCATATAAGTCATTTGTTACATTTTTCTGAAGGTTCCAATGAATACTTTTATTAGACTATGTTTCAAAATTAGTAATTTCCATTCAGTCTTCCCAGAAAAACAATATCCTCTTTCAATTTATCAGTTGAAGTGTTTTTATTTTTTCTAGAAAATTTACTTGGATTACTACTTTAAATATTGGTAGTTTTTCTTTATTTTGTGCTGCTTCTTCAAGGGCTCCATTTATATCTATTTTGGACCATTTTTTCCTGTCTTCTGTTTCAACCAGCTTCCCTCTGACCAACTTTACTTTTGTTTACTTTAATCTTCTTCATTGTTATGTTTTTCCACAATGTTCTTCATTAAATTTTCATTTTAATTATTTACCCTAAGGCCCCTAATAATTTTTCTCTTCACTTTGGATATTGTTTTCATCTTTTGCTTCCATATTTTTCTTGATTTCTATTAACTTTGGTAAATATATATATTTATATATGTTACATATATGCATGTGTGTATGTACATTATATATATGAAAATTATATATATTCAAATTATATATACATATATACATACAGATTTTATATATGTATTCAGAGTTTTAATATATATTCAGACAATGTCTATTCAGGGTATATTTGTATACATTTAGCTTATATACATATAATTATGTTTGGAGTGTTTAGTCTGTTAGTTTTCTTCTGTTTCATATTGCTTTTGGAGGTGAAAGAATTTTCATCAGCGGAAATGTTATAATTTGCCTTTTTTCAGAGAATCTTTATATGAAGTCGCTTTGATTTTTTCCCACTCATAGGCATTTGTGGACAGGATTCCTAGTTCAAAAACCTCTTCTCCATCAGTTTAGTAAACCACAGTTTATTAAATGGTGATGCTGGTATTGGTAAAAGGGGAGAGGTTGGTGTGTTGTGTCTGAAAATTAGGCACTTCTTCCTATACCTTCTTTCTCTGCCTGACACATCTCTGACAGGTACCACTCCTTGTCAATATGAATCTTTCCAAGAAGCAGTGTTTCCTGGAAGCTACAAAATCCAGTGCTGCTCACTTTTAAATTGCCACCCTGTGGCCACTCACAGCCCAACATTTAGCAGATTAGACTCAGTGTTGGAGTTTTCTTAGAGTGATTGCTCTACACTTCATTTTAGTTTCTTACTCTTCTCTTCTATTTTTCCTGGAATCTCTGAAGACTCAACTATCCTGTTCTCCAAAGCTAATGGCTTGCAATGGTGATAGACGCTCCTTTGGAATTTGGTATTTACTTCTTTGTCTTTACGTAATTGAAATGTTTTGTATTCTCTACCCTGAGCAATGAGGATGGTGGGGACATGTGGGACTTAGACTCTTTTGTGATGGTGATATAGTTTCCTGGGAAGATTTTTGACAAGATTCCAGTGCAGTTCATTGCCATTATCCGCTGAAAACAATCCACTCATCTACTCCACCACCTTACAACATTTACCTCAGAAGAGTAGACATTCCCATTGCCATTCCTTTGTAGACAGTCTGCCTTTTCTCTTTGGTAGCTGCAGTTTTTTGATAATGTGCCTATGAGTAAATTTGTTTTTATTTGTCATGAATGAGACTTTCTGTGCTTTTTCAAAGTGAAGATTCATGTCTTTTTTCCAAAAAATCATAGAAAAATATTAGTCATCATATTTTTAAATATTACTTCTTCTGCATTACTTCATTATCTCTTTCTGTACCTTATTTGATACATGTTGGAACTTCAATTTCAATCCCAAATGTCCTTTTTTTCTTGCTAGTAACAAAATTTCAATTTCTTTTTTTTACACTTGGGACCATGGCCATGCCAGTAATGCAGAACCATGGAAAACCATTACATTTCTGTCAGCAGTTACACTAATTTATTATGAGGAATTCATAATAGAGGAAGATTAAAGGGTCACTTATTTCCAAAATTATCATTTTATATAAGATAATTTCAAGTGTTAGTGGCAGATACTGCATTAGCATTTCTTCACATCATACTGAACATTACCTTCTATAGCAATCCATACAACAACGTGGAAAAACATCAATTAATACTGTTCATAATCGAGATGACAATATCATGCAAAGTCAGAGATTTAGGGAAATCATTCTGGGTTGGAGACAGCAGATCTTATATTTTCTCCTTACCCTGCCATTTCCTATTTATACAGTCTTAACAAATTCAATTAATTCTTTTCTTTGGTTTCTCTAATTCCTAAGTGGGGACAATTATTTCAATAGAATGAATATTATAAATGTCTGACACAGTGCCTGAAACAAAATATTTTTGAATTTGAAGTACTGCCTCTGAAAAAATTAAATAATTGTCCTGTGTGATTCTTTTATTATCTTTAATTCATCAAACTTTTAAAATCCCTACACTGTAGTGATGACACTAGGATATGCAAACATTGGCAACGTTAGAACTCTGGGAATTTTAGCACCATTGACTGCAACACAGAATGAGGAAAATGAAACAAAGTTAGTGGCAGGAAAAAAAAAAAAAAGCAGTGACAAGCCCAGGTTTCCTGAGTTCCTTCCTTGGCATTCTTTCCATTACCCTACACTGCCCCAACCATGCTGGCTGTGATGGTTAATACTGAGTGTCAACTTGATTGGATTGAAGGATGCAAAATATTGATCCTAGGTGTGTCTGTTGAGGGTGTTGCCAAAGCAGGTTAACATTTGAGTCAGTGGGCTGGGAAAGGCCCATCTATCCTTAATCTGGGTGGGCACCATCTAATCAGCTGCCAGCATGGCAAGAATATAAAGCAGGCAGAAAAACGTGAAGAGACTAGACTGGCTTAACCTCCCAGCTTAAATCTTTCTCCCATGCTGAATGATTCCTGCCCTCGAACATCAGACTTCAACTTCTTCAGCTTTGGGATTCGGACTGGCTTCCCTGCTCCTCAGCTTGCGGATGGCCTATTGTAAGACCTTACGATCGTGTGAGTTAATACTCCTTAATAAACTCTCATATTTGTATATATTATATATATATATATATGTATCCCCTATTAGTTCTGTCCCTCTAGAGAACCCTGACTGATACAGATTTTGGTACCAGGAGTGGTTCTAGAGGAACAGAATATTAAGGATGGAGTTCTTTCATTGTTTTTTGGGTTTCTGGATTTGGCCGCTTAATATGATTAGACCCAAAAATGCTAAGGACTCTACTTCTAATAGTATGGAGAACACTGATAGTCCTTGGCGTGAATTGTTTATAGTTATGCAAAATGAATGCATTTGACACTCCTGATTCAGTGCTTATGAGAAGCAAGGAGTTTAGTGACGCTACACATAATACCTTTGACTGTATGTGGAGAACCAGGGAACATAATGAAGCTGGTTGGTTGCTCTTAAGTTCACTGGACAATGTGATGAAAGAAAATGATGAACCCAAGGATTCTAACTCTCGGCTTCAGAAACCGATACTGAGCTTCAAATCTGCTAAGATTGCCCTGAGTGATTCTTATTTCCTGTAAAGAAAGAGCTGAAATTGTGGAAAAAGAGACACAAGCTCTTATCATGCAAGTGGGTGACCTGCAATGAAAGGTGCATGCACAGCCTCGCCAGATGTCTGCTGTTAAAATGAGGGCATTGATTGGAAAAGAATGGGACCCTGCAACTTGGAATGGGGACCTGTGGAAGGATCATGATGAAGCTGGGGACACTGAGTTTGTGAACTCTGATGAATCTTTTTTGCCAGAAGGAACAGCTTCCCCATCCCCAGTAGTGGCAACATCCCCTCTCCGACCCATGCTGCCATCAGCCTTTCCACCTTTGTCTGGGAAGATAAACCCTGCACTGCCTGAGGCAACAGTGATGTCCTTCCCTGAGACAGTTGCCAGGCAAAATAATGTTGATTCTCCTGAGGAGCCACCCCCAACACCCCTGTTTGCTTCTAGACCTAACACTAGACTAAAGTCCTGGCAGGCACCTAGATGTGAGGTTGAGAGTGTGACCCATGAAAAGGTGCACTACACTTGAAAAGAACTGCTTGAGTTCTGTAATTTATATAAACAGAAATCTGTAATTTATATAAACAGCATGGGAATGGATATTAAGGGTGTGGGATAATGGTGGAAGGAACATAGAGTTGGATCAGGCTGAATTTATTGATTTGGGCCCACTAAGTAGGGACTCTGCATTTAATGTTGTAGCTTGGAGAGTTTAAAAAAGCTCTAATAGTTTATTTGCTTGGTTAGCTGAAATAAAATGGCCCACCATGAGCAGATAGAAATGTCTGATCTCCCTTGGTTTAATGTAGAGGAAGGGATCCAAAGGTTAGGGAGATTGGGATGGTGGAGTGGAGCAGTCACTTTAGACCTACTCATCCCAGCTGGGAGGGTCCAGAAGATATACGCTTGACCAGTGCCTTGCAAAATAGATTTGTGAAGACAGCACCTGCATCTTTGAAGAGCCCTGTAATTGCTTTTCTCTGTATGTCAGATTTAACAGTGAGAACCGCAGTCACTCAACTACAAAATTTAAATACAATGGAAATATTGGATCCCGAGGTGGCAGGGAGCAAATGGCAGCACTCAACTGTCAAAGGTAAGGTGGGCATAACTACCGTAATGGACAGCAGAGGCAAATCAGCAATCAGAATAGTCTGACTCATGTAGAGCTGTGACACTGGCTAATTAATGATGGTGTTCCTAGAAGTGAAATTGATAGGAAGCCTACTATATTCCTATATTAATTGATATAATCAGAAAACTTCCAGGTTGAATGAACAAAAGACTAATTTGAATTATAAAAACAGAGAATCATGGCCCCTCAATCAGTTTCCTGACTTGAGACAGTTTATAGACCCAGAACCCCTTGAATGAAAGGGAGGCTGGATCTCCTTGAGGAAGAACCCACTACACTACTGACATTTTATGCTGTTAATCTTTCTCCCGTCCTTCCCCAAGGAGACCTCCGGTCTTTTGCCAGGTTAACCGTGCACTGGGGAAAGGGAAATGATTAGACACTTTGGGGACAACTAGACAATAGCTCTGAGCTGACACTGATTCCTAAGGACCCAAAACGTCATTGTGGTCCTCCAGTTAAAGTAGGGACTTATGGAAGTCAGGTAATTAATGGAGTTTTAGCTCAGATCCTACTTACAGTAGGTCCATGGGTCTCCAGACTCATCCTGTGGTCATTTCCCCAGTGCCAGAATGCATAAATAGCATAGACATACTTAGCAGCTCACAGAAACCCCACACCATCCCAGAATAGGTACTCACCTTAAAAACCTAGTGTTTCAGGCCGGGCGCGGTGGTTCACGCCTGTAATCCCAGCACTCTGGAAGGCCAAGATGGGTGGATCACTTGAGGTCAGGAGTTTGAGACCAGTCTGGCCAACATGGTGAAACCCTGTCTCTACTAAAAATACAAAAATTACCTGGGCATGGTGGTGCATGCCTGTAATCCCAGCTACTGAGGAGGCTGATGCAGGAGAATCACTTGAACTCAGGAGGTGGGGGTTGCAGTGAGCCAAGATCCCACCACTGCACTCCAGCCTGAGCAACAGAGTGAGACTCTGTCTCAAAAAAAAAAAAAAAAAACACAACACAAAAACCTAGTGTTTCAAAGTGGTTTTCTATGTGTTATATTTTAAATATCAAATGGGTTTAATTCTTCTGTTATCTTGATTTGCTTTGTGAAATTCATGTAGGAAACATATATAAATGCTTAGTTGGTCCCCACATAAATATATGCCACATTAGGAAGTATTCATCCTCATTAGCAAGAGCTGCCTGTATAAATTCAACAAAAAGGGAAAGCCAGCAGATCTCCATGACATTTAAGATGGAATAGATTTCTTTTTTATTTTATTGTATCAAACTCACTGTTGCTGTCAATATCCTACTTTACTTTGAAACAGCAGCATTATTTTGAAAATAGCACACATTCTGCTTGAGTCTTCAAGCTAGAATGTGGTGGAGCCAAGGACATGAAATGAGAACAGCTCTGTTCTTGTTTGCCAGAACATTTACAATTTTTACTATTATTCCTTTTCCTGGTTTAGAATCTCTTGTGCAGTTCTCCTCTCATTCCAAAATGGATACTTCACAAATAGAAAATTAATGGGCAATAGATAAGAACCTGGTAATTTTGTGACTGTTAGGTGTAATATTAGAAGCCTGTAATTTAAAGCAATCACTGACTAAGCTTTCTAATTCATAAAGGACAGGAAAAGAAAAGAGTGCATTTGTACTGATGAAATCTTTTTTAGTCCTCATTTGCTGTTATCGATAGACGACAGATTTCTGTTGCAAATATATGTCTTAACTATTAAAATATGCATGCATATTTAGTTAAGAATTAGTCATTAGTATAAAACTAGGATACATAGAGAGCAAAATGCTACAATATTGTAATGTAATTATAATATTGTAAGCAAAGTTGCATGGAATGTTAGATTTTTCTGATCAGGAATGGTCCCAAAAAGCTGTTTGGTTTGACCTTCATATGCACTATAGCTAATTCACTTTGTAGCAGGATCTTGTCTCTGACTTCTGCTATAAAATGTTTCTCTTATTCTCAATTCTGGAGGATGAAGGGCATTTAACAAAAGCTCTGGGGAAACGATTTAAACTAATCCTGTCTTCCACAAGCCAGGCCAGCTGACTATAGCACAGAATGCCAATATACTAGTTTATAATGGTAATAAAACAGACAATTTTTAAATGACCAGCATACCTATGCTTTATCTCTAAGGAAACCTATGACTCTGAAACAGACAAGAGACAGAATTGAGCATATTACTCAATACACACAAATGATAATTAACAAATATTGTGTTTTTGAAGATAATAAATAAACATAAGTGTATATCTTTAAAGGGCATTTTTAACATGCTCATAAAAACACTGCCATATAAAAAGAGAAACTGTAAGATATATTGGTGTTAAAGTTCATGATTGGACACTGAAATGTCAACAGCAGACTGTTGTAAAAAAAAGCTTCATTAAAAAGAAAATATCTGAAAATCAAATAAAAAGAAGTTTATTAGTAAATTGTATGGAATCCCAGTAAAGATTAACCTAAAGCAGAAAAAAAAATACAGTATTTTTCTCTTTATTTTTCCTATTTTTCCAACATCTCTGCCACCAAAACCGTGTAGGACATTGTATTTTGAAAAATTCGACACAGAACTACAACAATATGTTTTCCTTAAATTTGAGTATTCTTGGTATCTTACTGACATATTACCATCAGAAAAGTCCGTGAGCAACCAAGAAGTTGAATCAAAAGTCATTTATATAATTAAATAGAAAATATTACTCTGGAAAAACCACAAATGCCTAGAACATACGGAAATACAATTTATTGAATAATATATCTTTGCTCAATGATTTGAAGCACCATTTGAATATACATTTCACTCTCTTATATGTCTAAATCTTCATGAATCCATGGCGTTTTGCATATGTATCTTCCTAGTGCATCTCCTGAACTGTGTAGGAACAGGGAATCTTACGGCTGCACTGGGGCAGCCTTATGAGTACTCCTGGGGCTGTCTAGATATCTGGTCCTGACCCTTCGCCAAAACGAGGATGAGATGGGAGGGCTAATGAGTTACAATGTGCTGTTCAAAGTCTGAAATTTTCTTGGAGATGTGCACTGTTGGTTTGTTTACCTCGTTTAGGAATAAATTGATAGGTGATTTTCACCTACTTTAATTGGTCACACATTCTAGCATTAGCTGCATGTCCAGCAGGATACAAAAGATGCCTCAGGATTCTTCGGCCTGAACTCCCTGGTGTCTACTTCTAGACTATAGATATTGCATTGGGTTCTATTTCTCAGTTGTTTGTGAAGCAAATCCTGTGAAAGTGAGAAAGGATGGGGGCTTGGGTGGCAGCTGCACCTGAACAAGTGTGAACCACTTTATGATTATGATTACCTGTACTTCCTCCTGTTTGTTGCATGCTTTATCATTATGTATGTGAGTGCTCCCTCTGGAGTTTGTGAGTCCTTTCAATTATCCTACCCTGAGTACCCCATGCAATGTTTTATAAGGCTGTGTCCCCATTATTAATTTACAACAAACAGCTTTCTTCTCATGCACTTCCACCTTATGTACTTCAGAAACAGACTGGTCGAATTCTGAAAGGAAAAGCATTAAGGCTTTGGTTGGAATTTTGCTAAATATATAGATAAAATTATTGAGTCAGAATCAACAACTTTACATTTCTCCCCTCCTGGCATGCCTTTCAGTTCGAAGGAGAATGAGCACATACACTAGCATAAACGAGAAAAACAATGCAACAGGGCATGCATACAAGTAAGAATATGGAGAGGGAAATGCCGGCAGTTACAAAGACTGGAAATTTTCAGAAGAAATTGAAATCCTAAATAGACCAATAATGATTTTCAAAGTTGAATCAGTAACTTAAAAACCTACCAACAAAGAAAGACCTGGACCAGAAAGACTCATGGCCAAATTATCCCAGACATACAAAGAGCTGTTACCAATCCTACTGAAAGTATTACAAAAAATCAAGGAGGAGGGACTCTTTCCTAACTCATTTTATGAGGCCAGCCTCATTCTGTTACCAAAACCTGGCAGAAGCACAATGAAAAAAGAAAACTTCAGGCCAATATCCCTGATGAACACAGATGTAAAAATCCTCAACAAAATACTAGCAGACTAAACCCAGCAGCACATCAAAAAGCTAATCCACCACGATCAAGTAGGCTTTATTCCCTGGATGCAAGGCTGGTTCAACATATGAAAACCAGTAAATGTGATTCATCACACAAACAGAACTAAAACCAAAAACCACATGATCATCTCAATAGATGGAGAAAAGGCTTTCAATAAAATTCAACATCTCTTCATGTTAAAAACCCTCAACAAACTAGGCACTGAAAGAACATACCTCAAAATAATAAGAGTCATCTAAAACAAACCCACAGACAATATCATACTGAATGGGCAAAAGCTGGAAGCATTCACCTTGAGAACAGGAACAAGACAAGGATACCCTCTCTTACCACTCCCAGGGAACATAGTACTGAAAGTCCTAACCAGAGCAATCAGGCAAGAGAAAGAAATAAAAGGCACCCAAATAGGAAGAGATGAAGTCAAACCATCTCTCTTCACAGGTAATAAGATTCTGTATGTAGAAAACCCCTGAGTCTCTGTCCAAAAGCTCCTGGGACTAATAAACAACTTCAGTAAATTTTCAGGATACAAAATCAATGTAAAAAAATAGTAGCATTTCTGTACACCAATAACATCCAAGCTGAGAACCAAATCAAGAACGCAATCCAATTCACAATAACCAGAAGAATAAAATACCTAAAAATACAGCCAACCAGAAAAGTAACTAAAAAAAGTCTCTACAATAAGAATTATAAAACACTGTTGAAAGAAATCAGAGACAACAAAAACAAATGGAAAAGCATTCCATACTCATGGATAGGAAGAATCAATATTGTAAAAATGGCTGTACTGCCCAAAGCACTTTGCAGATTCAATGCTATTGCTATCAAACTACCAATGTCATTTTTCACAGAACTAGAAACAACTACTCTAAAAGTGATATGGAACCAAAAAAGAGCCTGAATAGCTAAAGCACTCCTAAGCAAAAAGAACAAAGCCAGAGGCACCACACTACCCGATTTCCAACTATACGACATGGCTACAGTAACTAAAACAGCATGAGACTGGTACAAAAACAAACAGGTAGACCAATGTAACACATTCGAGAAACCAAACAGAAAGCCATACACCTACAACCAGCTGATATTCAACAAGGTGGACAAAACAAGCAATGGGAAAATGACTCCCTATTCAATAAATGGTGCTGGGAGAACTGGCTAGCCATATGCAGAAGATGGAAACTTGACCCCTTCCTTTCACCATATACAAAATTCAACTCAAGATGGATTAAAGACTTAAATGTAAAACCTAATACTATTAAAAACCTGGAAGAAAATCTAGGAAATACCATTCTAGACATAAAATCATACGCAATGATTTTATGACGAAGTCCCCAAAAGCAATTACAACAAAAACAAAAATTTACAAGTGAGACCTAATTAAACTACAGAGCTTCTGCACAACAGAAGAAACTATCAACAAAGTAAACAGACAACCTACAGAATAGGATTAAATGTTCACAAACTATACATCCAACAAATGAATCTGTAAGGAACTTAAATCAACAAACAAAAAATAAACAATCCCATTTTAAAAAATGGTCAAAGAACATAAATAGACCTCTCGAAAGAAGGCATATATGCAGCCAATAAGCATATGAAAAACTGCCCAACATCACTAATCACTAGAGAAATGCAAATCAAAACCACAATGAAGCACTATCTTACACCAGTCAGAATGGCTATTATTAAAAAGTCAAAAATAACAGATATTAGTCAGCAAGGTTGCAGAGAAAAGGGAACACTAATACACTGCTGGTGGGAGTGTAAATTAGTTCAGCCACTGTGGAAAACAGTTTTGAGATTTCTCAAAGAACTTAAAACAGAACTGTCATTCAACCCAGTAACCCCATTACTGGGTATATACCCAAAGGAATATAAATTGTTCTACCATAAAGACACATGCACTTGTATGTTCACTGAAACAGTATTCACACTAGCAAAGATATGGAATCAACCAAGATGCCCATCAACAGTGGACTGGATAAAGAGAATGTGGTATATATGTACTATGGAATACTATACAGCCATAAAAAAAGAATGAAATTATGTCCTTTGCAGCAACATGGATGCAGCTGGAGACCATTATCCTAAGCAAATTAAAGCAGGAATGGAAAACCAAATACCACATGTTCTCACTTATAAGTGAGAGCTAAACTTTGAGAACAAATGGATGCTAGGAAAGGAATGACACACACCGGGGCCTACTTGGGGGTGGGGGGCGGTGGGACAGGGGCAAAAAAAACTACCTATCAGGTACTATGCTCACTACCCAGGTGATAAAATCATTTATACACCAAACCCCAGTAACAGACAATCTACCCATGTGACAAATCTGCACAAGTATCCCCCTGAAACTAAAATAAAAGTTGGAGAAAAAAAAAGAGATAGGTGGTTTTAAGGAGGCTGCTAGATTATTTTAAAAGCTAACATTTATTAAATGCTTACTACATGCCTGGAACTGTTCTAACACTGCAGGCATTACTTGTTTAATCCTTACAACAATATATGGGGTATGAATAGATGATAGATATAGATAGATGGATAGATAGATAGATAGATAGATAGATAGATAGACAGACAGACAGACAGATTGATACTTAGTTTTAGACAAGAAAACTGATGTCTGAGAAGGTAAGTAACTTGCTCATGGTCTGTGAGGAAAAGTAGGATTTAGACTCAGATAATGTATCCCTGGAGCTGGAGTTCTTAGCCATTAATCTAGACTTCCAAGCAAATTAGCTAATAGTAGCCTGGGACATGCAAAGTTAGCATGAAGTAATTAACAACAGAGACCCCACATCTGTTGCACCCCCACTTGCTTGTGCTGTTCATGGGAGGAGCAAGATTTCTAGATGAAATGACTTAATTGTTCAACAGGCAGTAGATGGTGATTCAAAGCAAAGACAAGTTTTAAGTCAACGTTCCCAATCAGGACATAATCCTACATAACACATTCTGCTGAGTCCCTTGTGGCAGAGAATACAGAGAGTAAATCAGCGCCATTCAGGGGGCTCAGCACTGAGAGTGGACCTGAAGCCCCCCTGTCTAGGAGAGATGCTTTAGGGTGACTGCTGTGTACCCAGCCCTTTCAGCACATATTAGCGTATTAGTCTGTTCTCACACCACTATAAAGAACTTCCCTGAGACTGGGTAATTTATAAAGGAAAGAAGTTTAATTGACTCATAGTTCTGCATGGCTGGGGAAGCTTCAGGAAACTTACAACCGTGGCAGAAAAGCAGGCACCCTCTTCCCAAGGCAGCAGGAGAGAGAGAAGAGAAAGCCAAGGGAGAATCATCATGGATCATGGATTGGATTGAATCATGGGTGTGGTTTCCCCCATGCTGTCCTCATGATAGTGAGTGAGTGTTCATGAGATCTGGTGGTCCCTTATAGAACCATCACCTCGGCCGGGTGCAGTGGCTCACGGCTGTAATCCCGGGGCTTTGGGAGGCTGAGGTGGGCGGATCAGGAGGTCAGGCGATCGAGACCATCCTGGCTAACACGGTGAAACCCCGTCTCTACTAAAAACACAAAAAAATTAGCCGGGTGTAGTGGCGGGTGCCTGTAGTCCCAGCTACTCGGGAGGCTGAGGCAGGAGAATGGCATGAACCTGGGAGGTGGAGCTTGCAGTGAGCCGAGATTGCACCACTGCACTCCAGCCTGGGCAACAGAGCAAGACTCCATCTCAAAAAAAAAAAAAAAAAAAAAAAAAGAGCCATCACCTCCCTCCCTCCCTCAACACATGGGGATTACAGGTCCCTCCATCCACATGTAGGGATTGCAATTTGAGATGAGATTTGGGTGGGGACACAGCCAAACCATATCAATTAGAATACAAACACCTTGACAGAAAACAGCTACTAAAACGGCATATCTAAGGGATTTTGAATATGCACCTATGCAAAGGCTAGAGATGTTCTCCAAGTCTATAAGGGCCCTGAAACTTCAGTGTATTGAGCATGTGTGGGGTGGCAGAGGGAAAGATCAGGGGAACATGAAAGAGACTGAACTGGACAAGAAGCGATGATTTTCCTGCATCAGTCAGGCAGAAACTGAGGAAAAGCAACAACTCATGCATTATTATTAGGAGCAGGTGCACCCAAGCATATCTAACATCTGTAAAGAGACACCTCTGTCATTCTTAATCCAGAAAACAGGTTGTATCATGTTCAATAAGTGCTTTCTTTTCTTCAGGGGAAATCAGGCCTCCTCACATTTTTTAAAATGGTCTGGACTGGGTAGACTCTGCCTGTATAATTACAGTCAAAAGGTCAAAATTGTAGTGTCTCTTGTGGATAAGTCCAAGTTTTTTATAGACAGTTGCTCTATTCAGGCTAGATTGAATATCCCCAGCCAAAACCTTTACTATTTAAAGATTTAAACAAGCATGAGCCACAGGCAAAGGTAAGCTGCTTTGTGACTCAGCAAACTGGTCCAAGTGTTCTCATCTCTGCTTCTGGAATCCAGATTTCTCAGGTTTAGAAAAGTCCTAATTAGCTGAACTTAATAACGTTTACACAAATCTCCACTGCTGTGTAAGCCTCTTACAGCCTGAGGACAGAACATAATCTTACATAATCACTAATCTTATCCTACAATGGGCCTCCATCTCATTAGATGCAATTGCCCTGTGTTGGTGGCCTGGCAGAAGGCAGGCGCTTGCTCTGTGTGAAGATTCCAGCCAGAGCCTGAATTATGTGAGCTGCTGGAAAGATACCTTGGGAAAACAGCATAACCACTTCCATAATTCTCTCCCAGACTCAGTCACATAGGCCAGGATTATTTACTGAGGAGTAAGATTTGGACCCATTTTCCCCTTGACTTACTTGTAAATACTCTGGGTGTCTTCAGAGATTCTTTTTGTCTACACCTTCCTGGACACCTCCACTTGCTGTGATCCACCACCTGTGTCATCAGGATTCAGTGGCTTTGATGCCATATGGGGAGCTTGGGCCAAGGCATGACTAGGATTCTGGTCTCCTGCACTGAATGTGTACAGGTGTTCCAGTCCAAGCCTCAAGCTTAGAGGAACATATCCACTGTTTACCAAGCCCCAGCACTTCCCATTCTGTAGACTATAAGGGCCATAGACAAAGAGACACAAGTTTACAGAAGTATTTTCCATCATTATGAATATCATAAGGTATTTTTGGCATTCACTTTATTCCAAAAGAGAATCTCATTAGAACATTCCTTACTTTAATGAGGTCAAAAAGGAAAGCAGAATGGGCCTTATTTTTCACATAAATTTATACATCAAATAGTCAGAGGACTAGAAAGAGCCTCAACTCTACTCAGTCCCCTTGCAGGCTTAGGAGCTCCAAGGCAGGCCCAATGACCCCACCTACCATCACTGCACTGTGGCAGAAGTCATGGTGAGTCACTTCTGAAATTAGGTTACAGAAGACATTGTGATTCCATCTTCTCTCTTTCTGTCTCTCTCTTTCACACAGACACACACATGCATGCGCACACACACACACACACACACACACCTTTTCTCAGATCACTCATTCTAGGGAAAGCCAGATGCCAGGTGATAAGCAGCCCCAGCCCCATGGAGAGGCCCACATGGTAAGCAACTGTGGCTCCTGCCAATAGCCCCGGGATCTTCCAGCCCCCTCAGGTCTTCAGGTGACTGAAGTCTCAGCCAACAGCTTGCCTGCTCATGAGAAACTGAGCCAGAAGTGCCCAGCTATACCCAGAACCCCACCCTCACAAAACGTGACAGATAATTCATGGGCATTGTCTTCAGCTGCTAGGTTTTAGAGCAATGAGGTACCAACAGACACCTCGTACACCAAGCTTATGGGGAGTATAAGCAAGCCATCATCACACTCCATGTCACGCAGCATTTGCCCAATTAACTTTGCCACTTTGATCTCCTTCACTCATTGTTCCCTGCCCAAATCCAAGAGTTCTGGGGGCCAAAGCATTAAGAAATATTAACGGTTGGTATTCTCCAGACACCTAAGATTACCTGGCAAAATGTATTGAATTGCCATATTAAATTCTTCTTTCTAATTTATATGTTTCTATAAATAGGATACCTCGCTTTTCAAAACAACCCAGCATTTGAACAGGTTTTAGTTAAGCACACCAGAACAGAACCAAAAAGACTGAAATTCTGCCACCTAAATATAATTCCAGAAACAGTAATTCCTAGATTGATGATGATATGGAACTAGACTTAAGACTTAAGGAGAACTACTAGACTTTATTTTAGCTTATTCCTCTTGTGTAGAAAATACTAGATAAGAGCCTTCCTCCAGAGGGTTGCATCTCACTCAAGTGATTAGTTAAGCTTATTCCTACTTTTGATATTCTTTGCTATGAAAACTCAACTGATAAGCCAAGATCTGAGAATTGGGGATAAACTAAAACCAGCATTAAGTCTTCAGTCAAGAGCTAACTCTCCTTCTCCATCTTAAGAATATAAAACAAAATAAAATCTAGCCAAAATGCTTAAAATTAACCCTGTGCCATAAGAAATGGCAGTGTTGGCCTGCCACAACTAGAATGGCCTCAATGTGGCCATGTGGGGCCGCTTCTCCCAGCCAGGGTCTGTGTGCCTGCTTCTCTTTCACTGCTGCTCCTAGATGATGCCATATGAATGTCCTAATTATAAAATCTATGTAGGTCAGCACGCATTAAAACCCTTGTCTTTCTGGCTGGCCAGCATGTTCATTCTGTCACAGAAAAGAGATCAGACTAATTTGACAAGTCTTATTTTTCACAAAACTATAACATTTGTGGAGGCTTTTAAACTCAATACTGATGTTTACAGACACAAAATTTTACCCATTTTTAACATTATAAATATATAAAATCTAAGGTAGCAAAAGGTGGGGCAGAGATGGTACTTTTATGGCATGAATATAATGACCACATGATTTTTAAGAATTTTTCATTTTTATGCCTGGACTAGAAACAAAAGTTATTTTATACACAGATGATAGAGTTTTCTCCTCAAAGTGTGATGGGCTATATTAGAATCACCAGCATCATATCCTTCTAAAGAGAAAAAAAAATAACAGCAAGAACATGTTTGTCTAGGCCCCTCTGTTTTCTATGGTGACTAACAATTTCATCTTCAGAAAGTGCCTATAATTTGTAGGGTCTGTATTATTTCAGAACCTCAGCACATACTAACTACAACTGGCCCTTGAACAATGTGGAGTTAGGGATGCCAACCTCCCACACACCGTCAAAAATTCACATATAAGTTTTGATTCCCCCAAAGTTAACTATTAATAGCCTACAGTTGACTGGAAGCCTTGCCTTTAATATAAACAACAAATTAATGCATATTTTATATGTTACATGTATTTTATACTATATTCTTACCATAAAGTAAGCTAGAGTAAAGAACAGGTTTTAAAAGTCATAAGGAAGAGAAAAGTGTTTGCGATTCATGAAGTGAAGGTGTATCATCATAAAGGTCTTTATCCCCATCATCCTCACGTTGAGTAGGCTGAAGAGGAGGAGTTGGTCTTGCTGTGTCAGGAGTGGCAGGGGCAGAACACACACTGAACGTAAGTGCGCCCGTGCAATTCAAACCTCTGTTGTTCAAGTGTCGACTGTATTTTAAAGCTACTAAAATAACCTTGTGAGATGCTGGCTCTGTGGCCACTGTGCTGTTTGCTACACAAAAGCAATCTCAGTCTGTACCTCACACAGTTGTTCTATTCTGATGTTCCTTATTTGAAATTGGATAATCTCAGTATCCTTTCAGAAATGCAACCATTGAATGAACTGTGGACTACTTCATGTCTTAGGATTCTCCTTGTCTTTGAGTCCCTGTGGCTTCACATGAACCAAATTTTGCCAAGCTCATGCCTCCAATCTCTGCTTCATTTCAGAAATTCACTGAGTCAGTGGCATGATTGTCAGCTTTGGTGAGCTGGTGGGGAAATGAAGATGGTAATGCATGTAATGTATGAATTAGGAAACCATCAGATATTAGATACTTTGGACATGATAGCTAAGAAATGAAAAAATAATACCTTCACAGAGAAAGTTGGAAATGGACAGGAAAAATCATACACAGTAGGTCCTCAAATAATGGTGTTTCTTCAACATCCTTTTGTTATAACATTGATGATAAAGGAAATTGATTCTTGGCTGGGGCCTCTGTATGGAGTGAACACATTCTCCCCAGGTCTGCGTGGGATTTCCTCCAGGTACTCTGGTTTCCCTCCACATCCCAAAGGTGTGCCCATGAGATGAATTCGCAAGTCTACATGGTCCCTGTCGGGGTGGGGGAGGGTGTATGTGGATGGCCCTATGCTGCTGAGATAAGTTCTGGCCACCTATGACCCTGAATTGGAATAAGCAGGCTGAAAAATGAATGGATGAATGAAGTGAAACTATTGTCAATGAAAATTCATATAAAGTATATGATAATCATACAAATGCATGGTAATAAATGATCACATGGTGATCCTGACATGTTTGTGATTGTTAGCTTTTGAACTGTGTGGTGGTCGGTGCTTCTTATGAATTTTGATTTACAAACATTTATTCTTTGGTTTAACCCACGACCACTATGACCGCTGTTACTCACTGCTTCACAGAAAATGAGGTAAATGTGTATCTTGCTTATTTTTATTAATTTTTCTTAAATGTATGCATAGGTTACAGGTTTGTTAATGTCTAATATTAGAAGAGTTTGGGGTTTTACTTAGAAGTTTGGTGAAGTTTTGTACCCAGAAATATGCTGTAAAAACTTAATTCTTGTTGGTAAAAATTAGCCTATGATAAATTGGTTTTTTCTACGTGGTTTTGCTTAAAGTTGCAGTTCCGAGAACCTATTGACAGCATTAAACGAGGACTTAGTGTATGTACTTACTGTTTTCCCAGTGTAAATGATACTGGACTTTTGGACCTGCTATCAACTACCTTTGTTTTCTTAGAAAACTCACTTCGCATCACTGAAAACCATCTTCCTCATTTTTGCAGTGCTGTCAGTCAATTTGCTCTCAAAAATGTGTAATGGTTTCTACGGACAGGTCTGAGAGCTGACAAATGATGGATAATCTATCTCTGGTCTTTTTATGGAAGAAAAGCAGCAGTGAATCCACTTTTCTCCCACTTTTTAGTGCTCTCTACTTCATGCCCTGCCATTTCCATAAAGATCTACCTTACTGGCCCAGAACTAAGCTCGGCCCACCGTGACATTATTAATATTAAAACAGACCCTCTTCCAATTAGCACAGCACATTGACAAAGCATTTGTGGGGCTGCTCCATGGCATTGCATCAAAAATCCTATCTATGCAAATTTATAAACCGATTGACAAGACACTTTGTCTAACAGGTTCGTTATTTGTGTCCGGAGCAGTCAGCTGAAAAGGTGCATTGTGAAAGCTCCATTGAGACGCCTCAGGCTCCTCAAAGTGGGCAGCTTTTTTTTTTTTATGGAGCACCGCACACAGATGAGTAATGACCGATCTGAAGTGAACCAAGTGAGGTCATGTTCGCCGCAACCTGGGTCTGTCAACCAGCTGCTAAAACCATGGGTTGCATGTCGCTCCTAGCACCAAGCAAATTGGATGGGCCTATTGGCTGTGTGTGATCTGGAGTCCTCAAATGAAGGGTGACGATGAGAACATGACGCCATGCTCTGCGGTGTCCAATCTCTACAGGTGCACCATCACCACGCAATTCAATAAAGTCTTTTGCATAAAAAGATACATATGAAGATGATGTTGGGAATGTTGTGGTTTGTGACATACAAAGATGAAACAGGCCGGGCACAGTGGCTCATGCCTGTAATCCCAGCACTTTGGGAGGCCAAGGTGGGTAGATCACCTGAGTTCAGGAGTTTGAGACCAGCCTGGCCAACAGGCAATATCCCATCTCTACTAAAAATACAAAAATTAGTTGGGCATGGTGGCGCATGCCAGTAGTCCCAGCTACTTGGAAGGCTGAGGCAGAAGAATCGCTTGAACCTAGGAGGCGGAGGTTGCAGTGAGCCGAGATCGCATCACTGAATTCCAGCCTGGGTGACAGAGCGTGACTCTAACTCAAAAAAAAAAAAAAAAAAAAAAAATGATGAAATACAAACTATCATCTGTCAGTTGGAAAGTTCAGAGAATTATGGGTTCTTAAGCGGAAAACACCTCGCTTCATGAATCTGCATAAAATCCAGATTCAAAGGTTGCTCACCAGACAACTGGGCCAGAATCGTTAGGGCACGGCACAGGACAAGCTCCCTGGTTAGCATGTTAATCTGAGGGTCTGGGAAACAGTCTTAGAGAAGAGGAAAGGTGAGTTCCCGAGATGTTTTCCACCCAATAATCATTAATCAAGCAGCAGAAGTAAAGCCACAATGAAGGTCTCCTGATCTCAAACAAGTGGCTCTTGTTACTATTTTCTAGCAAACAGTGAACTGAAAGCCATGTGGGCCAACCACTCTCTCCTAGATATTCTAAAACGCATTCCAAGACCTCAAAAATCCAGCAAAATACCGGGTACCAATATCAACTTTTTCCACCATAGAATTACTCATACAAAATTGTCATAAAAAGACATAAGCTTCTATTGATTATTTTTTAAAATAAACAACTTGGTGGAAACTATTGCACTTCTAGGCTTCCCAGTAAGTAGACATCTATTCCCAATGCAAGATCTGAGCCAATTGAGAAATAAACAAAGAAGCAAATAGGTAGAAATCCAACATATCATATTTTAACTGATAAAATAATATTAAAGACTCTTCAGGCCATAGGATTACTAAGTTAAATTCACAGAATCAAGAGATGAACCCAACCAGCCATAGACAATAATGACCTGGAAGCCTTTCCCATTATTTTTTGTTGCAATGGGGGTTCCTATATAAGGGCTATCAACTTAGAGGAGCAAAGGAAAGAGTGTGTCCAGCAAGCTGCCCACTCGCAAAGAGGAAACTGTGCCTTCCTTCACAAATTCTGCCTTCTACCAAATTGCAAGGCAACTAAGGGCATGGGGACACCAGGAGTGTTTCTGTGAAAAAGCGTCCTCCACATGGAGGGAAACTTCAGAAGTGGAAGATAAATATTCCTTGTAACAAAACTCAGTTACTATCCCAAAAATATTGTTGAGAACTTTGTTCATTGCATTACATAGAATATAATTCTTTATGAAAATATCTGTAGTAAATTCTTACCTGATATTAGCACCAGATCAGTTTCAATTATAAATAATATGAACATATATATTGAAAAAAGAGGGAGAGAGAGAATTTGTCATATGAGCTGCCAGAATGTCTTAAAACTCACTCATAAAATGTATTCAGGCCTTAATAAATACACTTTTTGGCCGGGTGTGGTGGCTCACGCCTGTAATCCCAACACTTTGGGAAGCCAAGGCAGGCAGATCATGAGGTCAGGAGATCAAGACCCTCCTGGCCAACATGGTGAAACTCGGTCTCTACTAAAAATACAAAAATTAGCTGAGTGTGGTGGTGCACACCTGTAGTCCCAGCTACTTGGCAGGCTGAGGCAGAATTGCTTGAACCTGGGAGGCAGAGGTTGCAGTGAGCCAAGATCGCGCCACTGCACTCCAGCCTGGCGACAGAGCAAGACTCTGTCTCAAAAAATAAAAATAAATAAATACCTACATATGTACATTTTTCCATTTTTTTTCTTGTCTGCAATTTGTTCCCATCTTCCTCCTCTTGCCATTTCTTTCTCCTCCTGTTCTTCTTCATCGTTGTCCTCATCAAATCACTTAATATTCTCAAAAATTATCTACCCTTGACAGCTACTTGAAATGTTTTTAGTGACGAGGTGAAATACAAAATAAATAAATACTGAATTAACCTTCTAAAGCATCTCTACCGTGACCAATAATCCAGCGAAGAGCATTTTCTAAGTGCTCAGGCACACAACGAAAGCGTTTCATCTTAAGAGCTCTAATTTTCATTCAAAATCAAAGCAAACATGGAACCTTTCCTTCTGTAGTGAAATCATCATTGCACAAGGTAACCACTCTCCACTCTTCACATCCAAGATGTATGAGTCTGACATATCTTTCCCCAGCTCAGAGGTCTTTTGTGATGCCAGATGCCGATAAGGAACTTGTGCCTGGTGTTCACAGGCAGCACAACGCAACATGCCCTCCGCTGAACTGGCTGCTTCCACCTTAATCTCTTCCCACAAAATTCCCTTTTTAGTGATCGTGAAATACACCTGCCATGCACCCTGCAGAGAAACTTGGGTCATTGTCCCAGAATTTTCATGATTCCCCACCCCTGAATGCTGTAAATAAGCATAAGTAAACAGCTGTGTCAACACAACCTAGGTAAGTTTTCAAAAATAAAAATGACAAGCTCTCCTCCTCTGTGTTTTAAATAAGACTCTCCTAAGATGAGTACAGCAGAGAGCATTTCTTAATGGTCTCCTGAAGTTTTGATGCAATTGGTCTAGGACCATGTCTGGGAACCACTGCTATAGGCATCTGGCTTGTCATTTTTAATTAAAAAATTAATACAAGCCCCTGAGTATTTTTCATGTACATAATCATATTACCTGCAAATAAAGGGCTGTTTTCATTTCTTCAAAATCTATATGGATGTATTTCTTTTTCCTGCCTTATTGAGTTTAGCAGTATCTCAAGAAAGACAGTCTACAAAAATGAAATATACTTCTGTATTTTACCAATAAATAGGAAATTTCAGTTTGAAAAAAATGGCAATTACAATAAATCTCAAGATATGAAATACTTAGGGATACATTTATGAAAATATATTTAGGATCTATACACTAAAAACTATGTAACACTGATAAGAGTAATTAAAGCACTAAGTCAAAAAGAAATATTCCATATTAATGGGTTGGAAGCCTCAACATTGTTAAGTGGACAGTTCTCCCAAAGTTGATATATGAATTCAATATAACCAAAATAAAAATCTCAGCAGATAGCTGCATATAAACGGACAAGCTGCTTCTAAAATTTGCCAAAATACAAGGGACCTCCAATAGCCAAAGCAATTTTGTACAATATCAAAGGTGGAGTACTCACACAAACTGATTTCAAGACTTATATAAAGCTAGAGTAATCAAGAAAGTGTGGTATTAACATAAAGATAGATCAATGGAATGGAATAGAGTGTAGACAACAGATATTCAACAAAGTTGCCATGGCTATTCAATGGAAAAGTACAGTCTCTTCAACAAATGGTGCTAGAATGATTGTACATCCATAGACCAAACAAAAATTAAACACCTTAAAAAAAAACTCAATCCTTTCCTCTCACTATCACATGATTAATTCAAAACAGTGATCAATCCAATTGTAAAATGGAACTATAAAAAATCTGAAGAAAAACATTAGATTAGGCAAAGATTTCTTAGAAAACACAAAAAAGCATAAATAAAAAAAGAAAGAAAATGGATAACTGAAAAAGTTTGCTCTTCAAAAGACACTCTTAAGAAAATAAAAGACAAGCACAAATGGGAAGAAGATATTTTCAAAACCTGTATCTAGTAAAGGACTTATATCCAAAATATTTTTTAAAGTGTTACAAAAATTCCATAATAAGAAAAATAAAAATCCCAATATGAAGTAAGCTAAAGATCTGAACAGACATTTCACTAAATAAGAGATAAATGAAGGTGGCAAATAAGCACATGAAAAGATGCTCAACATCATTAGCCATTAGTTAAATCGAATTTTGACTGAAGATTGCTATAGCTATTCAGGGTCTTTAGTGGCTTCATATAAATATTAGGATTTCTTTCCGATTTCTTTTTTTAAATTATTATACTTTAAGTTCTGGAATACATGTGCAGAATGTGCAGGTTTGTTACATAGGTATACACATGCCATGGTGGTTTGCTGCACCCATCAACCCCTCACCTATATTAGGTATTTCTCCTAATGCTATCCCTCCCCTAACCCCCCACCCCCTGACAGACCCCAGTGTGCAATGTTCCCCTCCCTGTGTCCATTTGTTCTCATTGTTCAACTCCCACTTATGAGTGAGAACATGTGGTGTTTTGTTTTCTGTTCCTGTGTTAGTTTGCTGAGAATGATGGTTTCCAGCTTCATCCATATCCCTGCAAAGGATATGAACCCATCCTTTTTTATGGCTGCATTGTATTCCATGGTGTATATGTGCCATATTTTCTTTATCCAGTCTATAATTGATGGGTATATTTGGGTTGGTTCCAAGTCTTTGCTATTGTGAATAGTCCTGCAATAAATTTATTTCCAATTTATGTAAAAAATGTCATTAGTATTTTTATGAATGTTGCATTGAATCTATAAATCTCTTTAAGTAATATGAACATTTAAAAAATATTAATTTTTCTAATGAACACAGGATATGTTTCCAATCATTTGTGTCTTCTTCTATTCCTTTCATCAGTGTTTTATAGTTTATAGTGTACAAATCTTTCAACTCATTGCTTACATTTATTCTTAAGTATTTTATATTATTTTTCGGATGCTATTGTAAATGGGATAGTATTCTTGATTTCTTTTTGGATAGTCCATTATCAGTGTACAGAAATGCTACTGAATTTGTAGGTTGATTTTATATTCTACAACTTTGCTTATTAGTTATTAATAATTTACTTATTAGTTATAACAGTTTTTGGTGGAATTTTTCAGGTTTTCTATACTTATGTATACTTATGTTGTCTGCAAATATAGAAAATCTATCACTTTCCAATGTGGGTGATTTTCTTTCTTTTTCTTGCCTAATTGCTCTAGCTATGGCTTCTAGC
Organism: Homo sapiens; assembly: GCF_000001405.40. Lineage (NCBI taxonomy): Eukaryota > Metazoa > Chordata > Mammalia > Primates > Hominidae > Homo > Homo sapiens. The sequence goes on from NC_000006.12 coordinate 165,215,129, forward strand.
ACTATGTTGAATAGAAGTTGAGAGAGTAAACATCCTCATCTTGTTCCTGATCTTAGAGGAAAAGCTTTCTGCTTTTCACTATTGAGTATGATGTGGACCTGTAATATATGGCTTTTATTGTGTGAGGCACATGTCTTCTATACCTAATTTCCTGACTTTTATCATGAAAGGATGTTGAGTTTATCAGTAACTTTTAAGCCAACCCACTAAAATAAGGAAAGAATAGACTTTCAACAAATGGTTCTAAGACAACTGAATATCCTTGTGCAAAAGAATGAAGTTGGACCCCTTACTTGCATCATACACATAAGGAGTAAATTTGTATGACCTTGATTTAAGCAAAGCCTTCATGTATATGACACAAGCAACAAAGCACTATAGATGGACCTCATCAAAATTAAAAACTTTTTTTCATCAAATAATACCATCGAAAAGGGGAAAAGATAACTCAGAGAATGGGAGAAAATGTTTGCAAACCATATATGTGATAAGGAATGTGTATGTAAAACATATAAAGAACTCTTACAACTCGATAATAAAAAGACAAACAGCCCAATTAAAAATAGGCAAGGGATCTGAATAGACATTTCTTTAAAAATACATACACAATACATACATGGTCAGTAAGCACATAAAAAGATGCTGAATATCATTGGTCACTAGGGAAGTGCAAATCAAAACCATAATGAGGCACTACTTCACACCCACTAGGATGGACAAAATAAAAAAATACAGACAATAACAAGTGCCGATGAGGATGTTCAACCCATACCCATTATTTGTGGGATTGTAAAATGGTGCAGCGGCTTACCAAAACAGTTTGGCAGTTCCTAAAAATGTTAAACATAGGCTAACCATTGAATCCAACTGTCTCAGTCTGGTTTGTGCCGCTACAGCAAATTATCTGAGGCTGGGCAATTAATCATGAACAGAAATGTATTTGCTTACAGTTCTAGAAGCTAGAAATTTCAATATCAAGGTACCAGCTCTGGTAAAGGCCTTGTTGGCTACATACATCATCGCATGCTGGAAGACAAGAAGGCAAGAAAGGGCAAAAAATCAAAGTCACAGCCCCAAGCTCTTTTCGTAACCCACATTAATCCATTATTGAGGGCTGAGCTCTCAAGACCCAAATACTTCCCCTTTGACCCCACTTCCCAATGCTGTTGCATGGGGTATTAAATTTCCAACATGTGCTTTTTGGGGGACATATTTAAGTCACAGTACCAACTATTCCACCCCCAAATATATACCCAAAAGAAATAAACATATGTCTACACAGAAAAGTGTACATAAATGTTCAAAGCAGTATTCATTATAATATCCAAAAAGTGGAAATAATTCTAAGTGGTAACATGTATGCAATGGAATATAATTTAGCAATAAAAGGCATGAAGCACTGATACATGCTACGACCTGGATGGACCCTGAACACATTACGCTAACTGAAAGCAGCCCGTCACAAAAGACCACGTACCAGATGATTCCATTTATGTGAAATATAAAGAGTAGGTAGATCCACAGAGAGGGAAACGGTGTACCAAAGGTTAGGGGGGTGGTTCATGGGAGTTGCTGCTAATGAGCATAGGGTTTGGGTGGGGGCCAACGAAAATGCTCTAAAATTAGATTGTAGCGATAGTTGCATAACTCATGAGTACACTAAAATGTTTTATTGTACACTTTAAATGAGTGAGTTGCATGGTATATGGATTATATCTTATTATAACTATAGAAAAAGTTGTATGTGGTGCTTATTTTTATACTTTCCAAAATATAGATTATGAAAAATAAAAGTAAAAGGGGCTGTCTACTCTCCTACCACCCTCATGCTCTATGCTGTTCTGATTGTTCCTCCAGAGAGAATGAGAGACAGAAACAGAGACAGAGAAATGGATAGACAGAGGTGTAGGCACATAATTCGATGTAGATATTTACATGCAGATATATAAATAAAATGTAAAGAATTTTGCTCATTCTTTACTATCCACTACTGTCCAGATTTTGCCCTTTGTTCCTCATAATCTAGGTATGAGCTCCCCCTTCTCATGCAGACCCCAGCACACCTGCTGACTCCCCGATAAAAATGCAAATGTGAAAAGCACTGGCCAAAAAGAAAACAAACATTATACAAATTTAGTGAAAAGGGGGCAATGTTAACAACATAGAGGAGGCAATGTAAAGAAATAAAAAAGCCTTAGACATTTCTCTTGATCTAAAATCTCTCTGTGCCAAACTATCACAAAAGGAATAGGGAAGATTTGAGAAAAAGGGACAAAAATGAGAAGGGGATTTTATTTCTTATCATTCCTCTGTGGAGCACCCCCAGTTATGACCCCATTTTTAGATTTTCCCTTGAAAATTTCGTTTATTATCCATTTATTTTGAAATGCAGCCTCCCTCTTCCTTTGAAAACCAGATGGGAGACACCTGAAGATGTCCTTGTTCTTATTCATATTTATATCCACATAGCCCAAATACATGGGGCCCCAAAGTATCAAATGGTTGCTGAATGAATGTGTGAATGAAAAAACGAATGTGTGGAAAGACTGTGTAATCTTAAAATGGTCAAAATAAAATAACCACTTGTCCATTTTCATGCTGCTGATAAAGACATATCCAAGACTGGGCAATTTACAAAACAAAGAGGTTTATTGGTCTTACAGTTCCATACGGCTGGGCAGGCCTCAAAACCATGGAGGAAGGTGAAAGGCACATCTCACATGGTGGCAGGCAGACAAGAGAAGAGAGTTTGCGTGGGGAAACTCCTGTTTTTATATAACCATCAGATCTCGTGAGACTTATTCACTATCATGAGAACAGCCCGGGAAAGTCATGCTCCAATGATCCCATTACCTCCCATTGGATCCCTCCCACAACACGTGGGAATTCAAGATGAGATTTGGGTGCGGACACAGCCAAACCATATCATCACTCTAGAGTGGAGAGTGAAACAATGACAGATTTTATATTGTTATTTCTACTAGTTTGACATGAGCTGGATAAAAAATATTTTCATAAGTAATGAACATTCATTCATTATCTCTTGAAAGTAGGAATCTATCATCCATTTTCTTTATATACTCAGTATCTGATACAGTGTCTGGCCTATAGAAGGTACATAACAAATGTTTTTTCAACTGAAGTACTACTTAATCATTATCTCAGTATCCCACGAAAATCGCAAAAACATTAAAGTCCAGATGGTCAGATGACCTCTGCTTGTAGAGGAAGATCCACATATTGTTAATGAAATACGCTGTGATAAAATATGAATTTTTCCTTGTGAATTAAGTAGATGATCTCAGGTCAAAAACAGAGTGGCTACTTATTATTTCTGTCCTATAGCAAGTTTTATTTTTATTGTTTAAAGTATCATGTCAATAGGTGGTGATGATCTAGCTGGAAATAAGACAAACATTAAAAATTATTTTGGAAAAGAAGACAATTTACAGATTCTAAAAACTGAATACTTTTATATAGTGTTTTTAGTGTTTATATATAGTGTTTATGATCATATACCTAGACAGTAAAAAAATGTAGCATAAGAGAGACAAACACTTTTAAGTTTAACCCAATCTCCTCTAAATACATCATTTGTTTATTTTTTTATTTTTTATTTTTTACAATATCACATATAATTTCCATTCCATATAATTCTTTTTAAAAAATATTATATAGTACTTTCTTTATTATGATATGTATTTTTTATTTTATTATTATTATACTTTATGTTGTCTTTATCCAGGGTTGTCCTCAGTAAAAACTGAGAAATAGGAAGACTGTACTTGAATAGAGGGAGCTGGGGTTTCCTGCTCCCTTCTTATGGTAACCTGCGCTGGAACAGTCACTCACTAAGCCTGTCCTCTTCAAGTCTGGCATCCTTCCATAAGCATGAAATCTTGTGAACCTCATCCTTCTTTTCACTGCTTACTCATCCTCTGTCTCACCCTTTGGGGACCTTCTAGGATTGCTTTGCTTTCCAAAATGATGACTAGCTTCTGCTTTGTGTTCAGATATCGTTTGAGAATAATGGCTCATATGTTATAATATGTTAATACATTATATAATATGGCATTACATTAAATAGCCGCAATGCTTGCAATCACAGCAACAGTGCAGCCTCCTGCTATCATAAATCACATTTATTCAGCTTCTTTTGGAGCTGGTCCAGTGGCAAGAGGAAAAAAATCTAGGAATAGAAAAAGGTGGCAAAAAACACTCTTAAAACGATTGTCTGATATATGCTTCTTCAAACATTGTTTGACCCATGCAATGGCCAAATTCTTTTCTAAGATTTTGCATTTGCTTCATATTGGTGGTGGCTATAAGAAACTTTTTAATATGTGTCTCAAACGGTAGATAAAAAGAAATTGAGTCAGAATTATTATCTGCAATAAAAGCAGCTCAGGGTGAGGAGGGCTCTGTAGCTGGTGAATATCGCAGCTGCCTGAGTAAGCACATAGGATAGCAAATTCTTTTAGAGACCTCCTAAAATGCTGTTACATCACATGGTGCATTTGTTCTTGTGACCAGGTCAGTTTTCAGTTCAAGTAATTATATTTTGTGGACCTAATATTCCTGATGCCATTCCAGTTTTAGAATGTACTGTTGGCTTCTTCACCTTCAGGAAAACTCCTAGCAGACAGCTGTGCTGTACTGTTGACACCACGGGCTGATCTTCATAACTGCAGTGCTCAGACAATGAGCAGTTCATCAAGACACAGAGACTGCTTTCCTTTGCAAGTCATACACATAGGAAATATGAATAATTGCCACCGGAAGAATTTGTTTCCGTCTTATTTCTAAAGCAAAGCATTTTCTGTGTTTTCGCTGTTTGTATACATTTGCTGTTTACTATATTAAAGTAGTTTATACTGTAGCATGGGGGGAAAATTAATTGATAGAGATTTCAGCTTGGTTTTTGACCATCCAAAATTCTTAACTCAGACAGACATTTCATTTTTCTAAACTGGACATTCTGCAGAGATAAATGAAGACAGATGGCATCACCTCGAAGCTGGTTATCCTGATGAAAGATCTCAGGGAGTCGCAGCTGTAAGCAACTGTGACCCTTTGACATCTTACATGGAGACAGGTTTGGAGAGAGAAGGGAGGCAGCATGTTCACCCAGCTGCGGCTCTGATATGAATGCTGACAGCGTTGCTGGGATTATTTTTTGTTTAAACTCTGCATCCCATTAGTTCTGATATGAAAAGCTGATCTTGTGACTGTAATGTATGCACGTTTCTGCCACCAGGAAAAAGCACAGTCTGATTGAGCAAGGTAGAATCCAACACCATTCAGCCCAAATAACCTAAAACCCCAACCCTGATTGTGTCATGTCATATATTTTAAGAACCCAGTCCAGGCTGTTACATCAAGTAATATCGAATCAACAGACAGTTAAAATAATGACAATGGGGCTATCTGAAAAAATAAAAGCCATTTGGCCCCTGTAACTGTCAGGCTATTAATGTAGAAAATGAATGTCTGGGGTTGTTTTCCTGACACTGGAGAAACATTCCAATGAGCAATGATAAATTGGAAGGTGAGGGGAAAATCTCTTATCTCTACATAGACTAAAAAGCAGTTGACAACTGTTCCTACATTCTCTGTGTGCAGTCAGATAAAGAGTGCACGATTGGTTTCCCCTGGAATCTTACACTGAGGGTTTTTGCCTCATTCGGAGTGAATATTTGCTCAGAGAGCCAAAATAACACAGATAAACACATGGAAATACATTTGTGTAAAATATGGGGAGTCGACAAGAGTGAGGTCCTTTAGAAGGATTTAGGGAGGGGACTGGGAAAAACAGGGAGCACATTGTGTGGATGTTCTCATGAATTATTTTTAATGGCCCAGACTGGGAACACTTTTGAATATATTAGGATGGGCATTAAGTAGAACAGTCAATTTCTTTCAATACTGATGCAGTTTATCCATCAACAGGTAGATGAGATTTCAATGTGAAATGAATCATGAAAGTTAAAGTAAGTAACATATGGGATGTTAAAATTAATTATCATTCTACTCATTAGAGTGCATATAATGAACAAAACAGTCATTAAAATTATTTATCAAATTGAATACAGAAAATAAAATGCACATTTACTGGGTGATAATATTTTCATCAATGTTATCAATCAAAATATGTGTCCTCTCTTTTGCCTAGAAAAGAGTAAAAATAACATAAATAGTATAAGCCTCTGTTTCATCTATTAAATAAGAGTAACAATATCGTAGATCACTGTCATGAAAATTAGACTAATTGGATTTATTCCAGGCATTTGTTTGGTGCCCTGCTATGAGTGTTCCTTGTCTTGTGCCCTCCAGCAGACAGCATGGTCCTTCCCACATCCTGAGAGCCTCCTGGTTCCTGCCATGGCTCCCTGGCTAACCCTGACATGTGCAGGCGACTCTCTTACCCTCTCCTAACACGAGTTTGCTCAGTGATCAGATTTAAGCTGGCTTTTAAGAAACTGTGATATTAAACATGTTAATCTGGTCTTCCAAGTCAGAATTTCTAATGAGGACAATGGGTTCCAAGCACTCCTCCTATGTTCTAAAGAGAAACACAAGCCACAGCAAACAGGGCAGGGACAAGATGAAAAATCTCGAGCTCTTCTCATCCCATGTTCAGGAGATTGATCAAGAAGGGAAGAAAAACACTGATGGTGAAGATTTTCATGGAGAGTGTTCTTAAGAGTACAGCATGTCCTCTGCCCCCACCCAGGCTCAGGTTGTAGTCCTCCTAATCCAAACCAGGTGAAGGAGAGCATGGCCTTCATCCCATAAAATTTAAAAGACACATAGACTGAGTATCTGACCCTAATGAGAAAATATCTAAAAGCAACAGGTGGATGGAGCTGTCTGTGATGAACTGTGAGAAAAGATGAATACCTTGACAGTGGCTGGCCAAGTGCCCCACATGGGCCAGTGTGGTCGCCATGGACAGTAGCCCATAAACTGTCTGCCATAAAGAGGCCATTTCAAACCACAGCCTTCCAGGGAGAGGTGATATCCACAGAAAGGGTCCATGTGAAGTGCACCTCAAGATGCAGACGGTGAGAGGAGCTGTCACCTTGAGAAGCAGCAAGGGGATGAGCTGTCTTGAAAGGACCACAAGTACACCCTGCAAGTACTAAACACCAGAGCATCAATACCAGATTGCAAGGGCACCAGTCAACCAAGACCTTGACATTCTCAGAACTCTTCTCCTCTCCCAATTCATAGCAAAAAGATAAAAGCAAACCATAGGTTCTTCCTCACTATAGGCTTCTGGGCCTGAGTCAGGCCAGAAGATACACTGTATAATAATCCACTTAAGTATTTTTAAACAGCAACTGTTGACTGGCTAACACTCCTGTGAGTCAGCAATTTGGACAGGTGCAGATGGGCTGCTCTTCTGGTCCTCTCTAGGCTCACTCGTGTACTAGTGCTCAGCTGCTGGGTCGGCTGGAGGCTTCTGGATCTTGCATGGTCTTGGCTGTGGTAGCTCCTCTCTCCTCCACACAGTCTCTCATCCTCCAGTGGGTAGCATTATGAGGGTTGGATAGTAACCCCAAAGTGCTGGCAGAAGCACACTTGGCCTCTTGCTTCCTGGACTCAGAACTGAAACAACATCACCCCTGCTGCATTCCTTGAGTGAGAGTTAGTCACAGGGTCAAGCCTGATCCATGGGGTAGACAAACAGATGTCATCTCTTCATCTCTTCATGGGAGGAGCTTCGAGATCACATTGCAGAGCCATGAATCCAGAACAGGCAATATTTGGGGCCACTCCTGACATCAGTACCATGGTTGCTGACGCATGGTGAACACTGTGGGAGAGACGAGCAAGGGCCTGACCATTTAGGGGTATGGGCCTGGGAAGGAGATGGAGTCTTTTTTCTAAGTGCAGTGGAAGCCACTGTACGTTAGTGTGATTTACAGTTTTGAAATATTACTTAGCGATGCTACATGGGGAGTAGGTTGCAAAAGGGCCAGAGCAGAAGCATAATGATAAGTTGAAAGCAATTGCACTGATACAGGCAATGTTTATTTGACGGTGTCTTGGATGAGCAGCCACAGAGCTGGAGAAAATTCAATTAAAGGAAATATTTTATAAGTAGAGCAGGAAATACTTTATAAAGAGACTCATAGGACTGGATGATGTATTCACTGTAGGAGGCTCTGGAAAGAGAGGAATCCAGGAGGATACCTAGAGCTTTATGTGCTGGGTAAGTTGTGGTACAATTCACTAAGAAGTGGGAAAGCAGGAAAGGAGCTGTGGGTTTAGTAAAGCAATTCGATCTCTCTTTTGTACATATTAAGTTCCTGATGTCTCTTATTCAAATAGCAATGCCAAGTAAGCAATTAAACTTATGTGTCTAGAGGTCATCAGAGTGTTTAGAACTAGAGTCATCAGCATACTCATATTTTAAAACACGAAAACGTATTTGCTGACCCATGGAGAGAATGCAGATAGAGAATGAGGTCCAGACCAAACTTTATAAAAACCAAATATTCAGAGGTTATCTGGAAGACAAGCCAGCACACGGGACCGAGGCGGACCCAGTGAACTCATCAGGCAGTCACAAATGAAAGGAAACCTTGGCACCACTGACACATTGAGCAAGAGAACACTTTTTTTGTGAGGACTCCCTGGCCTCTACACACCAGATGCAGGAGTACTCCCTTCACCATGAGGGACAAAAAAAATATGTCTTTAGACATGGCCAAGGCACCCCTGGAGGGCAAAATTATAACCACTGCTCTAGATGAAAGAAGTTGCCAACTGCATCAGACACGACTGAACAATCAACTGTGCAGTGATAAGAGGAGTGACCACAGGCTCTGGCCATATGGCCATTGTGTCCCCACAGAAGCTGTTTCAGTGTCACATTGAGAAAGGCAACTGGATCAGATTGGGTTGCAGAGTCAGTAAGAGGTGAAGAACTGAAGATAAAAATGTAGGCAGTTCTTTAGAAATGACTTGCTGTGACAGAGAACAATTAGAGCTTTAGCTGGAAGGGCACTTGAGGTAAGGAAAGGGGCTTTTCAAGGGAGATGTTAGAACATGTTTGCATCTGATAGGAATAATTCTGCAGAGAGGAATAATTAGTAGTTCAGGAGATTGTGAGTGGAATACAGAGTGCAAAGGTCCTGACCCTGGAGAGGCTCCTAACACAGGTAAAAGGGGAGGAACAGAGGCTGCAGGAGCTGCAGGCACTGCTGTGGCTCCGGTTGTGGCAAGATGACGGGGTCCCAGCAGACCACTGCTCACAGGGGACTTGTCTTTAAGAGGGGCCAGATTCACTCTGAGAGGCTGAGTCTGCAATTCAAGGCTTTCTTCTAATTCTCCCCTTCTCCAGCTATATCTGCAGCAGTGCAGCACGAACAGTATCTGTCCAAATGCACAAGTCATTTCTTTAACTAACTAAGCTCTATGGTAGCTTTGAACAGCTTTATTCAGAAACTTTCTGGGCTATTTTCCTCATGTTTGCAGTTCCCCACTTTACCTGCTGCCACACCTTTCCCCTTTACAGGCATCCCTTCCTAATCCACGATCAAGCTGGTACCACCAGCCCACCTGAGAATTTCTCTTTTATTCCTTCTAGTGAACACTATTGACTGAAAGCTGACCGGGTTAGTATAATCCCCCATTTTACCCATACCTTTCTTCATGCAATAGCAAACTTAAAATTTAAATAGGTTAGAGAAAATGAAATAGTAGGGATATTGTATTTGCCAGGGCTCTCCAGGGAAATAGAGCCCCTAGGATATCTGGAAAGAGGGTTATTGTAAGGAATTGGCTCCACACTTAGGGAGGCTGACAAGTACCTCTATCTGCAGTTGGCAAGCTGGGGACCCAGGGCTCTCACTTCAGTTACAGCCTGAAGGCAGGAAGGGCCAATGTCCCAGCTCAAGGCAGGCAGGAGAAAGAATTCCCTGTTTCTCATGGGAGGTGAGCTTTTTGGATCCATTCAGGCCTTTGATGAATGAGGCCCACTACCACTGGGAAGGGCCATCTGCTTCACTCAGCCCATGGATTCAAATGTTCAACTCATCCGAAAGCCCCTTGACAGATCTACCCAGAATAATACCTGACCCAATGTCAAGGCACCCTATGGCTCAGTCAAGTTGACATAAATTAACTATGACAGGTGTTATGGGAGAAAAGGAGCAAACTGGAAGGGAAACAAGCCCAGGAGTTGTCTTTCCTAGAGAGATGCCCCCCAATTCAGTCACTGGTACCACCTGCTCAGAGCTTCACCTTTGCAATGGACCAATTGTTTACGGCTGCCTCAAATTCCTATGTTGAAATTCTAACCCCCAAGTTTGATGATATAGGAAGTGAGGCCTTTGGGTGGTGATTAGGTCATGAATGGAATTAGTGTCCTCGGAGACCCCATAGAACTTCCTCGCTCCTTTCCACCATGTGAGGACACAGCCAAAAGTGGGACACCTATGAACCAGGAAGTGAGTTTGGCCAAAGTCCAAATCTACCAGCACCCTGATCTTGGACTTCCCAGGCTCCAGATAAATATCTGATGTTTACAGCCACCCAGTCTGTGGTGTTCCGTTACAGCAGTCCAGCTAGACCAAGACCCTGTGCAGGTCCAAGGCAGGATCATGTCAGGACAAAGATCCTGCTCAGGGCCCGTCCAGCCTCCATTCCTGACTTACTGTTCCATCCAAAATATTGCAGTGACAGCCTGTCAATATATTATTATAATCTTATGAGCCTCTTCACCTGCCTATAATATAAGACTTATTTCACAGAAACTAATGCTTCTACTCATGTAATATATCAGGCAATAGCTATGACATGGACAATATCCCAAAGCAACAGGCATCTGGAAATATACCATCCAGAGTAAGTCAGAGAGGGCCATGGGCCACCCTTTAGGGTCTATTCCACCTCCGTGTTTCAAGTTTCATGTGGTTATGATGTGAGCATGTGTATGCGTGGCCATGGTCCTTAGCTTTGGGGTTAACCAGACCTCTTTTCTACCCACCTGTTCTGAACCATGGTCTTGTTCCCACCATGCTCATGGGAGTCCTTGTCTCACGACGCTCTGGTTCCACTGATAAAACACAGACTCAGTTTGTTTAACGATCCATTTGGAAATAGTCCTTCAAGTGATTAATGACAGCCGACAATAAGCATAAGTCAAATTAAATGTCCCTTCAGGTCATAAAAATGAGGTTGAGAGTCACAGATATTCCTCCTCCACACCCAAGTCCACTGGGACCTATAACCACCAGGTCAATTTTACCAGTGTTCCCATCAGGGAAGGGAACCCTGAAAACCAGTAGTATATGTGACATGTTATTCATGCCACTGAAGATGGCTTTGCCACCTAAGCCACACTTTTTGCACTTTTTTTTGATCCACTCAGTGTCATATTACGTATTCGGGTCATAGACATTTTCCTCTGTGAGAAACAAGCTGGTCTATGTTAGATGAAGACCAACAATCATGACAGTGTTACATTAGCCCACGTTCTATCCCAAAGTAGTTGACACCCTGAAAAGGGAAAATGAGGAAAAGAGAATAGGTCCACATGCACATTTCAATGAGTCGTTCATTGCAAGTCCCCAGTCACCCTTCACTCCTCTCTCTCATTCCCACATCCAAACCATCCTTCCCTACTTTTTATGTATTTTTTCATAGCGATCGTTGTCTTTTAACATACTATAATCTAGGCCGGGCACGGTGGCTCATGCCTGTAATCCCAGTACTTTGGGAGGCCAAGGCGGGCGGATCATGAGGTCGGGAGATCAAGACCATCCTGGCTAACATGGTGAAACCCCATCTCTACTAAAAAGACAAAAAATTAGCCAGGCATGGTGGCATGCACCTGTAGTCCCAGCTACTCAGGAGGCTGAGGCAGGAGAATGGTGTGAACCCGGGAGGCAGAGGTTGCAGTGAGCCAAGATGGTGCCACTGCACTCCAGCCTGGGTGACACAGTGAGACTCCGTCTCAAAAAAAAAAAACAAACTATAATCTAAATATATTATGTTTTCATCCCTTTGTGTCTTTAAGCCACTACCACCTCTATTAGCATACAAATTCCTGGAGGGCAGCATTGTCTCTCTATTCTCTTAGCTGATGAATCTCCCATGACAAGTACTGTGCCGGGAACACAGTTACTTCTCCATAAAGTGTTGATCAAATGAATGGACTGGATTTTTCTCAATAGGTAAACGTTTTTGGGGGAGAACAAAGTAACAGACCAATTCATTCAATCTCTCTTCTCTTAGAGAGAAGCGAGAAGGCCAAGGAATTTCTTCTCTTACACTCTTGTTTGCCTTGTCCCTTCTCCTAACTTCTACCTTAACATTTGCTTCCAACTCTAGTTTGATTGGGCTTTAGCCCAGCTGTTTCCTGAGGATCTATTTGCTACTGGTTTATATTGGATGCAATTAAGTTGCCTTTTAAAAATTATGGTTTCTGACCTTATACCCAATTTCTAACTCATCCAAAATGTCTGTTTTATGTTACATTTTAATCCTCAATTCTCAGTACTGGCCGTTCATACCTTGTTCAAGTACGACTTGAGACTTCATTCGACTTCACACAGCCCTGTGAGCACTTGAGTGGTAACAAGGGGTTTCTGCCATTCATCCTAGTTGAATCACAGCTAAGTCACAAAGCCATTTGGACTCATTGCAAAACTTTTTTCTCTAACACTGAGTGGCACTGAACTGATTATGAGCATGTACTCACCCTGACCACATCATTACATGATTGCAACATCCTGAACAAACTCATTCTGCAGCACCATTGCCACGTCCACAGAAGCAAGCATTGCAGCCCTGTGTGTAGACCATACTGCACTGTGATGTCCTGAGCCCGCACTCAAGAACCTCTTCTGATTCAAACCTGGAAACACGCTGCTTCCCTACCTGACTGCCCGTCACTGATTTTCTTGTGTAAGTAGCTTTCAACTGCACTTGTGAGATAGAAAGAAACTAGAGATGATTTCTCCTCTGAAGACGGAACCCTCAGGATTGCTGACACGTCATTCTTACACACCATGTCAGCCCATATTTCCCACCCCTGCAAAGGACATTGCATATCATCTGCTATGTTAAAGTATCCCCTTTTTCTATCACAGTACAAAGAAATCGCAAAGAAAAAATATATATAGATTAGGAAAGTCACAGGTACTCATCTCATGCAACTTATTTCATCTGGATGGAAGTGAACTCTTTCAGAGTCTTCCTTTTCAAATCTATCAGTCTACCATCACAGTGCCAAAGAGCTCTAGGAAATTAAAAAGATATTAAACGTGGCTTTTGTCCTCAAGGATCATACCCAGCTAAGAGAATAAAGCATATTTTCATAAAAAGTTACCTTCTCATAAATAGTACAAGCTAATATACCATGACTCAGAGAAAAGAGAAGATGACCTTAGTCTAAAGTGACCAGGACAAGGACAAAGAGAATAGATGAGAGGGGGTCTGTGCCCTAAAAATCAGCTCAAATTGAACTGATAGAATGGAGGAGAGTGAGCATTCAGAGAACAACTGCAGAGTTAGGTAGCAGGGATCAGTGGGCATTTGACACACAGCATATGGCTGCTTGAGGTCAGAGGTTCATCAGTTCATTCATTAATTAACCTATTACTTCAATAAATGTATTGAATGTGTTTAATACAATAGATAACATGTTAATTGGGTACAAGAAACACAACTGTGAACCAAAACGAGGTAATTACTGCCCTCATGGAGCTGACATTTTAGGGGAAGAAACAGAAGCCAGACCACTTTGCTAATTAATAAATTATATCTTGTGTTAAGTAAGTGCTGGAAAGGAATGAAGCATGTTCTATAAAATTGGAGGGTGGCGGATGGGGGGACACTCCAAGAGGAGTGCTGGGAACAGCACACTGGGAAAGGGAACAGCAAATGTGAAGTCTCTGGGGAGCAAAGAACTCTCTGCACCTGGATAATGACAGTAGACTGGTGTGGCTTGCACCGAGGAGATTTTGTTTTCTTTCTTTCTCTCCGTTTCTCCCTTTCTCCCTTTCTCTCTTTCGTTTCTCTTGCTCTGTCACCCAGGCTGGAATCAGTGACACAATCATGGCTTGTTGCAGCCTGACCTCCTGGGCTCAAGTGAGCCTTCTGCCTCAGCCTCCTGAGTAACTGGGACTACAGCATGCACATGTTGCCCAGGCTGGTCTCATACTGCGGACTCAAAGGATCTTCCCTCCTTGGCCTCCCAAAATGCTGGGATTACAGGGGTTATCCAGGACACCCAATACCCTAGAGGAGGATTTGAGAAGCACAGAGTCCAGGGCAGCAGCAGGCACAGCCCTGCCCCCTGCCGGAACGGGACTCACACGTGTTTTTATTCTAAGAGTAGTTAGAACACTTTGGACTATTGTAAGTCAGAAAGTGACATAATAAATGCATACTTTAAAGAGATCATTCATGTTGATAAGTGAGGAATAGAATGGAGCGGCACAAATGGAAGTCAAGAAACCAGTCATGTGACTAGTGCCAAAATTTGGAGGACAGATGTGGACTTTTTGAGGTGGTTTCCAGAAAAAAGGCCATCATTTTGATGTTAGAAGTAATTCTTGACAACATTTCAGCATAAGACAAACCCTTTTATTTTTCTCAAGTGATACATCTGACTGTATCTGTAGACACAGAGAAAGATCAAGTGGTGAGGGAAAATTTTCAGGTAAAAGAGAGACAACAGGAAAAACTAAGAGAGTAAGATCTTAAAGAAGACAGAGATGCCAACTGGAAGGGTCAGCCTTTGAAAGAGGATGCTTCCTGCTTTGAGAGGCTGGGAAAGGAAGACAGATATCGTCTGGCCAAGGAAAGAACATGTGAGTTTGTGGTACACCCAGGAACAAAGTTTCATGACTTTCGTGCTGCAGGACCTCTATCCATTTTTTACCTGGCATCTCTGGCCTGTGACAAGGGGGAGGCACCTGTGTTGTCAGAGCATGCTAAAGGTCAACAGGCCAAGTCCATCCATAATTTGCAGAGGGTAATAAAATCAGATGCGGAGGATTGAAACGAGAAGGACTGTTAAGGAATAGTGATGAAATCACTTTCTGGAATCACAGAGGACAGCCAAGAGCTTGAGGACCTCTCTTCTCCATGTGTCTAAAAATGTGAATAGGAGACACCCTGTAGGAAGGAGTCTCCAAAGTGGGATAGCAGCATGGCCTGGCCGGGTTTGGATTGCAAGAGGAGCCCAGGCTACAAAGGGTAGACCTGAGATGCAAACAGAGCAGCTAACTCAAAGCCAGACTCTTTCCACAAGGAGACGGCGGGAAGAGTTCATGCCTTGGGCAGTCTTTGTAGTCAGCGGGCATAAGTGAATTCAGGGACTTGCAAATGGTGTTAGTTTCAGAGCTTATATGAGTAAAAGGAGAATTTAGCTACCAAAATTTGTGAAATGGACCAATCCTAAATTTCTTTGAAAAATCACTGTAATTGCCTCCATAAGCTCTGACCAAGGTCACAGTTGGGTTACTCTGGCAAGGTAGAAAATAAGACAAAGCAACTAGGGGTTCCCAGAACCATGCTCCCAGCGCAAGCTCTGTCTTCACCCACACTCAGGTTCTTCTGAGTTCTCTCTCACCTCAGTTCTCTAAGCCCTCTTCCCTTACATTTCTATCCCCAACTTTACTATTCCCTAAGAAACGAGAGCTGGTGCACCCCCTCTGGAGAGAAGCCAGATCCCAGAGCCCTCCCTGCTGGACGGCTGCAGTAGAAAAATAGCACAACTATGACTCCGTTACATTTCGTTGACCTGAAAACACAGTGATCTGGGGGAGAAGGACTTTTACTGAGGCCTTAGCTGATCGGCACTCTCAGTAACGGGGCAATAAATGGGTTCCATTAAGATTTTTGAGCCAAAACAAAACCTTGCTGGGATAGTCTGGGCTTGACATTAAGGAAATCTCAGCTCAGAGGCGCAATGCAGCAAGTGGAAGGTCTCCTCACATCCTCCCGGCGAGGGATTTCAGGGTCAGAGTCCCATTTCAGCCTAGTGTACGCTTTGTTTAAATCTTTTGCAGTCTCTTTTGAGCTTAGTCATTCTTATAATATTGCTATTTTTTCTTCATTCAATCTAAAATTGTGGCTCCTCTGAAATGTTACAAGAAAGCTCCAAATCAGAATGCTACACAGGCAGTGTGGTGGTTTTGGCGGTATGTGGCTCTATTAAGTAGAGTCAATTTAGTACTGGATATAGGAAAAGACTAAATTAGAATCGTGGTTGGCAGAAATAGTCTCCCATCTGGCAGTGTAATTACATACTACCTTGACCTGAACAGTCCTTGCTGTTCCAAGTACCAAGATTCCTTTGGAGAGGGGAAGAAAGAAAAATAGATCAAAGTTTCGAAAGTATATTATTTAGAATACATTCTATATCTTTTTGAGAAATAAGCTGCATATGTCTTTTTCTAATATGGTCCTCTCTTTTATAATTAAATGAAATTTCCAGTCACTTAATGAATGTGACCACTTTATGGCCGGGATAAACAGATGAGATCTGTGTGCTCATTTTCACCCATGACATCAGACACTATTTCAACTAGGACACTGATTCATACCCTCTTTGGCGTCCTCATTCCTGAGGGTTTTTTTTCTTTTTTAAAGGGTCAGTCTTAGTTGCTGCTGACATGCGGCATTTTCAAAGACTCAAAGTGGTCTTTATTACAACCCTTGACTTCACCTTCTATGCCAACAGGAAATTTTATACAGCTGTAACCTCCTCATTAGAACAGTGCCAGGAAGTGGTTCTGGCGTGATTTGATGTTGCCACCTACTGGCAAAATCAGTCCTGTTCGCCTTCTTGCTTTATTTATTTATTTGTTTGTTTCTGTTCTAACACTCAGCATTTCCTCTAAATCCATAAAGATTTAGATTTTCTCTATCTACTTTAAAACTACAACAAGCTGGACTTATAATCCAAAAACATCACCATTTGAATCTCTGCAAACCAAAATCTTGCCACTTCGGGGTGAAATCATCAAGGCCAGGCGCGAACCTCATTTTTACTGTCAAATGCAGGATTGTCACATCTATTTGCAGTGCTCCCAGGCCCTGCCCCACATATCCCCCGATCCAGATTGACAGCCAGGGCCTCCCCTCTTTCATCTCAGTCTCCAGACTATCCCAGCCATAACCAGACCCTGAACGAAGCCTTGTCATTCACCTCAAAGGGCTACTGCGCTCACAGGCAATCAAATCATTGGATTGCTTTTAAAAAGAAAATGACACTGATCGTCAAGTGCCTTATGTACATCTCATTGGAACTGCAAGCTCAAATTAGGCTGTCAGAATTTCACTCTTCTCAGTGCCTGTGTGTCAAGTGACGCAATTAGCTCTGGAGAATAAAGAAGAGGCTTGTCAGCGCGCTCGGAGCCTCTCTTCTCAGTCCTGTCCCTTCACACGGTGCCTGACTTAATTCAAGTTCTTTTCATGCTTGAAGGTGTGTGTGGTGTGTGTGTGTGTTACCCTTCAAACTTCAAAATGATCACACCACCGGGAAGAGTCGGGGTAAAATTGGTGTATTTCTTATAAGGACCCAAATGCTTTTTTTTTTCACTTCCCTTCTGCAAATGAGAATTTATCAAAGGCTGAGTCTCAGTCCTTTGTGAGTAAAACAAAGAATGCTGAAAAACAGTTGTCAAATTCATGTTGAAACGGGAAGGGTCAAAGCTTCAGTAATAGTGACCCAGCACGACTAAATACCTACCCAACCTGATGGCTTCAGGATGACCGAGAGCAAGCTCTTCTCAGACGGCAGCAAAGCAGACACATGTCTATTTAATGCTGAATGAGAATGAGGGTCCCCTTGGCGCCATGTCCTGCCTTCGACAGAAGTGAGTGTGACATCTGATGCTTTAGAGAACAGTTAGACACACACTAGTCCACACTGAGCGCCTGGAACAGACCTAACCCAATGGAGATGGGGTGTGTTTTGGAAAAAACAAAGTACATCCACTCCTGCCATGAAAATTGGGATTGTTTCTGATTCTAATCCCAAGGACTGCTAGCAAAACTCTTCCAGCATTAGAGAAACGTGCACCACAGACAGGGCAGCAGACACAGGGCACAGGAAAGGGGCCCACTGTTTCCCAGCCAGGGGCTGCAGCTGGGGCAGGGAGCTTTGGGGTGAGACTCAGATTCTGACCTCCCCACCCCAGTACATCCTTCCTTGTGAGTCTAGGGCACCAGAGAGGCCCTCAAACCAGCCCAGCCTGCACCTGCTCAGAGGGGCCACCATGGAGAAGCCTTGGGTGGGGACTGATGGTAGAGGCAAAGAAATCTTATATTCTGAATAAAGAATT
Organism: Homo sapiens; assembly: GCF_000001405.40. NCBI lineage: Eukaryota > Metazoa > Chordata > Mammalia > Primates > Hominidae > Homo > Homo sapiens. The sequence continues at coordinate 165,233,443 of NC_000006.12, forward strand.
TGAATTTAAACTCAGCAAGAATAACTTAATCTGATTGTTTATTTTTTAGTTTGTAACATAAACGTTGAATAAATTTGTCCATTTCACCCAGATTTCTGGAAGCCAGCACTGTGGAAGGAGCTCCTGTGGGCTTCGATTGCTCCCTGGATCTGCCTCCCATGGACCTGCCCAGCCGAAGGGGTCACAGACTCCCCTCGCCACCATTTCACCCTGACCCTACAGGCAGCCACAGAAAGGTACCCAGGCAGGCTTCTCAGGGTTGGCGTGGGCATCTGCAGGGAGAGCAAGGCAGCAGGTGATTCAAAGCCACAGGGACACACAGCCCTGCAGGCAGTGCCAGCCACAAGAGGGATGGAAGAGTGGCCAGGGACAGAGAGATGCCACCCACAGGTCTGTCCCAGGGCTCCTCAGAGAACACTCAGACTCCCCAGCGGGCAGTCTCAATGGGTGGTCCATGAGTGGCAGGTGTATTGCAGTGAACCGGCCCCCGGTGGGACACCTTCCTGCCTCTGCTTCCCTCCTGGCCAGGACAGAGTGTGATGCCAACACTCTTTAGTCACTATTGCCCCATTCAGGTAGCAGATGCTTCCTAATGGGCTCATGGGGCTGTGGCCCAGTGGGACCAAAATCTAAGCAACGTATTTAGCTCCAGAGAGAAACACCGCCAGCATCCCTCTGCTCAGTCTACCCTCTGCGGTCATCACTAGGCCCCAGTGTGGCAGAGAAAGGACTTCACCCCACATGGCCAGCCTTGCTTAAATGCCTTGAGAAAATAAACCCTGAAATTAGTTGTGCATATTGGCTTTTTTTTTTTTTTTTTTTTTTTTTTTTTTTTTTTTTTTTTTTCAGAACCATGAGAGTCTCAGGTACAAACAGAAAGGAGCAAAGATTTCAGAATTCCTGACTTGGTTCTGGGAACAATGTAATCCATGCAGTTATCCAGGACACAAGGGCCACTGGCTATGAGCAGCCTGTGCTCAGGGAAACCAAGCAAGATAAACTCAGTGCACAGACACGGAGCAGGCCATGCATAAGACAGAACAGACCACGGGTCTCACCCTATGAAACCAAGGCACTCTAGGATGATAAAATGGGGCATTACCCCATAAAATCTCTAAGTCATTATTTTCCATTTGGGGGTAGGTAGCCAATATTCTCTAGTATATTTCCGTTTTTACTTTTTTTATTTTTTATTTGTACCTTTTAACAGCTTTGTTGAGGTATATTTAACATACAGAATACTGCATCTTTTTAAAGTGTACACTTCGATAATTTTGACAAGTTTTTATACTGCCATGTACAAGGTTTCCTCCTGCCTCTTTGAAATTCTTCCTTCCCGTCACTTCCACTTCATCCCGTCCCAAGCCAAGTGCAAATCTGCTTTCAATCATTACAGAGAAGTTTGCATTTTCTAGAATTTGATATCAATGAAAGCAAGCAGCATATATACCTTTTTTGTTCAGCTTCTTTCACTCTGCGTAGTTAAGATTAATCCATTCTGTGGCATGCATCACTAGTTTATTCCTTTTTATTGCTGTGTAGTATTCCATTACATGGATATATCACGTTTTGTTTATATACTCATGTATTAATGGATATTTGGCTTATTTTCCCAGTTTGGGATGACTGCAAATAAAGCTGCTGTGGCCATTTGTGTATAATCTTTGTATGGATGTGTGCCTCTGGTTCTCTTGAGTAAATACCTAGGAATAGAGTTTCTGGCTCATATGGAAAGTATATGTTACAGTTTTTGAGGAACTGCCAAACTCTTTACCAACGTGACTGTGCCATTTTACAGTCACACCAGCAGGATGTGTGTGTTCAGGTCTCCACAGCCTGATCAAGGTTGGCACAGCCATTCCTTTTCATGTTACACTTTCTAATAGTGTGTTTTACTGTGGTTTTAATCTGTATTTTCCCAAAGTCTAGCAGTGTTGAACATCTTTTCATGTGTTTATTTGCCACGGTTTCATTGATTTTTCTCAGTGATCCATGTCATAATCACACATAAGTAACACTTTTAGTTTTGCTATCACAGTTTGTCATTTATTTGCATATTCATCTGATACAGTTTGGCTGTGTTCCCACCCAAATCTCATCTTGAATTCTCACATGTTGTGGGAGGGACCCGGTGAGAGATAACTGAATCATGGGGGACAGGTCTTTTCTGTGCTGTTCTCACAATAGTGAATAAATTTCATGAGATCTGATAGTTTTAAAAAGAGGAGTTTCCCTGCACAAGTTCTCTTTCTCTTTGCCTACTGCCATCCATGTAAAATGTGACTTGCTCCTGTTTGCCTTCTGCCATGATTGTGAGGCCTCCCCAGCCATGTGGAACTCTAAGTCCGTTAAACCCTTTCCCCTGTATAAATTACCTGGTCTCAGGTATATCTGTATCAGCAGTGTGAAAATGGACTAATACAGTAAATTTGTACCAGTAGAGTGGGGCACTGCTAAAAACATACCCCAAAATGTGGAAGTGACTTTGGAACTGTGTAACAGACAGAGGTGACAACAGTTTGGAGAGCTTAGAAAACAGAAAAATGTGGAAAAGTTTGGAACAGCCTAGAGACTTGTTGAATGGCTCTGACAAAATGCTGATAATGATTTGGACAATGAAATCCAAGCTGAGGTGGTCTCAGATGGAAATGAGTAACTTTTTGGGAACTGGAGCTAAGTTGACTCTTCTTATATTTTAGCAAAGAGACTGGTGGCCTTTTACCCCTGGCCTAGGGATTTGTGAAACTTTGTACTTGAGAGAGATGATTTAGGGTATCTGGCAGAAGAAATTTCTAAGCAGCAAAGAATTCAAGAGGTGACTTGGGTGCTGTTAAAGGCATTCAGTTTTATAAGGGAAGCAGAACATAAAAGTTTGGAAAATGTGCAGCCTGACAATGTGATAGAAAAAAAAATCCCATTTTCTAAGAAGAAATTTAAGCCAGCTGAAGAAATTTGCATAAATAACAAGGAGCTGAATTTTAATCCCCAAGACAATGGAGAAAATGTCTCCAGGGCATGTTACAGCAGCTCCTTCCATCACAGGCCCAGAGGCCTAGGAGGAAACAATGGTTTCATGGGCTGGGCACAGGGTCCCTCTCCTGTGTGCAGTCTAGCGACTTGGTATCCTGCATTCCAGCCCCCTCAGCCATGGCTAAAAGAGGCCAAGGTACAGCTCAGACTTTTGCTTCAGAGGTGGAAGCCCCAAGCCTTGGCAGCTTCCATGTGGTGTTGAGCCTGCAGGTGCACAGAAGTCAAGAATTGAGGTTTGGGAACTTCCACCTAGATTTCACAGGATCTATGGAATGCCCGGATGCCCAGGCAGAAGTTTGCTGAAGGGGTGGGGTGCTCATGGAGAACCTCTATTAGGGCAGTGCAGAAGGGAAATGTGGGATTGGAGTCCCCACACAGTGCCCCTACTGGGGCACTGCCTAGTAGAGCTGTGAAAAGAGGGCCACCATCTACCAGACCCCAGAATGGTAGATCCACTGACAGCTTGCACTGTGCATCTGGAAAAGCTGCAGACAATGCCAGCCCATGAAAGCAGCCAGGAGAGGAGCTGTACCCTGCAAAGTCACAGGGTGGAGCTTCCCCAAACCACGGGAAACCACCTCTTGCATCAGTGTGACCCGGATGTGAGACATGGAGTCAAAGGAGATCATTTTGGAGCTTTAAGATTTGAGTGCCCCACTGGATTTCAGACTTGCATGGGGCCTGTAACCTCTTTGTTTTGGCCAATTTCTCCCATTTGGAATGGCTGTATTTACCCAATATCTGTGCCCCCATTGTATCTAGGAAGTAACTAACTTGCTTTCGATTTCACAGGTTTATAGGCAGAAGGGACTTGCCTTGTCTCAGATGAGACTTTGGATTGTGGATTTGTGTGTTAATGCTGAAATGAGTTAAGACTTTGGGGGACTGTTGGGAAGGAATGATTGGTTTTGAAATATGAGGACATGAGATTTGGGAGGGGCAAAGGGAGGAATGATATGGTTTGGCTGTGTCCCCACCCAAATCTCATCTTGAGTTCTCATGTGTTGTGTGAGGGACCCAGTGAGAGATAATTAAATCATGGGGACAAGTCTTTCCTGTGCTGTTTTCATAATAGTGTATAAGTCTCACGAGATCTGATGATTATATAAGGGGGAGTTTCCCTGCCCAAGTTATCTTCTCTTGTCTGCTGCCATATGAGATGTGCCTTTCACCTTCGGTCATGATTGTGAGGTCTCCCCAGCCACGCGGAACTGGCTCAGATGGAAATGAGTAACTTTTTGGGAACTGGAGCTAAGTTGACTCTTGTTATGTTTCAGCAAAGAGGCTGGTGGCATTTTGCCCCTGGCCTAGGGATTTGTGAAACTTTGAACTTGAGAGAGATGATTTAGGGTATCTGGGGAACTCCCCAGCCACGTAAGTCCAATAATCCTCTTTCTTTTGTATATTGCCCAGTCTTGGGTATGTCTTTATCAGCAGCATGAAAATGGACCAATACATGCCCAAAGTATGATTTTCTCCCAATCTCAATTATTTATGCATGGAACACATGGCAAATTATTAATAATAAATCAATTGTAAGACAACCCTTCTGGGTAAAAATTAACCAAAACAAATTTTTAGAGTTCTATATCCAAATCCATTTGAGAGAAAAACTTTCCACACATCAATTAATTTGTCAGCAAAAAAGAAGTGCTTTCATTTGAGAAATCTATTTTTTATAAAAGTCAGTTTAATTTGATAACACTTACTTTAAAATTATTTGGGAGAAAAGTTGAGCAACTTCTATACTGCACCTTACTTTAAAACTTACTTTCATAAATATAATCTCAAAGTTGTTAAAAAGTGTTTAATATAAATTTTATTTATTTTTATTTTATTTTAGATTCAGGGGGTACATGTGCAGGTTTGTTACATGGATGTATTGTACAGTAGTGAGGTTTGGGCTTCAAGGGAACCCATCATCCAAATAGTGACCATTGTATCCAATAGATAATATTTCGATCCTCACTTCCCCCCAACTTTTTCCCCTTTTGGAGTCTCCACTGTCTGTGATCTCTTCTGTATGTCTATGTGTACCCATTGTTTAGTTAACACTTATGAGAACGTGTGGTATTTGGTTTTCTGTTTCTGAGTTATTTCACTTAAGATAATGGCCTCTAGCTCCATCCATGCTGCACAAAGGACATGATTTTATATTTTTATGGATAAATAGTATTCAATGGTGTACATACACCATATTTTCTTTATGGACACTTATGTTGATTCCATTGATGGAACTATTGATGGACACTTATGTTGAGTTCATGACTTTCCTATTGTGAATAGTGCTGCAGTTAGCATACAACTGCAGGTGTCTTTGATATAACAATTTTTTTCCTTTGGGTAGATACCCAGTAGTGGAATTGGTGGATCAAATGGTGGTTCTATTTTTAGTTCTTTGAGAAATCTCCATACTGTTTTCCATATTGTTTTTCAATCCATAAGAGATGTACTAATTTACATTCTCATCAACACTGTGTAAACATTCCTTTTTCTACACATGCTCACCAGCTTCTGTTATTTTTTGACTTTTTAATAATAGCCATTCTAACTTTGGTAAGATGGCATCTTACTGTGGTTTTAATTTGCATTTCCCTGATGATTAGCAATGTTAAGTATTTTTTCATATGTTTGTTGGCCACTTGTATATCTTCTTTTGAGAAATTTCTGTTTGTGTTCTTTATCCACTCTTTAACAGGGTTACTTATTTTTTTTCTTATTAATTCAAGTTCCTTATGGATTCTGGATATTAGTCCTTTGTGGAATACATAGTTTGCAAATATTTTTCTCCCATTCTGTAGGCTGTCTGTTTACTCTGTGGATTGTTTCTTGTGCTGTGCAGAAGCTCTTTAATTTAATGAAGTGCCGTTCATCTATTTTTGTTTTGTTGAATTTGCTTTTGAGGTCTTAGTCATAATTATTTGTCTAGGTTGATGTCCAGAAGAGGTTTTCCTAACTTTTATTCTAAGATTTTTATAGCTTCAGGTCTACATTTAAGTCTTTAATCCATTTTGATTTAATTTTTGTATATAGTGAGAGACAGAGGTCCAGTTTTATTCTTCTGTTAGCCAGTTATCCCAGTACCATTTATTGACTAGGGAGTCTTTTCCACATTGCTTATTTTTGCTGACTTTGTCAAAGATCAGTTGGTGGTAGGTACGTTGCTTTATTTCTGGGTTCTCTGTTCTGTTTCATTGATCTATGAGTCCATTTTTGTACCAGTACCATTCTCTTTTGATTACTGTAGCCTTGTAGTATACTTTGAAGCCAAGTAATGTGATGCCTTTAGCTTTGTTCTTTTTGCTTATGATTGCTTTGGCTATTCGGGCTCTTTTTTGGTTCCATATTAATTTTCCAATTGTTTTTTCTAATTCTGTGAAAAATTACATTGGTAATCTAATAGGAATTGCATTGAATCTGTAGATTGTTTAGGGCAGTATGGTCATTTTAACAACATTAATTCTTGCAATCCATGAGCATGTGATGTTTTTCCATTTGTTTGTGTCATCTTTGATTTTTTTTAGATCAGTGTTTTGTAGTTCTCCTTGGTTAAATGCATTCCTAGGTATTTGTGTACGTGTGTGGCTATCATAAAGGGATAGAATCCTTGATTTGGTTCTCAGCTTGAACAAGATTGAACATTGTTGATGTATAAAACTGCAACTGACTTTTGTACATTAATTTTACACCCTGAAACTTTACTGAAGTCATTTATCAAGTCTAGGAGTCTCTTGGAGGAATCTCTAATACAGATTTTTTCAAAATACTTTTCTGCCAATATTTTTGCTTTATCTCACCAAAGTTAGCATTTTTACAGTGTTTAAGTGCTGAATTTTTTTTTTTTTTTTTTGAGACGAAGTCTTGCTCTGTCACCCAGGCTGGAGTGCAGTGGCGCGATCTCAGCTCACTGCAAGCTCCACCTCTCAGGTTCACGCCATTCTCCTGCCTCAGCCTCCCAAGTAGCTGGGACCACAGGTGCCCGCCACTACTCCCGGCTAATTTTTTTTGTATTTTTAGTAGAGACAGGGTTTCACCATGTTAGCCAGGATGGTCTTGATCTCCTGACCTCGTGATCTGCCTGCCTCGGCCTCCCAAGGGTGCTGCATTCTTATTATTCTTATTAATGGCAGTGTTTTCAAAGGCCAATTTTATCAGAATGTAAAAAGGATAAATAAGCAAATACCATTGGATAAACATTTGAATATATATGTATATAGTGTATATACGTATGTGGGCATGTAAGAGAAAGAGAAAGACAAAACAAGGTATGTTTTCTTTTACAATAAATACCATTACAAATGCATAAATCCAGTAAATGCAACTTTACACATTTGGAATTTTCTATCACTACATTACACCATAAAAATAAATACGTTTTCCCCAGCCATACATAAAGTCAAATAGACATTCCTAGTTGTAAGACATTCCAATTATATCAATAATCTAACAAGCCACAAATAATCACATTTCTGCAATACGCCTTTTGACTAATTATCAATCAATCAGCTGTCGTTTCTCTCATCCAAACATGCTACTTTAAAAGGTGTGTATTGAGAACGGTGTAAGATGTGCGTTTACTATAGCCATAGTAAATATAATGCTTTCGTTATAGCAATGCAAAATTTTCTGGCAAACTAGAGAAATGAATTGTTCACAAATTTAAAAATAAAGAAGTTTTCACAGCAAAGCCTTGAGGCTATGATAGAACAGGGGTTGCGTGAAAGGAGAGTCAGAGAACATGATTGAAAGCAAATAAGGTGAAGGGAAGTGAAGAGAGGTCAATTAGGTGGAAACACACCTATGGGAGGGGAGCCCTACAAAGAAAACTGTCCAAGTATATTTAGAAAATTAGGCACACTGACTACTAAAGGGAATTTCCATCACTCAACTCTTCAGTTAAAGGGCAATCCCTGCCCATAGCCTATTTAACATCATTTTTCATGCAGGGCTACTGAAAGCCAATTCTCACCGTGTTACTGGTCTTCACAGAGCCAAGTTCTTCAGGGGCATCTGAGATAAAGATTTCTTCTGTAGAAATTACCAAAAGCATGTGATAGCAAGAGAATTCCCCAAAACAGAAGAAAATAAAATACACAGAGAATACACCAAAACTAAATATTAATTAGATGTAAATGAAACATGAAAATATTAGAATAATAGCTTCGGGTGACATTAGTATGCATTATCAAACTTACTAAATTGCTTTGTGTGCAATTATGCCTGGTCTAGTTGAAGAAATAAAATACTTTCTGCCAGCAGGTTAAATAATTAAAAGACATAATTAATGTTTTTATAGAACAAATACAAAATTCCCTAAAACACTAATAGAGTATGAAGATCATGAGGGAGGTAAATCTATCATTGTCCATAAGCATTTATTTTTAAATAGCTGAAACTTATTTTCTTTGACATCTCTTTAATGTCATTAAATTTTTGTCTTTTGAATTCAACTCAGAAATATAGAAAGCTTAAGCCTTGGTTTATTGTTCATGTACATTACAGATAAAATTTGTGTCTAATTCTGGCTTACATTTTTGTCAGAGTCATTTTTTTTAAATTGCAGCAAATTTGGAAAATATAGAAAATTAAGAAGAAAAAAAAATTTACTTATAAGCCATTGATTGAGTCAGAGATGAGAGCCTTACTTTCCAATAATTACATATTTTTAAAACCATGATTTATAGTTGCTTCTCAATATTTTATTGTATTAAAAAATAGAATTGATTTAATACACAGCTTAAAAATGTTTTGTTGCATTTCAACACCATCCTTGCAATGTAAGTATGCCCATCTCTGATCGTTGTCATAAAAGAAATTCCTACAATTGAATTTACAGTCAAAGCTGTGCATGTTTGAATATATATTGCAAATTGCTCTCCAGAAAATGTGTACTAATTTACATGGTCACCAGCAACATTTGAACATGCTCTTTTTAACACCTTACTAGTTTGCTTAATAAGATATCTTATATACTTATTGCTGCTATAGCTCCAAACTAAGTATATTTACACCTATACTTGGAATGGCAAATGCATCGCACATGCCACCCCACTCCTCACAGAAGGAGAGATTTCTAATCAAGCACAAACAAAATCATCTGCTGTTGAAATGGAGCTCACCTTCCAAATCCTTCCCAAGGTGACTGATTCTCTAGACAGCCACTCCCAATCAGTGTGAGTTGGTGCTAGGATGAAACTATTCACCATCCCTGGTATTTGAGTCCTCAGTACTTCTCATGTGAGCTGCTCCCACTCCATTGGGAGATGAAGCTGTGAGTTGATGCAGCATGAATCAAGCTGCGTTCACCCGCTGTCTGAACAACTTCCTCCCAATAGATCCCCACTACTTCACCTGAAAACCCAGAGCTACATGGGACTTCAGGTTTTTCACTGCACTGCCCATTCAGACCTGGCCTCCTTCACTGGCGCTCCATGCCCAGCTCCATTTGTTTAGTTGACAACACTACCCCTGACTTAGTTACTATCACTACCAGCACTTGACCTTTTAGATAGAAATTAACTCTACCAGTTCACATTAGATATTATCTAGGATGAATGGCCTGATGTATTTATGTTTTAGGAAAGGATTCCAAGAACTCCTAGAAATAATAACTAATTACCAGATCTGTAATGTTTAGTCCCTGCTTGCGTGGGTCTGGGAGATGGGAATACAGTAAGTGCCTAAGCTGTCCCTCGTCTGACTTAAGAACCGTCCTCTACAGGACTGCTGTCTATCCGGTCTGCCCTCTCTGGAACTGACTATAAGGACTGTTTGTGTCTTCCTGCTTGAGGTACATCTCCTGGTTGAGACAGACAAGACAGACACACGTACAGGTATAATAGGCATATGACTACACTACGTGTATCGTACTAACTGCATCCAACATATTTGTAAGTACTTATACACATGCAAGCATAATTACCCAATTATGAAGCATCCGTAATGAATACCCTGGCATTAACTAGCAGTTCTTTCTTGTAAAAATAGGAAAAAAAAAAATAAACACACAACTCCTAGGGCTTAGGGATTATGGCCCAGGTCCTCTCTCTAGCAGATGCTTCTAGTTCTACAACGTCCTCTGGCTTCTCATCAGCTGTGAATCCCTTGAGGCTTTGCATGCCAGACAGTGCTGCTAGCGGATTCACGCCAGTCCAAGATGGGTCACTTTCTTATGTTGGTGGGAATATAGCTCTAGAGAGCATTTGATCTTTGTGCCATGGGCACCAGCCACTCTGCAACCTTGAGTATCTACGCAGTAACATCTCTCTCAACTTTTTCACGAATTCCTCAAGACTCTAGTTTAATTGCAAAAAGTTTGGAAGCTTCAGCTTCAGCCACGCCTTTCTCCATTGTCCTAGAACTCCAGGAACTGCTTCTGTCCAAAGAGGTCATGAAGTAGGGAGGGCGTGGAGGGGAGGTGTTTTTTCGCACAGGCTCGCATAGTACCAGACTGTGTTTGTGCTGCTAATGCCACTGCTTCCTGCTGTTGAAGTCGGGTCTGATGTTATCCACACACTTGTCAGCCCAGGATGATCCTACTGGTCCATAAGGCCCCTCCAGGGAGGAAAGCCCCATCTCTTGAGATGCTCACTCTGAGGTCTCAACAGTTAAGCCCAATTTCCTGGTGCTGGCAGGAGCTCCTTCTGGTTCCATGCAGAGCATTTCTCAGAGCAAAAGTGAGCCCTGGAAGGACAGGCCAACATCAGACATCAAGCCCTCACTCCACAGAGGTAATGCGAGCTTCTCTTTCCTCTCTAGTGACCATACTCCAAGAAGTAGAACATCTTTTCTTTTAAATCCTCAAAAGCTAAAGTATTTGGCTGCACACCTGTTCACAGTCAATTGAAACAACTTGCCTTTCTCTTCCCTCCTAAGAAAAATCTATTCTCATCCCTAATAGGGGGTTTCAGTCCAGGCTACATGTCAAGGATCTGGCATTCTCTCTGTAAATATAAGAAAAGTACAAATATAACCTTTGCAAGTGTGTCCCTTAGGTCAGTCACCCCACTACATTAGCATTAAATTTTAGTCTTTCAGATGCAAATGTAATTGTTTCTATTATCTGTCGTTTTAGATAATTCACTCATTTGTTGCTCCCAAATTTGTAAAATATGGCCTCGTTAGAAGGTCTGTAAAGGTCTCCAGAGAAAACACATCCTGAAGAATTTCTTCTACGAATCACTGTGGTGCTGTTCTAAGAAGTGGTATCTTTTTGTCTGTAACCTCTCTGACTTGCGGTGACAGGAGTAGCAACTTCTTAGTCGAATAGCAGTTTTTCTCACTGGTATTTCTTAAAGCCACGTGCTATCAGATACCCACTTCCTGGCTGCAGGAGCTGAGGTTAAAAATTGCAGCTCATCGCTTTATTTTTTGTTTGTCTTTGTTGTGTGTTGTTGTTGTTTACTCTTTCAACATCCCCTTCCCTCTTTCATATGAGCTGGAGATGAATAACCTATTACCACGCAGTAGTTTCTGGAGTGGGGGCAGCACTGGCTGGCAGAGAGGAGCTGGGCTGCAGTTGCTCTCTGTTCCAGAGCCAGCAGGAGGAATAAGGCCCTACTATCTTCCACCCTGTCCCTTCCGCTGCCCTCCCCTCTTCTTGGGGGTGGCAGCAGGTGTGAAGGAAAGAACTTTGGGAACAGCAAGCCAGCGATCGATGCATTCCAAAACAGAGTTTCCATGAGAATGCAGCCTCCTGAGGCAGGTACTGAAGTCCTAGGGACAACAGAAGTTCAGTGTCTATTGAATAAAGTTAGGATTGCGTGCATCTCAAAAATTCTCATTTTACAAACAGTAGTGTCTGCTGAGGCCTGCCTGTCTCTCCACAGATGTTTCCTGGGGAATTTGCTTGGTGTTTGACGTGAAAAAAATTGGAGTCTCACAGAAGCTCTCTGTGCACAGATCTTCTAATGAACAAGGCATGGCCAGGAGCCCCGGTCGATTGGAAGGCCACTGCTTCAGATACCAGCACACAGTGAAGTTTGCCAGGCGCAACATCAAACAATTGCTGTTAGGATCATAACAATATTCTAATATTGTTAGGATCTAGGGTGGAACATTTTTAAGTGGTATAAAGCAGGCTGCCCTGCCATCTTGTGGCTAACACAGAGAAGAATTTCCTGTTCAAAATGGATACAAACCTGATCTTTATAGTTTGAGTGTCCATATTTCAAATGAAATGTTCCCAAGAATCAGAAGAGAGTGGCAGAGGCCTTCCACTTGGCCCAATTCAACCACCCCCATGGTGCTCATCAGACACTTACCTGGAACTCGCAGTAAAAATTCATGAGACACATTCTGTTCATCAGATGTACTGATTCACATATTTCCAGTGTATATAGTTCAACAGCTTTTGACAAATGCAAACAAAAATGTGACCACCACTACAAATAACAGTTTCCTTCACCTCAAAAATTCCCCTCATGCCTTTGGCCATAAACTCTCACTCCCTGTGACAACACCCCTAACTTCTGGCACATTTTGTTTCCTGTATGACTGCTCTAGAATTTTCTATAAGTTGAATCATACAATATTTTCTCTTTGCTTCCTGACTTCCTTTACTCACCATAATGACTGTAAGATTTATCCATGTTGTTGTATCTTAAACGTTTATAATATTTCCTTGTATAGATACATCACAATCCTCATCCACTGAGGACATTTGGGTTGTTACAATTTGGGGCAAATATGAAAAAGTCATTCTGAATATTTGCGTATGAGTCTTTGTGAGGACATTCATTTTTCTTCATTTCTGTTGGCAAATACCTATGAAGAAATTCACACGGTCATCTGAACATATACCTGTATATGATAACTTTTTACGAAGCTGCCACATCTTTTTCAAAGTGGTTATATCATTTTATATTCCCCCAGCAACGTACAACTATTCCTGTTGCACCTCATCCATGGCAACACTTGGTAATATCAGTCTATATCATTTTAGCTGATAAGTACGTGTGCTCTAATGTCTCACTCTCAGTTTAATTTGCATTCCCCTGGTTAATAATGAGAAGCACCATTTCATATGTGCATTGGCTCTATGTATATATAATATATATTAAATTTATGTATACATGTGCCTGCAATATTACCTTTTATGAGGTTTGTTCAAATCCTTTGCCCGTTATTTAATTTGCTAAATTTTCTTGTTATTATTGATTTCTTGGACTTGTTTACATATTCTGAATATTAGTCCTTTGTGAGACATCTGTGTTGAGAGTCTTCTTCTCCCAGTCTGTAGATTGCCATTTTATTTTAAACATTTAGGATTGTTATGTCATCTCTATGAACTGACTCCTTCATTGTTAGGAAATGCTTGTTATTAATTCCAGCAACAATCCTTATTTAAAATTAGGTTTCATCTTATATTAACATGGCCACTCCCAGCTTTCTTTTTATTTTTTTAATTATATTTTAAGTTCTAGGATACATGTGCACAACATGCAGGTTTGATACATAGGTATACATGTGCCATGTTGGTTTGCTGCACTCATCAACTCATCATTTACATTAGGTATTTCTCCTAATGCTATCCCTCCCCATGACAGGCCCTGATGTGTGATGTTCCCCTCCCTGTGTCCAAGTGTTTTCATTGTTCAGTTCCCAGCTATGAGTGAGAACATGTGGTGTTTGGTTTTCTGTCCTTGTGAGTTTGCTGAGAATGATGGTTTCCAGCTTTATCCGTGTCCCTGCAAAAGACATGAACTCATCTTTTTTATGGCTGTATAGTATTCCATGGTGTATATGTGCCACATTTTCTTAATCCAGTCTATTACTGATGGACATCTGGGTTGGTTCCAAGTCTTTGCTGTTGTGAATAATGCCGCAATAAACATACATGTGCATGTGTCTTTATAGTAGCATAATTTATAAGCCTTTGGGTATACACCCAGTAATGGGATTGCTGGATCAAATAGTAATTCTAGTTCTAGATCCTTGAGGAATCTCCACACTGTCTTCCACAATGGTTGAACTAATTTACACTCCCACCAACAGTGTAAAAGCATTCCTATTTCTCCACATCCTCTCCAGCATCTGTTGTTTCCTGACTTTTTAATGATTGCCATTCTAACTGGCGTGAGGTGGTATCTCATTATAGTTTAGGCAATACCATTCAGGACACAGGCATGGGCAAGGACTTCATGACTAAAACACCAAAAGCAATGGCAACAAAAGCCAAAATAGACAAATGGGTTCTAATTAAACTAAAGAGCTTCTGCACAGCAAAAGAAACTACCATCAGCGTGAACAGGCAACCTACAGAATGGGAGAAAATCTTTGCAATCTACCCATCTGACAAAAGGCTAATATCCAGAATTTACAAAGAACTCAAACAAATTTACAAGAAAAAAACAAACAACCCCATCAGAAAGTGGGCAAAGGATATGAACAGACACTTCTCAAAAGAAGACATTTATGCAGCCAACAGACACATGAAAAAATGCTCATCATCACTGGCCATCAGAGAAATGCAAATCAAATCCCAGCTTTCTTTTTAAAGTGTTTGCATGGGATGTCGTCTTCCCATGTCTGTGCATTTAAAGGGGGTCACTGGTAGATGACATTTGGTTGAGTCTTGCTCTATTTTATGTCTTTCAGTTGGAATGTTTGGGCCATATACATTTATTGTATTTTCTTTTTTGATGTAGTCAGGTTTACATCTACCATCCTGCTATTGACTTTATAATTGTCCCACATGTTCTTTGTTGCTGTTTTGCTGTTTTCTGTGCCTTTATGGGATTTATATTTTTTACCTTCATGTTTTACATTTTTAGTGGTGTCTCTATGGAATAAAATATACACCTTTATATAATCACACTCTACCTTCAGATAATACGATGCCACTTCGCTTACAGTGTAAAAGCCCTGAACGCAATGTGCTTCCACTTCCCTCCTATTCTTTGAGCTCTTGTGCTTTTGTACTTCTGCAAATATGATAAATTCCACAATATAGTGCTACTATTTTTGCTTTAAACAGTTATCTTTTAAAGAGGAAAATACAAGAGAAAACGAAATGTTTTTTACTTAGCCAAACTGTCACTATTTCCAGTGTTCCTTGTTCCTTTATATAGAAGCAATTTCCATCTACTGTCACTTTCTTGACCGAAAGAACTTCCTTATACATTTCATATAGTGCAGCTGAGCAATAATGAGTACTTTTGTTTTTGTGTTTTTGAAAATATTTTTACTTTACATAGAATACTAGATTGACAGGGTTATTTTTTCCTTAGCATTATCAGTATTTTTAAGATGCTAACTGTCTCTGGCTTGCATACTTTCTGTCGCTAAGTCTGTAACGGTTCATATATTTTGTTCTCTATGTCTTTTTCCCTCCAGCTCCTCATAAGATTTTCTCTTCCTCATTTATGTCAGGCAATGTTTTTAGCTTCATAAATCTGTGAATTTACAGCTTTCCTCATATTTTAACAAATTTTTACCACTAGTATTAGTATTATTTTATTTATTTATTTTTTTGAGATGGCGTCTTGCTCTGTCACCCAGGCTGGAGTGTAGTAGCACAATCTCGGCTCACTGCAACCTCCGCCTCCCAGGTTCAAGTGATTCTCCTGCCTCAGCCTCCCGAGTAGCTGGGACTACAGACATGCACCACCACACCAGGCTAATTTTTGTATTTTGAGTAGAGACAGGGTGTCACCATGTTGGCCAGGCTGGTCTCGAACTCCTGACCTCAGGTGATTTGCCCACCTCTGCCTCCCAAAGTGTTGGGATTACAGGTTTGAGCCACCACACCCGGCCACCATTATTTCTTTGACTATCTTTTCTCCCCTCATTTCCTCTGGTCCTTCAATTTTATGGATGTTAGACTGCTCGCTACAATCGTCCCACACTGAGGTTCTGTTAAGGTTTCTTGTCTTAGTCTATTTCTGTGTCTGCTTCTATTTCAATATTTTCTATTGCTCATCATCAAGTTTATTGGTGTTTCATTTTGTTTACTATGCTGTCATTTCATCCACTGGCACACTCTTTTTCATCTTTATAAATAACATTGGGTTCCTTTTTATGCTTTTTATTTCTCTCAGTGTTGTACTTTAATTTTATGAACATGTCTGTAATATTTATAATACCTATTTTAAGGTCCTTGTCATTTCTGAACCTGTGTTAACTGGTTTTTCTCTTTTAGGTCACTGTTTGCTGTTTCTTTACATGCTGATAACTTTCTACAGGATTCTGGACATTGTGAATGTTACATTATTATGTGTTTGGATTGTGTTTTCTCCCTTTTGGATGGGTTTTGTTTCCTCATTTGTTTGTTGTTATATTTTGCTCTGTTTTGTTTTGTTTTCTTTTAACGGACAATTGTAAATCCAGTTGAGCCTCTTAAGTTTTATGATTCAGGAACGTCAGCTCTAGAGTAGTCTTTACTTTTGGGCAATTTAGCCCTACTTCTATGGTGGCACTGCTATATCAAGTGGTTGCCAATGGATTCAAAAGTGTTTATACTCAGCTGTGTGAGGTTTAGCTGTCTCCTGGCCCCAGCCCTGTGTGGGAGATGAGAACCACTCGCCTTGCAGCTCCCCAGCTGTTGCTCTTCTTGTGGCTCCATAGAGTCCCACGCTACCCAGGTGGGCAGACTGGTACTCAGCACAAGCTCAAAGAGTCCCTGAGGTATGTTCCTGGAGCTGGTTCTCTGCATAACTCCCAGCAATTCTGTATTGCATCCTGCAAATTTTAGCAACTTTTGTCTCCCCACCTACCAGTCACTGTGTCTTCAGCTTTGTAAGGTTATGGACTCGTGACCACCCTCTCTGCTCTAAGGACCATCTCGCTAGTTCCTTTCTCTCAGGGAACATCATACTACACTGTTGTTGACTATCTGAAAGCAGTTATTTCATAATTTTGTCCAAGTTTTTATAGCAGATGGGGTAAATCTAACTCCAGATTATCCATCAATTGATAAAAGTAGAATTTCCCCCAGAAGTTATCTTTTAATATTCAGTGAAAATCATTGTGTATTAGCTCCCTGTGGCACTGCAATGAATTTCCACAATCTTAGTTTAAAACAATGAAAATTGACTACCTACTGGTTCTGGAAGCCAGAGTCTGACACGAAGGAGCTGGCAAGCCTATATTCCTGCGGAGGCTTCAAGGGGGATTCTCTTATTTGCCCCTTCGAGCTTCTGGGGTATATTGGCCTTCCTTGACTTGTGCCTGCCTCACATGGGGAAAGTTCTGAAAACCAGAATTTTCCACTTAGATTCCAGTCTAACCTCCTAATTTAAAAATATGAATATTGAAGCCCAAAAATATGAAGTAGACATTCTCATTTGGAAAGCAGATGAAATGCACAGATTCCCAAACCATACCATCAGAAACTCTGATTCAGTAACTTTGGACTAAGACGGGGGAATCTGAATTTTCCAAAATCCAAAAAAGATCCTGATGCAAGCAGCCAGTGAATCACACTGAGAAAGAGCATTCAAAGAGCTCTCACCTGGTCAACAAACAAGGTAAACAACCAAGTCCACAAACCAAAGGAACAAGATACAACCTCCAAGTAAAGAGCTTGTTAAACCTGCAAGTTCACTACCAATTCTTCTAGATTTTGCTACATTTTTTCGATTCCAAGAGCAGGAAATGATACAATGTTTTTTATAATACTTAATTCTAGCCTCTCTGGCAACATTATCGTTAGCGGTTTTGCTTGAATTCATACTGAGATGGACCCCGCCTTCTCTAAAGCTTGACTCCCCAGCAAGCTGATAAAATGGGAAGTCACTGGCCCGTATTTGAGGGTCTTTTGAACCTATAAACTCACCAAGAAATGAGGAAACTCTAGTTACAAGCTGGTGAGCACTTTCTTTGTGAAAATTGCCATCTGTAGGCTGATGAGGTTCTCTGAAATATCAACACACTCCTAGGTTCCCTACTGACGACAACTATAAAGTTGTCCCCAACACTTATTCTGGTCAGGGGCTTCACAGGGCATATGTTCAGATATTCTAATGGCTTTAAAGAGAGGAAAGTTGGGGCCAGGCATGGTGGCTCACGCCTGTAATCCCAGCACTTTGGGAGGCTGAGGCGGGCAGATTACGAGGTCAGGAGATCGAGACCATCCTGGCTAACACGGTGAAACCCCGTCTCTACTAATAATACAAAAAATTAGCCGGGCCTGGTGGCAGGCGCCTGTAGTCCCAGCTACTCGGGAGGCTGAGGCAGGAGAATGGTGTGAACCCAGAAGACGAGGCTTGCAATGAGCCGAGATGCCACCATTGCACTCCAGCCTGGGTGACAGAGTGAGACTCTGTCTCAAAAAAAAAAAAAGGAATGTTGTCAATGTGGGAGTTATCCTCTTGGGAGCTCTTTAAGGATCATTGCATTGCAGCCTTGGAAATCAACTCTAGAGAGACATATGACATTTGAGAATGTAGTAGACTCATAGTCCTAGAGACAGAGGCAGGGCACAATACCTAGGAAGAACTCCAGGGAGAGACCTTGACCAAGCAGGTGGGAAACTGAGAGAGTATGGACCAGTGCATAAGGGTATTTAATGGGGGGCAGGGTGGAGCACACAAGCAAAAGGCTTGAAGGGATTTTACTGGTGTGTTTGAGTGTCACTAGGTCACAACCAGGGGAGGACAGGATGGGAAGGCTGTGATGGTGACCAGCCTTGTCCCACTGGTGCACCTGGTCTCCTGGGCCCGCTGCTTACAGCTTGCTTGTGGTGATGTTGAGGCATCAGGAAAATAGACGATTTTAAAATCTACAGTACAAGAGGAGACAAATAAAATGTTCTTAATTCAGTAACTTGTCCTTCTTGAAATCTTATTTTTTGTTTTGTATTCCATAGATCAATAGAAAACAAGGGTGGGGGAGGGGGAGAAAAGTGGTATGCAATGATGTTTAAAATGGTTAAAGTATAATATCTATGTGAAAGTTTAAATGACTGACATTTTGAGCCAAGGAGCAGCTGGAAAATGATTTTTGCCTGTGTGTCCTCAGAGCCAAAAACCATCAGTCAATTTAATCAATCTAAATGAATTTTCAAAAGTCAAACTTGTTGTATTAGTCTGTTCTCACACTGCTATGAAGAAATACCCTAGAATGGGTAATTTATAAAGAAAAGAGGTTTAATTGACTCACAGTTCTGCATGGCTGGGGAGGCCTCAGGAAACTTACAATCATGGCAGAAGGTGCCTCTTCACAGGGTGGCAAGAGAGAGAATGAATACAAGCAGAGGAAATGCCAGTTGCTTATAAAACCATCAGATCTTCTGAGAACTCACTCACTATCATGAGAACAGCATGGGGGAACCACCCTCCCTGATTCAGTTACCTCCACCTGGTCCCCCTTGACACATGGCAATTATGTGGATTACAAATCAAGATGAGATTTAGGTGGGGACACAAAGCCTAACCGTATCTCCCCTTAAAGGGAAAACCCCAGTGAATACTAAAGTTTCTATTTGAACAGGTTAAATATTATAAAAACACAAAAAAACTAACATTAAAAGATGAATGTGCAGAGTGATGTAAGAAATCTTTCTTTTATCCATTGAAGAAAATGAAAAATATACAAAAATTTGGTTTGAAATCTTGTCATTTACATTTGAATCTAAAGAAGGTAATGTGGACTAAGCCATATTCATCACAGTGTGTAGCATATAGAAGGGTCTTAACTATTTGAACAACTCTATTGGGATAGACATGTTTTTCTGGAATGGACTCAGCTTTTAATAAAACTGTTTTATTATTATTATTACAGAATAAATGATGTAAAGAATCCATGAATATTAAAATAAGTTGCTGGGTGAAATTTAATATTTCTGCTGAATTCCCTAAACTCCTAACCTGACAAAATTAATAGCAATAAATGTACCAACTCACTTATATAAATATGTACTGCATTTCATTTACACGTGAGACTTAAGCCAATTTAAATAAAAATACATTGATTTGTCAAAAGTAAACAATAACTTAGGGGAAAACTTTTATCAAAAGTGTCATGTAGTTTACAGACATCTCATTATCTTCTATGGATACTCAATTTCTCTTAAATCCTCTGTTCTGTTCCACCCCAAGCAGTTACTTTTATTATCCATTATCTCCATTTGTGTCACTTCAGTAGGTCACCACAAATGTATCACAGGCGAATTGAACAGAAATATTCATCTGAGATGAATATTTCACCCTTTCACTATAATGATTTCTTTTTATCAAGTGAAGTGTCTCCATAGAAAGTCTTGAGTGAAAAATGGTAAGTGTAAATGGAATGCAAAATGGAAAATACTTTCAGCTATTTTTAAATGACTGGATATGAAAATAAAAACATCAAGCTGGAAGCAGGGGGTAGGCAGCATGGTTGGTGTATGTGGGAATGGCACAGAAGAGTAAGCCCAAAAGAGCCACTATGGAAGCAGCTACAACCTACAGTTCTCAGCAGTGATGTTTCGCAGGAGCAGATCAACCCAACCTGTGGATCCCAAGGGACACACTTGCCTGAGCTTTTCATTGATGTGTCCCCCTGAATTCCTAAGGGCTGTTACAAAAGCCTGAGAAGAGGTTCTGGAGGCTTCATATTCATCAAGAATACAAGCAATTCTCAACAAATCAGAAATCTGTAAGTAAACAGAATTCCAAATCAATGCTAGATAATATTTAGACTTTTGCATGATGCAAATGGCTTGTCAAGATTTTCCAACACCTCAAGAATGTCTTTGTATAAATTACTTACTCTTTTGACAAAGTATATCAGAAGCCATTAGTGCAGATTTAACACTGGCTATATGACATAAGGAAGGAGGTCCTCTTCTACCTAGGATGCAGAAAACCTGGAAAGTGTTCCTGCCATCCTAGCTAAGAAATAAAGCTAGGTAACTTCCAAATGTAACTTTTTTCTTAACCCATCACAGAGCTAGTTCACAGAGCAAGTAAGTAGCCTAAAATCGAAGAAACCACATGGCTCTCCAAGGACAGGTGAGATAGAGTACTGACTCACCTGTAGCAGAGCACAGGAAGAAGTGATGCTGGAAACCACACTAGCAGACAGGAAAAATTCAGCAAAAAATTGTAAATGTTCCTAACAGTCGTGTGTGGGCAGGCATGAGATCACAGAGCCTCCAGAAGCCATGGACACAAGAGGAGGTAACACTGACTCAAACACTTTTCTTTACATATTTCCACTAGGTGCTCACAGAAAGGCTTCGGGTAGGGTTGGTTGCCAAAGAAGACCCTCTGCAGTGGTACAGCCTTGAGGAGGGGTTGGTTTACTCTTGCAAAAAGGCACAAAGTAGCTCCTGGACTTTTCTTTCCTATGAAAAAAAGGCTTTATGCCATTAGCGGAGGAGAAAAACGAGTCACATCCAATATATTTATGATGATCCATTGCAGCTGGGGAAAGTGTAAAAGAAAAAAGTCCTCTATCATGGGAAAAGTGAAGAAAAAACTCCTGGGTCCAATACCCTAAGCCAATACAATGGATGTCTTCTATCATTGGAGGAGAAAAAGAAAATTCCTTTCATACAAGACCTTCCACAGTCACTGAGAAAGACCTCCAAAACATAAGGCATGCCTAAGGCTGAGGCTAATCCAGGACAATAAGGGGATGCCCCTCTCCTATCTCTATCACCAGGCTAGCAAGCACTGAGAAACAAATGACACAGTCTATCCCTGAAACAGGGACAAGAGAATGGAGAGAGATATTTATCTATTCCAAAAAGATATATTTAAGCCCTAACGCCAGTACATTTGAATGTGACCTCACTCAGAAATAGGATCTTTGGAGATGTGATCAAGTTGAGGTTACTGCATTCAAATGGGCTCTAATCCAATGACTGGTGTCTGTCTAAGATGGGAAAAATTTGGATGCAGACACAGAGTGAAGCACATCTTGTGAGGACACAGAGACATAGAAGACAGCCACGTGAAGGTGGAGACAGAGACTGGGACAATGCTGCCACAGGCCAAGGAATGCCTGGGGCTATAAGAAGCTAGAGGAGGCACGGAGGGTTCTTCCTTGGAGATATGGAAGAAACATGGCTGTGCTGACACCTTGATTTCAAACATCTAGTCTCCAGAACTGGGAGAGAATAAATTTCTGTTGTTGTAAGCTACCACTTTGTGGTAATTTTTTACAGTAGCCATGGGAAACTAGTAACACCCTTCCCCTGACACATATAAGACATAAGTATAAAGGAAAGACTGAAAGCTGATGATGGGGAAGAAACACTGAGAAAAGCCCTTCAGCATACCAACCACCACCATAAACACAAGGTAACGTAGAGGAATTTGAAGCCAGTGGTGCAGTGAATGTAACCAGAACCATAACAAAATGTAAATCCAGCTTAGCCACTGGCTACATTGACTCCAGGGCCCATACTAAAAGCCTTTTAGATGAAAAGGATGGACCATTTACAAGCATCAATACCATTTACCTCAGTCTTTAGTGGTCTACAAATGATGTTCAGCATTTAATCAAAAATTAGAGGACACACATTCAAGCTTTAACATATCATCTTCAAACTGCTGAAAATCAGAAATAAATCTTAAAGGCTACCAGAAAAAAGGACTCATGACCTACAGAAGAACAACAAGAATTACGAAAGATTTCTTATCAGAAACTATGCATAGTAGAATATGATGTCTTTTTTGCCATATCATCCTTATTTCAATTATTTATCATTGTTGTTCTTGCTCTCAGATTGTCTCCCAAATATCTATAAATTTCATCATGCATTGAACATTGAGCGTTTTTCTCTCTTGGCCCTTTCACATAAAATGTGTATGCCATTTCAACTTTTAAGATTCATGACACCTAAACAACAGACTATTTCATTCTGCCTCACGTTCTCCACATGTGTATTCTCCACAGGCACTAATACAGTGCTTTACACATAGTAGACATCAGTAAATGTGTCTGGAGTTTAATTGAAATTGTTCTTGTCTTATATTGATTGACTTTTATTTCATCCCAATATTTTTCCTTCCTTAGTCAATCTTTTCATAGTATTTAATCATATTCAATGTATGTTCATTTTCACTTAGATTACTGAAGTCATCTAAGAAAGTTCTGCAACATGTTGTTTAATTAGAAAATATTCTAGTTTTTTTAATCAATCAAATTTGCTGAGGTTTACCTTTTTACTAGGAAAAAATAAGTTGCACATTTCAATATATTTTGTTCAATTATGGGGTTTTGCATGAAGAGTTTGTAATTAAGCTATACTAGAAAATAAAAACCTAACTAACCATTTCAGAAAATTTTATCTGAAGCGTCTGCATTTTGGCACCCTCTTAAGTCCATGCACTAGAGGACTAATTGTTGATAAGTTACAGAATTTTTTTTAATTTGGTTTGATCAAGGTTACAAGATTATTTCAACTTAAAGAGTGTTATTATAAATAATGAACACCCATACTTTGACAACTAATTCATTCCTTTATCAAATATTTATTAAATACCACATTGTCACATGCCAGGTACACACCAAGGCATTTGAAATACATCAGCAAGTAAAACAAACAAACAAACAAACAAAGCATGTTCTCAAGAAGCTTACATTCTAGCAGAAAGAAGGTAGAAAATAAGCAGGTAAATTATATAGTGTGTTGGGAGATGATAAATACTCAAGGGAAAGAAAATAAAGCAAGAGAAAGCGGATGAGAGGAGGAAGGTCACATAGCAGAATGAAAATGGGAGAATAGAGCAGAGATATAAGGAATTTGTTGGAGAAAAACAATCAACAGATTAAATTGAATAATCCAAATTTAGAAATCTGTTAATATGTGACTACTGTATCTCTTTGATCTTTTCTAATGATTATTAACTGTGTTCAGAATTTATGGTTATTTTACACTTCAATTTTTATATTCAACTTAAAAAGTGTTATCATAAATAATTAGATTTATAAATAAATAAATAATCTACAACCACATATTTGCTGTTAGGCAAAATTCTAGTATGCAAAAATGTATTTATGAATATCTTCACAACAGTGACAAGAATTTCACTGGAGTTGACAAGAATTTCAACTCCAATATGTATGGAATTCCATTGTCTTTTCCTGCAGATAATTAGAAAAGGGAAACCCGAGGATTGAGTGTAGAGATGGAACATAAAGCAGATGGCACAACAGCAGTCAAGGTTTTCACAATAAAGATTTAGGAGGAGAAAATGAGGTGAAGAAGTCATATGATGAGACCTCTTGCTCTGTTGAGAAGGAGAATGTATTAGTCCATTCTCACGCTGCTATAAAGAAATACCTGAGACTGGGTAATTTATAAAGAAAAGAGATTTAATTGGCTCATGGTTCTGCAGGCTACACAGGAAGCAAGATGGCTTCTGGGGCCTCAGGAAACTTTCAATCATAGCAGAAGGCAAAGGGGAAGCAGACAAGTCTTACATGGCTGGAGCACAAGGAAGACAGAGCTGGGGAGGTGCTCCACACTTTCAGACAACCAGATCTCATGGTAACTCACTCACTATCATGCAAACAGCATCAAAGGGGAAATCTCCCTACACGATCCCATCACCTCCCATCAGGCACCACCTCCAACATTAGGGATTACAATTTAACATGAAATTTGGGTGGCAACACAAACCTAAACCATTTTTGTTCCACCCCTGATCCCTCCCAAATCTCATGTTTTTCTAACATTGCAAAATACCATCATGCCTTCCCAACAGTCCCCCAAAGTCTTAACTTATTCCAGCATTAACTGAAAAGTCCAAAGCCCAACGTCTTATCTGAGACAAGGCAATCTCTTCCATCTATGAGCCTATAAAGTCAAAAACAAGTTAGTTACTTCCAAGACACAATAGGGATATAGGTATATAGGTATTGGGTAAATACTCCCTTTCCAAAATGGATAAATCAGCCAAAAGAAAGGGGCTACAGGCACCATGCAAGACTGAAACCCAGCAGGACTGTCATTAAATCTTAAAGCTCCAAAATAGTCTCCCATGATTCCATGTCTCACATTCAGACCACTCTGATGCAAGGGGTGGGCTCCCAATGCCTTGGGCAGCCCCACCCCTGTGATTTTGCAGGGCTCAGCCCCCACAGCTGCTCTCAAGGGCTGGCATTTAGTGTCTGTGGCTTTTTCAGGCACAGGGTGCAAGCTGTCAGTGTATCTACTATTCTGGGGTCTGGAGGAAGGTGGCCCTCCTCTCACAGCTCCATTAGGCAGTGCCCCAGTGGGTACTCTGTGTGGAGGTTCCAACCTCATATTTCCCCTCCGCACTGTCCTAGTAGAGGCTCTTTATAAGGGCTCTGCCTCTGCAGCAGGCTTCTGCCTGGACATCTAGGCTTTTCCATATGTCCTCTAAAATCTAGGCAGAGAATTCCAAGCCTCAACTCTCACACTCTGTGTACCCACAGGCTTCACACCATGTGGAAGCTACCAAGGCTTACAGCTTGCATCCTTTGAGCAACCCTAGTACCTGGGCTTCTTTGAGCTATGGCTGGAGCTGGAGTGGCTGAGATGCAGGGAGCAGTGCCCCAAGGCTGCACAGGGGAGTGGGGCCCTGGGTCTTGCTCATGAAACCATTCTTCCCTCCTAGGCCTCCAGACCTTTCATTGGAGGGGCTTCCATGAAGGTCTCTGAAATGCCTTCAGGGCCTTTTTCCCATTGTCTTGGCTATTAGTACCTGCCTTCCTTCTAGTTATGCAGATTTCTGTAGCCTACTTGAAGTCCTCCCCTGAAAGTGGGTTTTCCTTTTCTACCACATGGCCAGGCTACAAATTTTCCAAACTTTTACACTCTGCTCCCCATTTGAATATAAGTTTTAGTTTTATGTCATTTCTTTGCTCACAAATATGAGCATAGGCTGCTAGAAGCAGCCAGGCCCCATCTTGAACACTTTGCTGCTTAGACATTTCTTCCACCAGATACCCTAAATCATCACCCTCAACTTCAAAGTTCTACAGAGCCCTTGGGCAGGGACACAATGCCTCCAACTTCTCTGCTATTGTATAACAAAAGTTACTTTTGTTCCAGTTCCCAATAAGTTCCTCATCCCCATTTGAGACCACCTCAGTTTGGACTTCATTGTCTAAATTACTATTAGCATTTTGGTCACAACAATTTAACAAGTCTCTAGAAAGTTCCAAACTTTCCCTCATCTTCTTATCTTCCTATCTCCTTCTGAGCCCTCCACACTCTTCCTACCTCTGCCCATTACCCTGTTCCACAGTTACTTCCACATTTTCAGGTATCTTTACAGCAATACCCCTCTCCTGGTACCAATTTTCTATAATAGTCCATTCTTGCATTGCTATAAATAAATAACCCGAGAATGGGTAATTTACTTAAAAAAAAGAGGTTTAATTGGCTGATGGTTTTGTAAAAAAGAGGTTTAATTGGCTGATGGTTCTGCAGGCTCTACAGGAAACATGCTGGGAAGGCCTAAGAAAACTTATTATGCAATCATGGCCGAAGACAAAGGGGAATCAGGTACGTCTTACATTGCCAGAGCAGGAGGAAGAGAGAGAGGGGGAGGTGCTACACACTTTTCAAAAAACAGATCTCAGGATAACTTACCCACTATCACAAGAACAGCACCAAAGGGGAAATCTGCCCCCATTAGCCAATCATCTCCCACCAACCATCACCTCCAACATTGGGATTACAATTTGATATGCAATTTGGGCAGGGACACAGACCACCATATCAAAAGAAGCTAAGAAATGTGTAAAAAAAATACATAATTGTCTTATTTTAAATATCTGTGAACATGTCTGTCTAGAGCAAACCCACCACTGGCTCATGTCCACCAACATGGAAAAGAAACCTGCACCAATGAACTGAGCTGAGGCCAAGGCCTTAGTGTTGAAGCTAGTGGCTCTTATCATAGGAAGAATGAAGTACACCTACTAGTTCTTTTACCCCAGCTTTATTAAAGTATATAACAGACAAATTAAAATTGTATTCACAGTCACGCATCACATAAGGATGCTTCAAAGACAGACCATAAGATTATAATAGAACTGAAAACTTTCTAGCCTCCAGTACTGTACTAAGATTTCAGTGCAACATATTAACTGTTCTGTGTTTGGATATGTCTACGTACACAAATACTTTGTGTTACAACTGCCTACAGTATTCAGTGCAGTAACATGCTATACAGGTGTGTAGCCTAACAGCAATAGGCTATACCATAGAGCCTAGGTGTGTAGTAGGCTATGACATTTAGGTTTGTGTCAGTACAATCTATGATGATTGCACAATGACAAAATTGCCTACCAATGCATTTTTTAGAATGTATCCCTATTGCTAAGCAATGCATAACTGAATTTGGTGTACAATGTGATGTCTTGATATATGTGCATACATTGTAAATTGACTAAATTAAGCTTGAATATATCCATCGCCTCATATATTTATCTTTTTTTGTGGTAAGAACACTTAAGATCTGCCTTCTTGGCAATTTTTAAGTATACATTATTAACAATGGACACCATGCTGAAAAATAAGACCTCCAGAACATAGTCCTCCTGTCTACCTAAAACTTTGTACCCTTTTATTAACACCTCCCCATCTCCCACCCTGTCCTCTGGCAACCATATTTTACTTTGTGCATCTATGAGTTTGACTTTCTTAGATTCCATATGTAAGTGAGATCATGTGACATTTGTGTTTCTGTGTTGGACTTATTTTATCCAACATAATGTCTTTCATGTTCATCTGTGTTATCACAAATAACTGGATTTCATTATTTTCCAAGGCTGAATGGTATTCCATCATTTATATAGACCACATTTTCTTTATTCATTTATCTCTTGATAGATACTTGATAGATATAGATACCTCTTGAAGACACTGATTTTGTTTCATTGGGATATATACCTAGGAGTGGAATTGCTGGATCATATGGTAGTTCTATTTTCAGTTTTTTGAGAAACCTCCACGCTGTTCTCCATAGTGGTTGTGCCAACAGTGTATCTCCTGGCTCTCGTCGTCATGCAATGTTGAAGAACACAGACTCTGGAGCCAGACCCATCTCACACTCATGAACACTATGAATTCAGCCATGTTGTTGGCGTCACAGTGCTTGCTCTAGTGTTCTTTCTGTAAGATGAGAATGACAATGGTACCTACTCTTATGGGAGGTATGAGGATTAAGCAGATTAACTTACATGAGGCACTTAGAGCATCAGAATAGGTGTTCCCAAGTTCACGGTGCCCTTCACTGTTTCAGGCATGGTGGACAGAGTGGACAAAACAGAGTTAAATCCTGGAACTCTTGGAGCTGACATTCAAGCAAGGGGAAACAGGCAAAAAACTAAATAAATAAGTAAAATATATAGATTATTACATAATAGATATGTTTTGGGGAAGAATTAAGCAGGCATGTTGGATAGCAGAGGTGCGGTTGTGATTTTGAATAAGGTAGTCATGGAAGGCACCTCTGAGCAAACGCTCAGCTCAGTCCTCAAGAGAGGGCCTGCAGATTCTAGGGAGGGGCAGGGCAGTGTCCTGAGGCCCAAGTGTGGCAGAATGTCTGGGCACCTTAGAAAGGCCACTTTCCTTGGAGTGAAATCAATGAGGGGACAGTGGCAGGAGGAAGGGCCACAGAGCCTTCAGTGTAGGAGCCCTGGGGAGCCTGGAGGCACTGTAAGAAATTTGGATGGTGATATCATCTGGCTCTGTATTCCCATCAAAATCTTATCTTGAATTGTAATTGGAATTGTAATCCCCACGTGTTGGGGGAAGGTCCTCATGGGAAGTGATTAGATCGTGGGGTCAGTTCCCCCATGCTGTTCTCATGATAGTGAGTGATTTCTCACGAGATCTGATGGTTTTATAGGGGCTTTTCCCCTCTTTGCTCTACACACTTCTCTCTCCTGCCGCCATGTGAAGAAGTACACATTTGCTTCCCCTTCTGCCATGACTGTAAGTTTCCTGAGGCCTTCCCAGCCCTACAGAACTGTGAGCCAATTAAACCTCTTTCCTTTATAAATTACTCAGTCTCGGGCAGTTCTTCATAGCAGCATGAAAATGGACTAATATAGCTGGTCTCTGAGGCAGTGGGTGTCATGGGGTGGCCTCAAGTTCTAGGAAGACACACAGGGTGTTGAACTTGGGGGAACAAAGGAAAGAAGCAGGGGACTGAAGGAGGTGGCCTGTACTCCAGGCAAAATACACTGATGGCTCAGCCTGCAGTAGTGCCTTGAATGGCAGTGAAGTTCTGAAGCTTCTCTGAAGATAAAGCAAATGGAGCTGTGTTTAGCAGGGGAAGGTAACATTAGTATCCATCATAGCTGTCTTGATGAATTCCTATCACAGAAGATGAGCAGAGGTGGTGGGCAGAGAGAGTTAGCAACCAGGCTACTTCTGACCATAGCCATAAGGCATTTTGCTGGCATGGTTGCTCATTCTCGAATCCTGCAGAGGTAAATGATCTGTAGGTCTGTGCTCCATGACATTACCTATGCATACGGGAAAATATATTCACTAAAAGTTTAATTAACATATTTCATATAGTTTGCAAAGTATTAACATTTTCTCATAGTAGAGAGACCTGGGAACATACAATAAGTCAATAAGGCAAACACCTGACTGTGGCTGGGCAGGCTGGAGAGCAGCTGTGGCACCCAGCCTGAGTCTGCAACAGAATTCTCTAAAGCCCAACCAACAATGCGCCTCTCACTGAAGCAATCCACCCAGAAAGAAGTGTGGGATTTGTATTACTGCATCCTTAGTCAAGCAGATATCATTTGGATTCCAATTCTGGGCTTCAGTTTCAGTGAAATGTGTAAAGATGGGAGGGACTCTGGGATGCGAATCCTTTCAGAATTGCTACTTCTCAGGGATCCTCATCCAGAAAGACAATTAAAAATAGAAACTCATCCTGGGCAACATAGCAAGACTCTGTCTCTACAAAAATGAAAAAATTAGTTGGGCATGGTGGTGTACCCTGTAGTCCCACCTACTCAGGAGGCTGAGGTAGGAGGAAAACTTGAGCCTGGGAGGTCGAGGCTGCAGTGAGCCATGATTGTGCCACTGCACTCCAGCCTGGGGGATAGGGTGAGATCCATCTCAAATAAAAAAACTAAAAATTAATAAAAAATTAAAACTTATTTAAACGGCAGCAAACATGCTGTAGGTTAGATATTTAGAACAATGTTTCTAGAGAGAGGTGAACATATGTCCAAAAGAAATATTACTTTTCTTGGTGAAATTTAAGAATTTCTGAGGGTGTGGTGGAAGAAGGGATACAAATACCAAAATCAGAATATTCCTCTTGGTTAGTTTCAGGACCGATCCACACAGATGCAGAAAGTCAAGCTTGATAACAGGCAGGAAAAAACATGCTTCTGAGAACCCTCCATATAGGGTGACAGAAGGCAGCGCAGAGTCTGCGGCCAGAGGCCAAGCTGAACCAGGCAGGAGTCAGCGTCACTGTGCTCTCTGTTGAGCAATAAATACACTCTGCTCTAGGTGTGCTCCTTTTCAAGGAAGCTAATATATAAATCTGAATTTCAAACATATGTCAAATAATTTCTTCATATTTTAAAATCTCATTCTTTTTTGTAGGAATAATTACAGTCTTGAGTTAAAACAGCTCTACACAGTGTAGGCAACTCCGGACAATTCCTGTATTTTATCAATGTTTGTTTCCCCAGCACTGGCCTGCACACAGTCAGCACTCAGTCAAGTTTTATGAATAAATGCTTGAGTGCATGAAATATTAACAATGTTCTTTCTGATCAGATTCTTGGGTGTGAGGAACGGAAATCCATCTGAACTGGCCTAAGCAAACAAAGGAAGGCTCTGCTGGCCAGAACTCAGACATCCAAGGCAGGGGCCATGTGAACTCAGCCTGGTGGGGTCAGGAACCAACTTCCACCACTCAGAGGCCACATGGCATGTCCATCCCTTCCTTTCCTGCTTCTCATGGGCTCTCCTTCTTCACTGTAGGTGCAGATATGGCCAGCACCTACCCAGGTCCCTCCCCTAACCCTGGATGCCATCTGCATCTTGGCGGGCAGTTTCCACACTCTCCCCCTGTCCTGTGCCTCTCTGCCTGAGAGCTTTCCCAGCCACAGAGGCTTGCAGGCTCATGCAGGGGGATGGGAGTGATGTTGCACCCCCAGGAGCACTTCCTTACCTCCCCAGCCAGTGGAAGACAGGCATTGGTTGGATAATTGTCTTGACTTCTGCTCTGCATGACATGGTCATTTGGGGATGTCTTACATAGTCTCTTGAGGTGCCCCAGGGGATCACTGCAGTTATTGGTGTCTTCAGAAGAACAGTCTCATCAGACTTGATCTTCAATTCGTTATCTTGAGTTGTCTTTACCATCGTTTCCAGTGTTGAAATAGGGAGACTTGAAGCATTGAGGCACCAGAACAGAGGCAAAGTCTCACGCGGCTCAGTTTTCTCCCGAGACCCAGAGTCCAGCCAGGCACACAGCTGGGGCCGGAAGGTCACATGTATCCGCTTTTGCTTCACTGATGGGAAGTTTCCATCAAACACCTGGGGTTCTTCCTTGTACTCTGGATATTCTGCCAGTGAGAGGCACCTTAGCTCAAAAGTCATGTGATTCACACGCCAAGGACACTTGAAAGTGAGTGAGTTAAATGAGGACAAGACACACCGGGGACTGTTGTGGGGTGGGGGGAGGGGGGAGGGATAGCATTAGGAGATATACCTAATGCTAAATGACGAGTTAATGGGTGCAGCACACCAACATGGCACATGTATACATATGTAACAAACCTGCACGTTGTGCACATGTACCCTAAAACTTAAAGTATAATAATAATAAAATTTAAAAAAAATAAAATAAAAATAAATTTTTTAAAAAAGTCATTTATAGCCTCGCACATCAATAAAGGAAATACAGTGGTCAAACAGGCTTATTAGAAATGTGAATAGTGGTGTTCTAAGAAAGAATAGCTAATATTTACATTTCTGAAGCAATTAGATGATAAATGTTCGTCCATTTTACTAGAGTATAAACCAATTTTATATGTGTGCAAAATCCTTGATATTGGAAGAAATCAATAAGAGATCAGTTTTACTTTGCTACTAAAAGAAACTTTTACCACAATTTTATCATTTCTGCCAAAAATTCTAAGTTCAGTATGTGTTGAAAGCACAGGAAAATGTGTAGCAAAGCATTGTCAGGAGCAGAGGGTAAACCTGAATTACCTTCAATGACCCAAGAGGATTTGAAATGGAAAAGACAGTGAAGCAAATAATTACCTTCAAATAGATTTTAAATATGCAATTGCTTATAAGGGTGCAAGCATTTCAGAAAAGTCTAGGATTTGGTAAAAGAGAAGCCAATAAGAAATCCAAATAAAATATATACAGTCATGCACTACATAATGACACCTTGGTCAATGACAGACCACATATTCAACGATGGTCCCATAAGGTTATAATGCTCTATTTCTACTTTACCTTTTCTATGTTGAGATATGTTTAGATACACAAATACTTATCATTGCATTACAATTGCCTACAGTATTCAGTACAGTCACATAATGCACAGGTTTGTAGCCTAGGAGCAACAGGCTATACCATCCAGCCTAGCTGTGTGGCAGGCTTTACCACCTAGGTGTGTATAAGTACATGCCATGATGTTCACACACCCAGGAAATCACCTAATGACACTTTTCTCAGAATGAATCCCTATCCTTAATGGCTGGATTCAGAGATAGTTTTCTTAAGTAAAAATGAAGTATCTGAAGTCATGTGTAAAAAGTCACATCCAACATTTATTTTTGAGGAAGGATGGGCTAGATGGGAATCTCAGAGCATGCCAGTAATGGTTAATTGTGTGTGTCCACTTAGGTGGGCAGCAGTACGCCCAGCTAGATCCCTGGCTTAATCTTTCCGGGTGTGTCTGGGAGGGTGTTTCTCCAAGAGAGACTGACATTGAGTTGGTGAACTGAGGAAAGCAGATGGCCTCCAAGCATGGGTGGGCCTTCAGCAACGCACCACCGGCCTGAAAAGGACAAAATAGCACTGACAGGGTGACTCCTCTCTGCCTGGGAACTTGAGCTGAGACATCTGTTTTCTCCGGTGCTCAGTGCTCCTGGATCTCAGGCCTCAGACTCTGCCTAGAATCTACACCATGGGCTCTCTGGCTCCCAGGCCTTTGAACTACACCCTGGCTTTCCTGGGTCTCAAGCTTACATGTGACAGATCATGGGACTTCTCAGTGTCCATTATTATGTGATCCAATTCCTTGTAATAAATCTCTTTGTAAATAGATATAGATACAGATGCCTCTAGAGACATATATGGAATCATTTCATATTGGCTCTTGTTCTCTACAGAACCCTAACTAATACAACACCCCTGCCCTCAATGTGCCTGCCCCACCCTGTGGGTGTAATTGGAGCTGGGGTTAGAGTGGCATTCCTGTGGTTAAGACTTGATATCCCCTTTCTTTCCTCCACTCAGTCATCCAGCACAGACACATGGATTCCTCACCATAACAACGTAACACAGACTGAGTGACTTACAAGTTTATGCCCTTACAGTTCTGGAGGCCAGGAGTCCAAAATTAAGGTGCAGGCAGGGCTGCACTCCTGCTGAGGATGCTGGGAAGGGATCAGGCTCCTAGCTTCAGGTAGCTGTAGCATGGCAGTGTCACGTCCATCATCACATGGCATCTGTGTCCTTTTTTATGAGGACACCAGTCATATTGGATTAGGGTCACCCTAACGAGTCCATTTTAACCTATCATCTGCAAAGACCCTATGTCAAGAGAGAGGTCATTTTCTAAGGTACTGGAAGTTAAGACTTCATCTTTTGAAGGGACACAATTCAAACCATAACAGTCACCAATGCATCAAACATAGTGACGATGCTGAAGGTACAGATATGACTACTCTGGCCTCTTCCTCAAGTGGTTCCCCTCCTGTCCATCCAGGAGTCAGTGACACAGAAATTATATATATATAGACACACACATATATATATATGATATAAATCACAAATATATATGCCATCTGTGATGCTGCATACACAGGAGGAGCTCCATGGCTGCTCTGGGAGGATAAAGGAGTTTCCCAGAGGATGTGGACATCTGAGCTGACTCTTAAAGACAAAGCTTATTTAATGTAGGAAGAAACAAGGGAAAAGGGAAGGGTGTTTGTAGGCTGAAAAACCTTCCCGTCAGGTCAATGACAGAACCTGTGGTTGTCTGTACGGCCAGGATGCTGGGTGCTGTGAGAAAAAGATTGAGACAGGATGCACAGGGGAACTAGAAGGAAATGGTGAACAGTTTTACCAAGAGTGGGTCAGTCCAGTGCTACAGACAAGGCCGATGACAGCACCCATGGTTAGAAGTGAGGAAGGGGAACGACAATGACACAAAACACTCCTTAGGGGAAGCTTGCTAGTGAGAAGGAAGCAGTGAGGGGAAGAAGGTGCTTCGGGATGCTTTAGGCTCCAGGCAGTGAATGCCCCAACTCAACAGAGCTTAAGGGATGAGAAAACATCTCGTATGGTAAAGGACCAGAGGTAGGTGGCTTGGGGAGAACATGACGAGGGTCTTGACTCAGTCTATGGGCTAGTGCCCTACTTATGCCCAGTTGGGCATGTCTACATCAGCTTCTAGACATCCTTCCTCATATCAGTTGCCTGATAGCGGTGAGCAGCCACTAGGGCAGCCTGCCTCCCTGTCATCTGGAGGACTCCCTGTCATTCTAGAGCACCCCACTCCCAGCTGTGCAGTGAAAGCCTTCTCTTTGTCTGATTTGGCCAATTTAGTTCCTATTCTCATTCCTAGACCAATAAGAGGTGAAGGGGAATACCCACGCCCAGCTTAAACCTGCGATCCTGACCAAATGCTGGGAAGGATGAGGTCAACACAGCCAGCTTAGTACATTAGAATAACTAGGGAAACTTGGCCAGCCATGGTGGCTCACACCTGTAATCCCAGCACTTTGGGATGCCGAGGCAGGCAGATCACCCGAGGTCAGGAGTTTGAGACCAGCCTGGCCAACATGGTGAAACCCCATCTCCATTAAAAAATATAAAAAAATGAGCCAGACATGGTGGGGTACACCTTTGGTCGCAGCTGCTTGGGAGGCCGAGGCAGGAGAATTGCTTGAACCCGGGAGGCAGAGGTTGCAGTGAGCCAAGATTGTGCCACTGCACTCCAGCCTGGGCAACAGAGTGAGACTTTGTCTCAAAAAAAATTGCTAGTATCCAGGCTCCACCAAACTCTTGATTTAATTGGTCTGAGTTGAGGCCCAGGCATCCATATTTTTTCAGAAGTTTCCCCCATGTCAGTCTAATGTGCAGATAAAATAGAGAACCACTGAACAGGGCTAATGTGGGCTCTACTCTTAAAGCTAGAGGGAAGGTCAGGTCCGCTATGTTATGAGCCTATGACACAGGAGAGGTGGGTATTTGCTAAAATAAATAAATATAAAATAAGTTAACAACACAGATTCCTTTAGGCAGGCAGAAGTGAGTAACGCATGCTGGGTAGGCAGCCAGTACTCTAGAAGGATAAAGCCAGGGAAGCTTGTGGTTTTCCTTCCTCTATGTTTGTAAGATGAAAACTTGGGCATGCCTGTAACTTACTAACTTAAGGCAAAAGACCTTGGGGAGAAGGAAGGAAAGGATAGAGTACAATCAGTGGGACAAGGGAGATGTGGAATTCACATCAACGTAAATGGGCTTAGAAGCCTGACTAATGTGTGTTTGGAGTCGTTTGCAAATAAGGGACAGACCCTGAGATCAGGGAGGAGCTGCTGCTTAGCAACAGGAAGGCATCAGGCAGTGTGTTTGTTTGGTGGTGGGCCTTGGAGAGCAGATCTACGAGGGTTTCTCTAACAGCAAGGGTTGTCATTCCCTCTGTCTGCGGGTAGTGCTTTTCCGCCGGATGGTTCTTCCTAGGAGCACACAGTCCTGCATCATCAGAACATGGGAAAGCTATTCAGGGCGGCCTGCCTCTCACTATTCCTAGTAAGAAAGATGCAAGCACTAATCTACAACACACACTAGCAGCGCAATCTGGAAAAGACCTTGGAACTAAAGTTCTCCTGTTAAACTTTGCAAGAAGAAAATCCAGGTTAAATGGCATGTCCATAGACCAAATCAAATGGTTTTTGAGGTTGCACCCATGAACACATCTTTGAATAATATATACTTTGAATGAATCAGATGGAAGAGATTTATACACATTTGAATATAAAACATATTTTATTTAAACACAACAATGAAAAGGCTGGACTGAGAGCCACAGCTGAGCAAACTTTGATGATAATGTATTAGGGTCAGGTCTCCACAACAGTAATAAATGGAGACTGTGAGGTCTTACAGCTTACTCTCAAAAAATAATTTCTCTTCCTTAGAATTTAGTTGTACATTTGTTAGTGGACCCAAGAGCCAACTAGATAATGGGACCAAATCCAAGTTAAGATCGTATTTATTTAGGATACGAAACATAAAGTAATATTTGAAAGTAAGTTTAACTTCTTCTCACTAACTCTAAGTTCAAATTGGGTTTATAAAAATATTTCACAAAAAAGATCACGGCGTTTGATTAAAGTTATCGTTATTTCACTCCTTCTGATGATTTTATGTTTTTTATTACCATTTCGAATGAGAATATTTTTATATATTGTGTTCCCAGTTCTCTGAAAGAAATACATATTGGGTATGTTTGACTTAATAAATTATCCTTTGAGATGAAATATTAAATTCTCAGGAATATTTTTAGATTCTATGCAATTTTAAACATCAACTAAAACCTTTTCATGTAATTATGCTTCTATTCTGCTAGTAATGCTTTATCCTTGAACATTTTTTCTTTTTTCATCTACTTAAAGACCAGTGTGATGGTATGAACATTTACTAAACTCCAACTGCTCATGTCTTTTGTTCTTATTCTGTTTCCCACAGCGCAGTGACAGGAGAGGGACCTACAGTATTCAGGTCAAGGTTTCCCTGTGTCTATCTATGCACACATCCCAGTAGATGCTCTGAAAGAGAAGGACTTACTGAGGTGGGACAATCACTTGAGCAGAAGAGTTTGAGGCTGCAGTAAGCTATGAAGGTGTCATTGCATTCTAGCCTGGGCAATGGAGTGAGACCCTGTCTCGAGAAGGAGATGGAGAAGGAGGAGAGAAGGAAGGGAGGAAGGGAGGGAGGGAAAGAGGAAGGAAGGAAGGAAGGAAGGAAGATGAGTTAATATTGGATGCTACTTCTTAGAGATAGGAAATCTGCTAAACAAATGGTCTGAGATGTTAGATCATCTCAATTTCATTTCTAATTATTCCCTTGACTTGCTATGGAGCCTTGGACAAATCCTTTAATCTAATTGCTTTTCTGTTCTCAATCTGTAAAATTAGGGCTTTGATTTAGAATCCACAAATGTATAGAATTGGAAGAGAAGTTTAAAATGTGATCTGATCAAACACTTTTTTCTATAAACACACATATATATGTACTATACATATATATAACGTATGCATATATTCTAAAATATAATAATAAATAAGTACATAATGTTACAAGTAGCTATGTTTTCATTCTGATGAAAGGAGCATCCAAGAAGTGGTGCTAAGCAATTGCTTATTATTGAGAAAAGTTGACATGGGAACATATTAAACTACTGTTCAATATGGCCAGATAATAAGGCCAGATATTTATTTTTTCTAAAATACTGAATTAATGTACTAGAAAGGAAAAGACTGGCAGGAATAAGTAAACATGCCAAAATATGAATACAGACAGCTTCTGGGTAGACATAATTATGAACATTTTTCTACTTTTTTAAATCGTCGAGTGTTTTCCAAAATTTCTCAGAGGAGTTGGTGTTACTTTTATAGTGTTAAAACACACACTCTCAGAAAATAATGTATATATTCTGAAGTTTTATCTTTCTCCATCCAGGAAAACTCAACTTCCTTGTTTCTAAACTAGAGCAGTGTGGGACTAGGTGGAAACTGTGTTAGTTGCTTAATCCATTTTCAAAGATTTTTCAAATGGCTTAATTTTATGTTACAAGTGAATAATTATTGAGAGGATGAGGAGCTAAGCCACAGATGGAGAGAAAATATTTGCAAAAGATATATCTGATAAAGGACTGTAACCCAAAATATACAAAGAACTCTTAAAATTCAACAATAAGGAATGAACAACCCAATTTTAAAATGGTCATTTATCTGAACAGAAGTTTCACCGAAGAAGACACAGATGGCAAATAAGCATATGAAATGATGCTCAACATTACATGTTCTTAGGGGATTGCAAATTAAAATTAAAAGAACAATGAAATACTACTGCACACCTATTAGAATGGCCAAAATGTAAAAAAAGAAAAAAAAAAGACAACATCAAATGCTGATGAGGAAGTGAGGCAACAGGAACACTCATTCATTGCTAATGGTAATGAGAAATGGCACACCCACTTTGTAAGACTGGCAATTTCTTACAAACACACTCTTACCATATGATCCGGCAATCATAGTTCTTGGCACTTACCCAAAGGAATTAAAAGCTTGTGTTCACACAAAAACCTGCATAAAATGTTTACATCAACTTTATTCATTATTGTCAAACCTTGGAAGCAACCAAAATGTCCTTCAATACGTGGATGGATGGATAAATTAACTGTGGCAAATTCAGACAATGGAATATTATTCAGCGATAGAAAAGAAATGAACTATTATACTATAAAAACAAGTGGAGGAAAAGTAAGTGAATGCAATTAAGCAAAAAAAAAAAACAATCTGAAAAGGCCACATATTGTATGATTCCAACTATGACATTCTGGAAGAGGTAAAACAGCGAAAAGAGCAGTGGTTACTAGTGGTTAACAGAAAGGAAGAGGTGAGTAGGTGCAGCACAGAGGATTTCTAGGGCAATGAAACTCTTCCGTTTGATGCTAACATGAAGGATACATGACATTATACATTTGTTCAAACCCACAGAGTATACAACACCAAGAGTGAACCTCAATGTAAACTATGGAGTTTGGCTGATGATAATGTGTCAATGTCAGCAGGTTAATCAGTTGTAACAAACACTCCACTCTGGTGGAGGACATTGATAGGGAGGCTGTGCTTACCTGGGGGTAGAGAATATATGGGAATTCCCTGTACTTTCCACTAAATTTTTCTGTGAACCCAAAACTCCTCTAAAAAAAATTGTTTACTTTTAAAAGTAAATAACTATATTTACAAATATAGGTAAACTATCCCTGACTGTGGGGATTTTAAATCATTGGTTTTCGTGCAAGGAATCATATGGAGACAGAGGAGAATCCTGGAGAATATTCTTGAGGATCTATGAAGGTGGTGGAGAAGGCATCAGAAGGAGCTTCAGTCTCTCTGGGAGCCTCTCTTGTCTCGTCCAGTAGAGCTGAACCTTCCAGATGATGCTGCACTATCGCACTTACTCCACTGGAGCACTTGCCACGCCCACTCTGCTAATTTCCGTATGCATCTGTTCCTCACTGGATGCTGGACTTCTTGAAGGAAGAGACCATGGTCCATTGATCATGGCCTCGAGGGTGCAAATAAGGGTGCTCTCTCTCTCTCTTTTTCTCTCATCACTCTCTCTCTTTCTCATCTCTCTGTTTCTGTCTCTCCTCTCTCTCTCTCTCTTTCAGAAAGGAGAAGACTAGGAAAAGATACAAATAAAAATAACCAGAGGAAAGCCAAGAGCGTGCTTTGCACAAACAGGTATTAAAACTGGTAAGGAGAGAGGAAAGGAAGAAAAGAAGGCCTGAAGGGTCAGGGGAGGAGGGAGAACAAGGGGAGGGCTTGAAGTGGGGCTCTTTTCCTACATATAAGTAGTAGTTATAGGACCATTTGTTGAAGAAAATATTTTTCTTTCCCCATGAAATTCTTTAGCACTGTTTTCAAAAAATGGTTAGTCACATGTGGGCGAATCTATGTCTGGACTTTCTACTGTTTCGAGGATCTATCATTTTGCCAATAATACACTCTATTGATTAACATCATGTACATTTTGAAGTTGGGTAGGGTATATACTTGATTCTTGTTTGTTTTTTTTTTTTTTTGCCTTTCCAAATGAATTTTAAAATTATTTTGTCAATTTCTAGAAAAAAAAGTCACCTCCGAGATTTGTATATCTATGAGAGGAGCTGAGAGAAACTCTAGTAATAACTGAGCTATCCTACCACCAGATGGATATGAGTGGGGCTCAGAACCAAATTTAATTTGATTTAAAAACAGAGCAATGTGGCATTTCTTGTGTTTCGTGGGGCAAATAATACTAACGACATTTTTCATGCTTCTCTTCCACAGTAGACTCTCGAGCTGCATGAGCTCCAACCGGGGACCCCACACTGTTTCGCCCCCTCACTGTGCCTGCAGTCTCCTCTCAGTCTCAGCCTAGAGTGCACGGCTCTCTGTTGATAGACTGCCAAAGCGAAGGCTCAGAAAAGAAGGTTAGCTCTGAAAGGAAGATCTGTCCCTAGAGGGTAAGATACGGTAAAGATGTTCTGTTCCTCTTATTTTTAATAGGAGAAATTTAGATATCGTTACTCTAATGTGAAGGAATGAATGAAAAAGCAGAATCTCATGATCTAGGGAAATATTAACCTGCCGAGTGGAGGATTCTGAACAGGAGACAATATGATGAGGAATTTAGGGAAGAGATTTGCCTTGGTAGGAGGCTTGAGGCTCCAGAGGCCACACAGGATGCCCTTAAGAGGAGCTGCCTGGAACCAGAGCGCTGGACTCAGCCTCTCAAAGTTCTACAACCTGAGGCAAGTTCTTCACCTCCCTGGGCCTCGGTTTCCTTGTGTGTGAAACTGGAATAATAATAGCACCTTGTCAGTGTCTTTAGAGCGGTGAGCATGGCACTGCGCGATTATGATCATGTTACTTGGAAAGTGCAAAGCAGGGGGCCCCTGTGAATATGGGGACGGATTACTGAGAGTGGAAGAGAAGGCACATAAGGAAGAGCACTCCTCTCAGATGGCCTCAGTGCTCGCTTTCTGCAAAGTAAGAATCAAGGTCAGTAGGGGAGAGTGAGGCTGCAGGGTAGAGGTGGGGCCATGGAGGTGTCCCTTCAGCGAAGGACAAGTGAAAAGACCTCTCGTTTGCATCACTGGCCTCCTCTGACATCCTTTGTCCATGACCCCCTTCATCCGTGACCCTCACGGGGGACACATGTGATTTATGTTCAGTAGTAGTAAGGACTTGAGTCCACCTTGCTGGGCCACCTTTGATCCCTGGGGCTTCAGCCCCCCATGGCTGGGCCAAAACGTTCTCTGTAAAATGAGGACATGATTCTTCTGAGGGAAGGGCCAGCCAGATGCATCCAAGAGGTTCTAAAAGTTCTGAGACCTAGGAATATATTACAGCTCTCCTATTCCTCCTGATGAATGCTGACACCCACTCACCAGATGGCTGGTCAGAATTACACATATAATCAGTTGTACGCCAGCCAGCTAAGCTGGGCAACTAGCCTGATCTAGCAAAGTGAAAATCCTCATATCCATAAGTACATCACAGCCCCACTAAGCAGGTACGCACCTTAGAAAAAAAATTGAGCTTTCTTTCAAAATCATAAACAGAACAAATTTCATCTTTCTTGTTGTTTTAAAGAAATAAAATAGCAACTAATACTTCACATCTGATATATTACTCACAGGTAAACAGATTTATGATTACTTAAGAAACTTAAATCCAATTGTCTAAATTGCTCTTATTCCACATAGAATTCAATTATTTGTATTTGCTGAATGCTACACAATGTAAATGTGCCAAGCTACATAGAATTAAAACGAAAAACCCATAAAACAAATGGTATGACACATACGGGCGGTCAGTCCATTAAAAATAGTTATTGAGTACTGTATCTGCGATGTGCCAGAAAATTCATCGAAGAAAGAAAAAATAGCTAACATATTTTAAGTTGCTCAGTTTTGAAGAAAAATTTAAATCCATTGAACATAGTATTTGCATTTCTATGACACCAAAACACTTTCAGTAGTTTGAGAGAAGTTCATCTGTAGTTTTAACAAACTGATCCTTTTATGAGAATATGAAAGGCATTAGATGCTGCGTCCCATTGCACACATAAACAGACAGAACATTATTTTAAACTATGAACTTCAAAGAGATCAACCCAAAAATGCGAGTGTTAACATTACTAGTATGTCATTTTTAAGTGAGTTATGGATTATGTCCCTGGTAGAGTACATTTACATTTAAAGTGTGATTTGAGTTAATTGGGCTTGGCTTCATATTTTAAGACAATATTTTAAGACAATCAGTATTGGTAATAAGCAGAGATATTGAATTAAAATGGTGAGATAAAATTTCATTTTAAAGCACCATTAAGCGTCTTCACAAATTAACTAAAAGCTCATGATTCTCTCCCACTCCATGCTCTCCACCATCTCCTAAAATCAGCACCTCCCAAAGTCAGCTCCAATTCAGCGCTCAGACACAAAGCTCCAAGGCACCCTTGATTTGGTGCTCTCAAACTTCAGACCCTAGCCAGCAGTGAGTCCTGCTCTTTCTGCCTTCTACTCCTTCTCCACCTTCAACTCCTGCGCCCGACAACTACCATCTCGCCCATCAACTTTTCCCTTCCTGCTTCTTTTTTTTTTTTTTTGGAGACAGAGTCTCACTCTGTCATCCAGGCTGGGGTGTAATGGTGCAATCTTGGCTCACTGCAACCTCTGCCTCTCAGGTTCAAACGATTCTCCTGCCTCAGCCTCCCAAATAGCTGGGATGACAGGAGTCTGCCATCACGCCCAGCTAATTTTTGTATTTTTAGTAA
Organism: Homo sapiens; assembly: GCF_000001405.40. Classification (NCBI taxonomy): domain Eukaryota; kingdom Metazoa; phylum Chordata; class Mammalia; order Primates; family Hominidae; genus Homo; species Homo sapiens. The sequence goes on from NC_000006.12 coordinate 165,276,173, forward strand.
AGACAGGGTTTCACCATGTTGGCCAGGCTGGTCTCAAACTCCTGGGCTCAAGTCATCTGCCCACCTCGGCCTCCAAAAGTGCTGAGATTACAGGAGTGAGCCGCCACGCCCAGACCCCTTCTAGCTTCTATCTCTTTTATTTCTGTTCCTCTCCACTTACAATCAGTACCACCAACTCCTTCTCGCCTCCACCTGATATCTGTACCTTCAACTCCTGCTCTCCCTACCTGTAATCTCCACCAGCACCATAAGACACACACACACACACACACACACACACACAGAAACTCACACCAGCACCATCACCATAACCTCTATCTCCACCACCACTAACCCCACCCCCACCACACAGCAGTTCTTGGCCTGTAAAATTTCTAAAGCCCTATCAAGAAGACACTGTCGGGGTCCCCCAGCAAGAAGCAGTCAGTGCTCCTTGGTTATTAAGCCCTGATGTGGCTCTGGACGAAGCCCCCTCTTCATTGTCCTTGTCCCTGGGCTGGGCTTGTCTCCCCCGGGACACATCTGAAATGGAAATGGGCCTTGGGGAATGCGCCGAGGAGACATACAGATTCTTCAACTTCCTTCCTCCTCATCCTCATGGAAGGTCGGGGACCAAGGATTGCTTTAGGTTTTGAACAGTAATGAGCTTTTCTTACCTTGATTTCCTCGGCAGTAGAACTCCTGCGAAAACTCAGTAGCCTTCCAGTCTCTTTGCTCTCTGTCAGTTCCATGTGTCCACAGCTCACTTAGCGAAGCTCTCAGATCTTTTTCTTTGCTTTCTCATTCCCATTTCTCATCTCTCACTCTTTTTTGTTTATTTGTTTGAGACAGAGTCTCGCACTGTCTCCTGGGCTGGAGTGCAGTGGTGCAATCTTGGCTCACTGCAACCTCCACCTCCCAGGTTCAAACAATTCTCCTTGCCTCAGCCTCTCAAGGAGCTGGGATTACAGGCACCTGCCACCACACCCAGCTGATTTTTCTTTTATTTATTTATTTATTTTTTATTTTTAGTGGAGATGGGGGTTTCACCATGTTGGACAGGCTGGTCTCGCACACCTGACCTTGTGATCCGCCTGCCTCAGCCTCCCAAAGTGCTCGGATTACAGGCATGAACCACTGCATCGGGCCCTCATCTCTCACTTTTAAGTCAAAGATACCCTCCCTAGGCTGCAGAGCTTTGATGGAAAGGCCCCACCTGTAATCTACTCTTTCAGACATTTAATCAGATTACAGGTATTTAAAAATCTCAACCCTTAAATCTGTGGGCTAAAAGTAGTCAGTGTTTTTCACACTGAGAGAGCCAGATTTCTGACTCTGTATTTTTTATTTCCTTTTACAAATAAGCTGATCTGTCTGTATAAGCTCACCCTCTTTCTTATAATGCATTATCACAACGAACCAATATTGACCCAAACAAGCTACATCGTCCTGCTTAAGTGCAAGGAGGGCTGGGCTATATTGGGAACCCACACACATACTCAGTGATCCACGCAGCTTGTTGTCAAATTACTTTGCTAAATTTCCTTATCAATTCACACTTCTTCCAGTAGTAGGTAAGAGTTTGCCTATCTGCATTCTTCATGCTTTTTTGCTGTTGTTATTCTCACATGTCTGTACAACAAAATTTAAGCTTCCTAAAGATTGGAACCATGTCTTCTTAATTTCTATACATCTCACTACTGGTAATCTGAAATATACTTGAATGTTAATATAATGAATGTATATAAGAAAATGAATAAATGGTAGGATTACGCATCTGTTTTTAGAGGAAAAACTTATGAGTTCCCAGAATGCACATATCAAAACACCTGCCACAGGACTTCGATCTTGACAAAGCTTTACTATAACCCTCCTCAGATCTCTTGGAAAACTCTGCTTTTGTGACTTTATCCAGAATAACAGCCAATCCAAAAAAAGTAATTTCCAGCCCCCTGACCTCCACCACAAATCCATTCCAAATTTAATGCCTAAAGCTCCGTTAATATGGAATAACACACCCCTTTTGCCCAAAGCCCTGTTAATATGGAATAATGTACTCCCTTTGCCTAAAGTCCTGTTAATATAGAATAATGCACCCCTTTTGCCTAAAGCCCTGTTAATATGGAATAATGCACCTTTGTTGCCCAAAGTCCTGTTAATATGGAATAATAAACCCCTTTTGCCTAAAGCCGTGTTAATACGGAATAACACATCCTTTTTGTCCAAAGTCCTGTTAATATGGAATAATGCACCCCTTTTGCCTAAAGCCCTGTTAATATGGAATAATGCACCCCCTTTCCCTCTATATCCAGCTCTTTTCTTTCAAACTGGAGACTCCCTGAACCTCTTGAGTATACAGCTCTCTCCTGTTTGGCAAGCTAATAAATTCAGCACTATTTGTTTGATTTTAGTTCTAGTGGTCTTTATGCCACTGCTTGGCAATGCATACATTCATTTTCCTATGTCTCTCCTGGTCATATAGGTAAATGATGCAGCATGATTTGGTGATAAAAGTTTAGTAACTGGGTCAGCCAAACCTGGGTTCAGATCCCAGCTCCATCGTTTACAAGGTAGTTGAAGCAAATCAATTCAGCACTTCATATATCAGTTCTCTGTCCTGTATGAGACAGATGGTACCCAGTGGACATGAATAACCAATAGAAAGCAACTGGAACACAGAGAACTCAATGTACGCTAACAAAGTCCAGTTGATTTCTATATATGGGAAACATTTTCAGTAGCTGCCACAATTTTACCTCTAAAAGCAGAGCGAGTCATTCCTCAGCAAGAACTAATGGATCTTAAACAGAATCTGAGAAGCTCACCTCCCTGACAATGACCTCCTGATCTGTAGAAAGCCAATCTCTCTCTCTCTCTTTCTCTCTCTTTCTCTTTCTCTATCTCTCTCACCTCAAACTCTACGATTACAAATTAGGATCGAATCCCTCATATGTGTACTTTACCAGTTACATTTGATCTTCAAAATCACCCTGTAGACCGGGCGTGGTGGAACACCCCTGTAATCCCAGCAGCTTGGGAAGCTAAGGTGGGAGGATCACTTGAGGTCAGGAGTTCAAGACCAGCCTGGCCAACATGGTGAAACCCTGTCTCTACTAAAAATACAAAATTAGCTGGGTGTGGTGGCACACACCTGTGATCCTAGCTACTCGGGGGCTGAATGAGGCAGGGGAATTGCTTGAACCGAGGAAGCAGAGGTTGCAATGAGCCAAGATCATGCCATTGCACTCCAGCCTGGGCGACAGAGCCAGACTGTCTCAAAGAAAAAAAAATCGCCCTATATAGGATTGTCCAAAGGAATCAAGCTTGCGTTTACTCTAGATGTTTAGACTAGTTCATAGGCAAAGTGGGAATACATAAAAATCCTAAGTCACAACGTTGTCATCAGGATCACAATCAGCCAAGATAGATGCAGTACAAAACATAATGCTAGTGTAATGTTTCCGGAGCACTGTATCATCTTCAATCAGTAAAGATTATTTAATTAAATGGAATTATTAAATCACTATAAAATTTTATTAAATGCATATATGTAAACTTGTGTTGGCAAATAAACAAATTTGAGCTGTATTCAAGCAGCGCTGAATTCCTTATTCTTAGCAAATAATCAAAAGTATTTTCCAAAGTTGAACATTATTAAATGAAAGTAAAACATACGTTAAGAACTAGTATTGTTGTAAATATGTATGCAACAGAAACTAATCATGTGTACGCATGTGTGTATTTCAGTATCCTGAGTAGGATACATATACCACATTAATTTTACTAGAGATTAAAGCTGATGAAATGAAATGTATCTTTATGAATGTATATGCATCTGCAAATATCCATGCTACATACATGGAAGTTAAGAATTTCCACTGGCCATTTGTTCAGCCACTTGAGCGTTATCTTCTGTTTCCTCTGATTTTACAAATTCCTTGATAAATTTCCAAAGGCCCCTTAAAATACATAAGAAATGAATACCATAGGTTAGAAAAAAATACATTAAGCATGAAATAAAATTTCAAAATAAGCATCTATTTTAGACACATTTACCCAAAAACAGACAAGATGAGACTTTGTAATCATTTACTTTTTTAAAACAGATATTTTGAGGGAGTTTTGGCCTTGAATGTAACAGATTCTCTAAATAGATAGATGGATTCCCCTGTAGCATATAGTGTGGCATGGGAAGTAGGTGTACCATGAACATAATGATATACTTGAGTCCATTCACTTTCATTGCCAAGGCCATGGGAGGTGCTTCCCCAGTTTTGTATTTGTAACTCTATTCCCTCTTTTTAAGAACACCCAACATGATATAAGGAACCACAAAACCTAGATCCACCTGTATGGCTTGCTCAGCACTCTATCCAATCCCTTTCTCCCATGGCTTTTTCTGCCCCATAAGCTGGAGAGTGGGGTGCTCTATGTTCTGGCCTCTCTTACGGCTGAGAGTGACCTTGGCCCATGGTGCTGGCCAATGAGATGTGGGTAGGAGCACCTAGAAAGAACTGTCCTTCCTGAATAAAATGGAAAGCCTCAAAATGAGAAGCTCTTTGCCATCTGTCATTCACATTTCCCTTTCTTAATCCATGGAATGCGGACCCAGTTAATGCCTGAAGGCAGCCATATTGAGACCCCGAGGAGGCAGCAGCCACACTCAAAGGAAAGCAGGGAAGAAAGGTGAGGAGCCCTAGTTCCTTAATGATGTCATTGAGCCCAAGCCACCTACACCTAAAAATCTTTTTCCTGTTGATACAAATAAGCCTTTCCCTATTTAAATCATCATATGGTTTTCCATTGCTCTTAATAATACCACATTCTGAGATTCAAACTATAGTACCAACTCAAAGAAAAGTAACTGTGCGAAGTATAAGCTTATAATGTAAATAATAATGTTTATACCAATAAGTTTAGTTATAAACAAATGATATAAATCAGCTACTTACTTTTTAAACTAGAATTTTCAGAGTAATATATGCATAGGAGTTTTCAAAGATTTAACATCACTAAAAGCCATATAATTGGAGAAAATAAAGCCATGCCTTCCCACGTTCCTGATTCCTGCCCATGTGAATTCACCCTCACCTCCAGCTTTATCCAATAAATTCATTTATATATGACTAAATAAAGTGTACAGATTGAGGTCTAAATCTTAGACTGAGCATTCCAAAGCACAGAAAAGAATGCAACATGTGTATTTAATGTAAGCATTCATGAGTGTGAACCCTTCAAAGGTCTATCTAGTCTAATCTAGTTTTAAATAACTGATCTTGAGAACAGCATGATACTGCTCTAGTTCTTTTATCATGATGTCAATACTTACTCCTGCCTCTCTTCACTGATCTTTCCTATGATCTGCTTCACATGGTTTTCAGTAACCTACAAAGAATTACGATCAGTTGGTCATGCTTATTACACAGGACAAGCAGTCACCAGAGGAAATATTTTTATTGATAAACATTGATTCACACAAAAAACTTACTTTTATTTTCTTCTTTAAAATCATATTTTCTGTTTCCAATTGTATAGCTTCATGCTGGAAGAGAAGTTGTTTTAAACACAATATACTTGGTTAAAAATATTTGTTAATTATTTTTCTCTATTTAACAAGATTATGTGAATGATATTATAATTTCAAGAGTACTCAATAGCACATTACTTAAAAACAGATGAAGAAACAAAGCATAAAATGAAGGACAATTAATGAGAAGGAAAGATCCTGGTCCTCCCGGTAAAAAACTAGGAGAGGAGGAAATTGATGTTTCAAAATATCAGAAAATTTTAGGGAAATTCCAGAAGTGAAGGGTTCTTCACTTTTCAGAACTAATGATAGAATTTGTTAAGGGGGCTGGAAAAATATAAAAATACAAATATCAATAAATCACATATATATCAGCAATAACTGATTATAAACTGTAAGGGGAAATTTTTAAATTACCAGTTATAATAGTAATACATCCCATAAACTCATAAGAACAAACATAATTATCTTTCACCAAGTTATAAAAATACATTAAGTAAGTATAAAATAATCCCAGATAGGAGTATTAATATTGTAAAGCTGTCACTTTCTCCCAAATGCATTTATAAATTCAAAATACCAAAAGTATTATTATTAGAACTTCAAAAATTAATCAATAGTGTTAATGAAAGTATTCAGGATAACTGTGAACAAAATAATGATGGGCAGAGGGTATAAAGACTTGCTCTTTCAGATATTACATATGTTGAAAAGTATTAGCAATTTTAGTAGTTAGGCTGCATGGGGTATCATTAAGAACCAAGCCTGAGTTTCAATATTAAGTCTACTGCTTGCTAACTGTGACCTCAATCAAGTTACTTAGCATATTAGTGCTTCATTTCTGTACTTCAAAAAGAGGATTAATAATAGCAGCTACCTGTTAGGGTTGCTGCAAATTAAATGAAATTATATTTTTTAAATGTTCATAAAAGTGTCTGATACATTGTAAATCCTCAATACATTCAGCTCTTTTTTTTTTTTTTCCTGGTTGGAAATAGTCTATTTGAAATCTAGAACCAGATACCAATTACATAATAGAATAACAATGGCAATTCTATTGTATTTTCCAGTATTTGAATTAAGCAGCCAAATATAAATAAGAAGTAGTTAAAGTAATATAAATTAGTGATATGGAATCTTCATAGGGAGTTTTCTATTTCTTAGACTTGTTTTATCTAAGGAGGTTTTAATTATGAAAGAATAGTTTACATTGTTCTGACATTATATCATGCTTCAATATTTAAATTTAGAACCCATTACTGTTTTAAAATGCAATTATAAATTGATGCTTGTCCTGAGGACATTTATTTTCTGAAAGAAATAAAGGAGATCAAACCCTAAACAAAAACCGCGAAGAAAATCTGCAGGGAGGGGCCAAGATGGCCGACTAGAAGCAGCTGCTGTCAGCAGCTCCCACAGAGAAGAACGAAAATGGCAAGTGAATCCTACACCTTCAACTGAAGTATCCAGGTTCTCTCACTGGGACTGACTAGGGGGTTGGCACGACCCACAGAGAGCAAGAAAAAGCAGGGTGAAGAGATGGCCCACCTGGGAGCCGCAAGGGGACCTTCCGCTCCCAGCCAAGGGAGGCAGTGAGTGATTGTGTTACCCTGCCCAGGAAACCATGCTTTTTCCACAGATCTGTGCAAACTGCAGATCTGAAGATCCCCTCGTGAGCCCACACCATCAGGGTCTTGGGTCCCAAGCAGGGGTTTACAGACAGAATGTCTGCTGGCTCTGAAGAGTCTAGTCAGTCTGCACAAGGGGGACTCCCCCAAGCGCAGTGCACCTGCTCCACCAAGGGGCAGTCAGAGTGCTTCGTTAAGCACTCCTGACTGGGTGAGACCTCCCAACAGGGATCGCCAGACACCTTATACAAAAGCGTTTCTGTTGTAAACAGGTTGGTGCTCCTCTGGGACAAAGCTCCCAGAGGAAGGAGTCGGCAGCAATCTTTGCTGTTCTGCAGCCTCCATTTCTGACACCTCCGGGTGCTAGAGGGACCAAGGTGAATAGAGTCCGAAGTGGACCCCCAGCAAACTGCAGCAGCCCTATGGAAGAGGGGCCTGTTAAAAAAGCAAACAAACAGAAAGCAACAACAAGAAAAACATCAACAAATGAGACCTCACCAAAACCCCATCCAAAGGTCAGCACTCTCAAAGATCAAAGATAGATAAGTGCATGAAGATGAGAAAGAATTAATGCAAAATAACTGAAAACTCAAAAAACCAGAGTGCCTCTTCTCCTCCAAATGATCTCAACACCTCTCCAGCAAGGGCATAGAACTGGGCTGAGGCTGAGATGGATGAACTGACAGAATTAGACTTCAGAAGGTGGGTAATAACGAACTTCACTGAGCTAAAGGAGTATGTTCTAATCCAGTGCAGAGAAACTAAGAACCATGATAAAACATTATAGGAGCTGTTATCCAGAATAATCAGTTTAGAGAGAAATATAAATGACCTGATGGAGTCGAAAAACACAACTCAAGAACTTCACAATGCAACCACCAGTATCAATAGCCAAATAGACCAAGTGGAGGAAATAATCTCAGAGCTTGAAGAATATCTTGCTGAAAAAAGGCAGACAAGATTAAAGAAAAAAGAATGAAAGGAATAAAAAAAGCCTCTGAGAACTATGGGATTATGTAAAAATATTGAAACTACCACTGAGTGGGGTACTTGAAAGAGATGGGGAGAATGAAACCAAGTTTGAAAACATACTTCAGTATTTCATCCAGGAGAACTTCCCCAACCTAGCAAGACAGGCCAACATTCAAATACAGGAAATCCAGAGAACTGCAGTCAAATACTCCATGAGAAGATTAACCCCAATATACATAATCATCAGATTCTCCAAGGTTGAAATGAAGGAAAAAATTGTTAAGGGTAGCCAGAGAGAAAGCCCAGGTCACCTAGAAAGGGAAATCCATCAGACTAACAGCATGCCTCCCAGTGGAAACCTTACAAGCCAGAAGAGATTGGGGGTCAATACCTAACATTCTTAAGGAAAATAATTTGCAACCCAGAATTTCATAACCAACCAAAATAAGCTTCATAAGCAAAGGATAAATAAAATCCTTTTCAGACAAGAAAATGCTGAGGGAATTTGTCACCACTAGGCCTGCCTTGCAAGAGCTCCTGAAGGAAGCACTAATCATGGAAAGGAAAAACCATTACCAGCCACTACAAAAACACACAGACCAATGACACTATGAAGGAACTACATTAGCAGGTGTGCAAAATAACCAGCTAGCATCATGATGACAGGATCAAATTCACATATAACAATATTAACCTTAAATGTAAATGGGCTAAATGCCCCAATTAAAAGATACAGAATGGCAAGCTAGATAAAGAGTCAAGACCCATCAGTGTGCTGTATTCAATAGACGCATATCACATGCAAAGACACACATAGGCTCAAAATAAAGGAGTGGAGGATAACTTACCAAGCAAATGGAAATCATAAAAAGCAGGGGTTGCAATCCTACTTTCTGACAAAACACACTTTAAACCAACAAAGATAAAAAAATACAAAGAATGGCATTACATAATGGTAAAGGGTTCAATTGAACAAGAAGAACTAACTATCCTAAATATATATGCACCCAGTATAAGAGCACCCAGATTCATAAAACAAGTTCTTAGAGACCTACAAAGTCTCTAATAATAGTGGGAGACTTTAACACCCCACTGTCAATATTAAACAGATCATAGAGACAGAAAATTAACAAAGATATTCACGACTTGAAATCAGCTCAGATCAAGTGGACCTGATAGATATGTACAGAGCTCTCCATCCCAAAACAACAGAATATGCATTCTTCTCAGTACCACATGGCACTTACTCTAAAATCAATCACATAATTGGAAGTAAAACACTCCTCAGCAATAACAAACAGTCTCCCAGACCACATGCAATCAAATTAGAACTCAAGATTAAGAAACTCACTCAAAACCACACAACTACATGGAAATTGATCAACCTGCTCCTGAATGACTCCTGAGTAAATAATAAAATTAAGGCAGAAATCAAGAAGCTCTTTGAAACTAATAAGAACAGACAACATACCAGAATCTCTGGGATGCAGCTGAAGCAGTGTTAGAGGGAAATTTATAGCACTAAATGCCCACATCAGAAAGCTAGAAAGATCTCAAATCAATATATAACATCACAACTAAAAGAACTAGAGAACCAAGTGCAAACAAACCCCAAAGCAAGGAGAAGACAGGAAATAATCAAGATCATGGCAGAACTGAAGGAAATAGAGACACAAAAAAACCTTCAAAAAATCAGTGAATCTAGGAGATGGTTTTTTTGAAAAAAAAATTAATAAAATAAATAGACCACTAGCTAGATTAATAAAGAAGAAAAGAGAGAAGAATCAAACAGACAAAATAAAAAATGATAAAGGGAATATCACCACTGACCCCACAGAAATACAAACAACCATCAAAGAATGCTAAAACACCTCTATGCAAATAAACTAGAAAATCTAGAATAAATGGATAAATTTCTGGACACATGCACCCTCCCAAGACTGAACCAGGAAGAAGTGAATCCCTGAATAGACCAATAATGAGTTCTGAAATTGAAGCAGTAATAAATAGTCCACAAATTTTTTTTAAAAAGCCCAGGACCAGATGGATTTACAGCTGAATTCTACTAGAGGTACAAACAGGAACTGGCACCATTTCTTCTGAAACGCTTCCAAACAATTGAAAAGGAGGGACTCCTTAACTCATTTTATGAGGCCCGCATCATCCTGGTACCAAAACCTGGAAAAGATACAACAAAAAAGGAAAACTTCAGGCCAATACCTCTGATGAACATTGATGCAAAAATCGTCAATAAAATACTGGCAAACCGAATACAGCAGCACATCTAAAAGCTTATTCACCACAATCAAGTTGCCTTCACCCCCAAGATGCAAGACTGGTTTGACATACACAAATCGGTAAAATTTATCACATAAACAGAACTAAAGACAAAAACCACATGATTATCTGAACAGACACAGAAAAGGCCTTCTATAAAATTCAACATCCCTGCATGTTTAAAACTCTCAAAAAAACTAGGTATTGATGAACACATCTCAAAATAGTAAGAGCCATTTATGACAAACCTACATCCAATATTATACTGACTGGGCAAAAGCTGGAAGCATTCCTCTTTAAAACTGGCATGCACAAGATAAGAATGCCCTCGCTCACCACTCCTATTCAACATAATATTGGGAGTTCTAGCCAGGGCAATCAGGCAAGAGAAAGAAATAAAGGGTATTGAAATAGGAAGAGAGGAAGTTGAATTGTCTCTGTTTGCATATGACATGATTCTACATCTAGAAAATCCCATCATCTCAGCCCCAAAGCTTCTTAAGCTGATAAGCAACTTCAGCAAAGTCTCAGGATACAAAATCAATATGCAAAAATTGCAAGCATTCCTGTAAACCAACAACAGACAAGCAGAGAGCCCAATTATGAATGAACTCCCATTCACAATTGCCATAAAGAGAACAAAATATCTAGGAATATAGCCAACAAGAGAAGTGAAATACCTCTTCAAGGAAAACTACAAACCACTACTCAAGGAAATCAGAGAGGACACAAATAAATGGAAAAACATTCCATGCTCATGGATAGGAAGAATCAGTATCATGAAAATGGCAATACTTCCCAAAGTAGCTTATACATTCAATGCTATTCCCATTAAACTACCATTGACATTCTCCACATTACTAGAAAAAAAAACTATTTTAAATTTCATATGGAAACAAAAAAGATCCCCTATAGCCAACACAACACTAAGCCAAAAGAAGAAAGCTGGAGGCATCATGCTGCCTGACTTCAAGCTATACTACAAGGCTACAGTGACCTAAACAGCATGGTACTGGTACAAAAAACAGACATATAGACAAATGGAACGGAATAGAGAACTCAGAAATAAGACTGCACGCCTACAACCATCTGATCTTTGACAAACCTGACAAAAACAAGCAATGGGGAAAGGATTCCCTATTTAATAAATAGTGCTGGGATAACTGGCTAGCCATATGCAGAAAAATGAAACTGGACCCCTCCCTTACACCTTATACAAAAAATAACTCAAAATAGGTTAAATGCTTACATGTAAAACCCAAAACTGTAAAACCCTAGAAGAAAATCTAAGCAATACCATTCAGGATATAGGCATAGGCAAAGATTTCATGATGAAAACATGAAAAGCAATTGCAACAAAAGCAAAAATTGACAATGGGATCTAATTAAACTAAAGAGTTCTGCACAGCAAAAGAAACTATCATCAGAGCAAACAGACAACACACAGAATGGGGGAAAATTTCTGCAATCTATTTATCTGGCAAATGTCTAATGTTCACAATCTACAAGGAACTTGAACAAATTTACAAGAAAAAACAAACAACCCCATTAAAAAATGGGCAAAGGACATGAACAGACACTTCTCAAAAGAAGACATACATGTGGCCAACAAGCATATGAAAGAAAGCTCAACATCACTGGTCATCAGAGAAATGCAAATCAAAACCACAATGAGATACCATCTCACACCAGTCAGAATGGCAATTGTTAAAAAGTCAAGATACAACAGATGCTGGCAAAGTTGTGGAGAAATAGGAATGCTTTTACACTGTTGGTAGGAATGTAAATTAATTCAACCATCGTGGAAGACAGTGTGGCAATTCCTCAAAGATTTAGAACTCAAAATACCATTTGACCCAGCAAACCCAAATCCCTTTTGTATATACCCAAAGGAATATAAATCATTCTATTATAAAGATACATGCACATATATGTCCATTGCAGAACTATTCACAATAGCAAAGACATGGAATGAACCCAAATGCCCATCAACGATAGGCTAGATTTTTTAAATGTGGTATATATACACCATGGAATACTATGCAGCCATAAAAAGGAATGAGAGCATGTCCTTTGCAGGGGTATGGATGGAACTGGAAGCCAATATCCTCAGCTAACTAATGCAGGAACAGAAAACCAAACACCACGTGTTCTCACTTATAAGTGGGAGCTGAACAATGAGAATGCATGGACACAGGAAGGGGAACAACACACACTGGGGGCTGTCAGGAGGGTGAAGGGAGGTAAAACATCAGGAAAAATAGCTAATGCATGTTGGGTTTAATCCCTAGGTGATAGGATGATAGGTGCAGCAAATCACCATCGCATACATTTACCTGTGTAACAAACCTCCACATCCTGCACATGTACCCTGGAACTTAAAATAGAAAAAAATAAAATAAAATAAAATAAATAAATGTAAAAACTTAGCCTGTTAAAATAAGGCTAGAATCAGTACAATTATTTCATCCAGTAGTATTTCATTCTTACAACAGTAAACCATAGCGTTTCCTCTATATTTAAATAATTTTCTTCTAAAACAGGGGTCAAAAAACTAATCCAGTCTGCACCTATTTCTGTAAATAAAGTTTTATTGGCACACAGCCATGTCCCCCCTCCAAAAAAAAAAAGAAAAAGAAAAAGAAAAAAGAACATCCGAACATATGATTGTAAAAGAGAAAGAGATAATTTTTTCATAAAGAAGGTTGGACCACCAACACCTTTCTATATGCTCTATAATTCTGCTAAAGAGAATAAAAGTAGTGCTGGAAAAATATATTTAACTATAGAACCACAATAAAAAAAATCATGTATTTCTTATATACTCTACAACTGGAGGTTACATTGAGTTATATTCTACACAATTTAAAATTCTGTTTTTAAATTTTTTAACTTTTATGGATTTAGGGGTATGAGTGCAGTTGTATTACATGGATATATGTGTAATGGTGGGCTTTAGTGTACCACCACCCAAATAGTGTACGGTGTACCCAGTAGGTAGTATTTCATCCCTCATCCCCCTTCCACACTCCCACATTCTGGAGTCTTCAATGGCTATTATTCCACTCTGTATGTTCATGTTACTCAAAAAATTAGGTTTTGGCTATTAACAGAAATCTATAGAATTTTTTTATCACTTTCCTTTTTTCTTATTTTGATAGATCTTTTAATTATTATGATTATTTGCTACAAACATTTTGAAATAAAAAGTACATTTGGGCCAAATTTTATGATTTTTTTACCCTATTACCAAATCACATTACTTCATGTGTTTGCCAAGGTCTTCAAGCAAAAGAATAATGTAAATATTTAAATAAATAAGTTGCGTACCTCTATGCTTTTAATCCTATTCTCAGTGATATCTGAAATTCCAGTATGAACCAAAGTTGTTTTAATTTCTTTTTCCAGAGCTTGTATCTCATCCCACTTACTGAGTATTTCACACCTCTTCTTTTCAACCTTCTCAGTAAGAGTAAGTCGGTTTTCATCAATTATATGTTTCTCAGATGATTCTGGAAATATTTTTTAAAACAAAGTATTACCATGTTTAATATCTCAGTTATTATTAATAGCATTATGTATTATTAACAATATTATGTATGCTATAGTATATATAACTATAAAATATAATTCAAACTCGAAGCATGTCAATAAAAATAATCTGACCCCAGAATGAGGGTATTCCTCCTTTAATTCATTCCTCTAATCAATACATATTTGTTGAACACATTTTTGTGCAGACACTGGGCTAGGTAGAAAGGTTCAATGGTGAATTAGCCCTTTCCAGAGTGTGTGATTTAGCAGTGCAGACCAACAAGAAACAACAAGAAAGTGACAGTGGCAGAGCAGAAGGTGCAACGGTAAGACAAAGCAAGAACATCAGACACAGCAGGAGGAAGGCTCAGGGATGACTTTGCCAGAGAAGTGTGGCTAGGTTGAAATACAAAGGATAAAGAGAAGTTAGACAAGCAGAAGGGTTTTGGAAGGGAGCAGAAGACAGAATTTAGACATTGAGGGACAATCCTAGGAGGGAAACGGGGGGCAGATCTGAGAAGATTTGTGACCTATGTTAAGAAATCGGTCAAAGATGTTGAGGGCTTTTAATATGGGCAGAGACACAATCAGACAATGATCACTGTCTCCAGTGAAATTGTGTCCTGAAAGTGGATCAGACAGCACAAGACTAGAATCAGAAAGACCTGTTGGGAAGCTATGGCAATCATTCACACAGGTTGATCGGGTCAGGGTATGTATTAGTCTGTTTCACGCTGCTGATAAAGACATACCTGAGACTGGGCAATTTACAAACAAAAGAGATTTAATTGGACTTACAGTTCCATGTGGCTGGGGAAGCCTCACAATCATGGCAGAAGGCAAGGAGGAGGAAGTTCCATCTTACATGGATGGCAGCAGCCAAAGAGAGAATGAGAAATACGCAAAAGGGGAAACCGCTGATAAAACCATCAGATCTGGTGAAACTTATTCACTACCATGAGAATAGTATGGGGGAAACTGTCCTCATGATTCAGTTGTCTACCACCAGGTCCCTCCCACAACACATAGGAATTATGGGAGCTACAATTCAAGATGAGATTTGGGTGGGGACACGGAGCCAAACCATATCAGAATAGTACTCCCAGCATGAAGAGAAGTGAACAACAACAACAACAAAAAACGATTTAGGAAATAGAAAAAGAAAATAGACCTTAGTAATTGACTAGATCTGGCAATGTAGAGAAGGCAATGTCAAAAATAAGCCCTAGGTTTTAGCTCAGTTGTAGCTAGAAAGAAAACAATGAGTTCAATGAAGCATGGAGGTAAGAAAGAACTTGGTTTCAATCCCACCTTGGCCACTTATTTCAAGCTGTGTTGGAAGAGGTTGAGGGGTAGGAGAGTGAAAGTTGCCTGGCACATGTTCTATGGCTTTCATCTCCATGTGTTTGGTGATACCATCCATTGAAATAGCCAGGGGGATGCCAATTTAGAGAAGGAGATGATGAGTTTAATCTCGGACATGTTGAAATACCTATGGGACACTCAAGAGGCCACGTCTAATAGGCACTTGGATATACAGATCTCAAGCAAAAAAGAAGGGTTTTTAGCAGGTAAAATAGATTTGGAATTTAAAAAAATGTTAACTCTTCCAAAGAGATGCTGGACTCCAAAGAATATCAACATTTAAGGAGTACAGAAAGGAAATGGAGACATCAAGTGATCCACTGCTAAGGCCAATTTGTCATCAATCAACACAGTTATATACTAATTAGAGTGGTGAGACTTAATTTTTTGAGAAAAAAACAATTACTACTTTTCGATGGGAACAAAAGAGTTAGAAATATTAATAACCCTTCCTGGTAGATAGTAAACAAGGTGGAAGTAACAGCCATCATTCAACTTTGCCAAATTTGGAAGAGGAGAAACTTTGACATTAAATTTTGAAATTTGGGGAAATTAAGTAGGCACATGATGAGCTAGCTGAGGGGATAGAAATGGTCATAGTTAAGCTTCTACACAAACTGAAAGAAACTACAAAATAAAGTATTTGTTCTCCGCCTTAACCTAAGCTGAAGGTTTCAGCCCAAAACCATCAGCTGAGTTCAAAGAGGCAAAAAGGAATGTCAAGCCCAGGGAATGACCTCCACCTCACCCTTTTCTACCCTCAAGACATAACTATAGGGAAAGACTGAGGTATGAAAATGGGGACATTCCACAGCAAATGTGTATGATTGGAGGAGCAGGCTCCTGAGATAGAAAGCTTTGGGAAAATAATAAAGCAGGAAGAACCAGGGGCACCAGGTTTGTTCCATCGCAATGAAAGGGTGATGGGAACAGTGGGCTAGGATCAAACACGAAGAAAGATTACTAGAGCTCTGGAAAGTTCGTCACTGCATCTTATTTTTATTAATCTTTGCCATTTTTTTATTAGTGGCTAGCAGTAAAGTAAAGCCCTTAAGTTTCTGCTTTTTTGTTTTTTTGTTTTGTTTTTAAATCGTGGGCCTGTTTTAAGAGAAAGCAAGGAAACAGAAAACACCAAGCATGGGTCCTATTTCACGTCTGTGAGAGGAACTCTACAAAGAACGAACAACGTGGTGGAAGAAGGAGGGAAGCAGGTGACCTCTGAGCCCTGAGAAGGGATGGAAGGAGAAGCAGAGTCAGCCTGGGACAGAGAACAGGCGGGACAAGGGGATGCAAATCAGGCGACAAGAAACCTGTGCAGGATCCAGCAGTGTTAACAGCACCCGTGCTGCTCATAGGTAGAAAAGAGGAAACAGGCAGCAGGGGGAAAAAGGCGGTAAAAGCACTCTGGCAAGGATCTTCGAGGCCAAGCTCTACTAAGAATTCAAAACAGGATAGTCCTGTGAGCATATCCTACCAGACGCTGAGAAAAAGTATCTAAAAACAGAGTATGAGTGAGTGTTTAACAAACTTGGAGGGAAAATGGCATTTCATTTAAAGTTGGAAAACAGTCAAAGTTAATGAGCAAGATACTTAAACTTATTTTTATCATATAATTGCATTCTAAATTGTATACATTCAAAATAATTTTAATATCTATTTTGTAAAATGTTAATATCTATTTCATAAAATATTCATAAAATGCAATTAATTCCTCATGAAATGCGTATTTTTCCTCACATGTAATAATGAAAAGATGAAGAACAAACAGGCAGTCACCACCACGTGCCAGGCCCTGTGATCTTGGGTGATGTGGGTGAATATGTTGAATTCTCGCAACAAAACTCAGAGGGAGCATCAGCATCTTCCAAGTTGACAGACAGGCAGCCACACTGCAGCAGCTGAAATAATGAAGGTCACAGCAAAGCACCCATAAGGAAGGACATCACACAGACACCTGCCTGATCGTTCCTTTGCAGACTGCAGCAATGCCACCTCCATCTCCAGTTCACTTCTGAGTCTACAATGTGAGGATAAACAATAGGGAAATATTAGATCCCCATTATATCTTTTGTCTTTTGTCTGGGTTACACCACAAGTCTCTTACAGTTGAGAAATTAAAATAGATCTGCTTACTTTTAACACGACAGATACTCTGAAGATATTTATTAAATGACAGCCTAAATCAGTCAAGTTAAACAAAATAATACTGTCTTACCAAGATTGCATAAGCCTTTAAAGAGTTAGTTAATTTAAAATAAATGATTTCCTGTAGAATTTATTGGTATTTTTTGTTAATGCAATTGCTAAGAAGGAAGAAGGCAAAAAAAATTTAAAAAAGATAATTTAAAAAAACGTAGCATTTTACACTCAGAGGCAAACAACATGTTAAGGGCTATGGAAAGACTTTCCTGATGCTGAAATACACGGCATCTTTCCTGTGTATTATTATTCTGTGCAACAGATACGATTTACAAATTTCACTATGTTTAAATTAAAAATAAAATACAAGAGGCCGGGCATGGTGGCTCATGCCTGTAATCTCAGCACTTTGGGAGGCTGAGGCGGGCAGATCACGAGGTCAGGAAATGGAGACCATCCTGGCTAACACGGTGAAACCCCATCTCCACTGAAAATACAAAAAATTAGCTGGGTGTGGTGGTGGGTGCCTGTAGTCCCAGCTACTTGGGAGGCTGAGGCAGGAGAATGGCATGAACCCGGGAGGCAGAGGTTGCAGTGAGCCGAGATCATGCCACTGCACTCCAGCCTGGGAGACAGAGCCAGACTCCGTCTTTAAAAAAGCAAAAAAAAAAAAACAAAAAAAAAAAAAGTAAATAAATAAGTAAATAATACAAGAAACTTTAAAAAACAGAAAAAAACCTCCTTGTTTCCTCTGCTTGGTTCAGAGTAACCTACATCAGCTATCTTATGTTTTATAGATTTAAAGAGAAAACAAAAAGGAGTCTAACAGGTATTACATATTTTGAGGACAACACTGTGATTTGATTTAAAACATCCACATGCAAATAATTTAAAGCCAAATGTCTACAAAGGGCCTAACATTTTAAGAGTTTTACACATGTTAGTTCTTTTCATCACAGATTAAGAGAGAAATAGGGTGGTTATTATGACCCTCAATTTTAAGAAACTGGAGCCAGGTGTGGTGACTCATGCCTGTAATCCCAGCACTTTGAATGGCCAAAGCAGGTGGATCACTTGAACCTAGGAGTTGGAGACCAGCTTGGGCAACATGGTGAAACCCCAGCTCTACTTAAAAATAATACAAAAATTAGTCAGGTGTGGTGCCTGTGGTCCCAGCTACTTGGGAGGCTGAAGTAGGAGGATCTCTTGCACCTGAGAGGTTGAAGCTGCAGTGAGCCATGATCATGCCACTACACTCCAGCCTGGGCAACAGAGCAAGACCCTGTCTCAAAGAAAAAAATTTAAGAAACTGGGGATTCAATGGATTAATAATAATGATGAAAGTCTTTTCAATATATGTAGTAAGAAAGTTTTATTTCCAGAAAATTTTTACATATTATAGTTTTAAATATTACTTAGGTTTTTGTTCTATTGCTTTGTTTTTCTTCTTCAGGGACTTTAATTATACGTGAATTGGACATTATTTGCTTATGTTCTATTTCATCTACTTTTTCTGACTTTTGATTTCTGTATCTCATTTACATTCTTTTAAATATTTTTCTACTTTTTCCCAATGCCTATTATGTTTTCATTCAAAACTATTCTTCCTTGGGTATTTCAGAATTTAGTCTTGACCTATGATATAATTTTGACTTTTTCAACTATTTTTTCCTCGGTTTTTATCTTGTTTTATTTCTTCTTTATTGTTGTTGATTTCTCTCCTTAGTTTTTAAATTTATGACTCAAGATTGTTTTCATGTCCTGAAATGCTCTTTGGGAACATGTAATTTAGCTTGGAGTGCTGTGCTACAGTTTTCTTCTTGTTCAACTTTATTATTACTATTCCTTGGTAAGGCAGGGACTTTCATCAGGTAAATCATTTGGATTCTCATTTTCTGTTCTTTTCTCATAGTAGTTTGTATAGACAAAGATTGTTTACACCTCTGCATTTTTGCCAGCTGGACTAGTGATTTGGAGTAGTATGTGAGATTGCTAATTCAAATGGATACTTTTCCGTCAGTGTAGCAATTTATACTATTTTATTATTGATTTATTGTTTTTTTTTTTCGGTGTTGTTTTGATTTCCTTCTATAGTCCTGGATACCTTGCTTGTTTAGAGGGGAAAAGGACAGTATGTGGAAGGGTTGTGTGCACCCTGATTTTCCTTTTTATAGGTTTCTAAACTTTCCTTTCTTGCTCCCTATTGCCTTCACTGGACATTTCTAAAGGATGCTGCTCCCTTTCCCTTAACCCCCTTCTCACATGTATTATTACCATTTCAAAGTTGTCTTCTCACTTCTACCCTCTCCCAAGTAACCCCACCCCACCACACCCCCACCACCACACCCCTGCCATCATAGTCAATGCTGCCATCAGCCCAGCAGGACAGTTGTGTGGCTTTCTCACTTATGTGGATTCTCTCTCTGGAAGTGGCTTTGGAACAATTTTAGGCCTCCATCTATCTCCACTGTTCTCTCTTCCATGAACTTTTCCCAAAACCTCACTTGCTCTCACAAACAAAGCTTTGCAGCAGGAACATGGCAACTGGTTCACTGCCACTGAATGTTTTCTTTCCTATTTTCAGTCATTTTTAAACTTTGGATGCATTTGCAATGAATTCAGTTTTTTGTTGTTGTTGTTGTTGTTTTCGTTTTTTGTTTTTTTTTTTTTTTTTTTTTTTTTTTGCCTTGGCATTCACTTTGAACAGAAGTTTAATTTTCTCACTCCAGAAGCAGGGCTCAGTCACCATTGCTTGACACAGTTTCTCGTGCTTCTCCTCCTCCCAGTGCCTCAAAATGGTCAGTTCAGATATCTGCCTTAAACAACCACCTCCCAGGGATCACCCACTATGAGACAGCTAAATACAACCTACTTTCCTCAACCCACTGACCCCGCACCCTGTAGGGGCCATGAGAATATGCTGCAGTGACCCAGAAAGCACTCTCCATCACAGTGTGACCCCACAGAACTCGTGCCTTCTTGCCCTAAACCCACCGATCAGAATTCCCCATGGAAAACCCGCTTGGGTCCCGCTCTGGACCCAAACAAAAGACTTGGTCCATCGGTCCTCACTCTCTCTCTTGCTCCCCTACCTGCTGGTGGAGCGAGTGTGTTTCAGGCAGCTCCCCACTTCCTACCACCCCTGAGAGGTACGCTGCCTTCTTTTCTCTGGGATCCGTAAGTAACAAATCTGCTATTTAATGTGCTTTGTTCTGTGGCCTTCTCTGTGCCTCACCTGATGGACACACTTGAATGTCACCTTTTACCAGCCAGGGCTCCCCTAGAGACTGGCTATCTTGGTAGGAATAAACTAGATACACACCAGACAACAACCACGAGGGCTTCTGCCAGTATAGTCGGGTTTCTTGTGAGAGGAATATCTGGTCACAGGTCAGACACTTGGACATTAAGCCTGAAGGCCAGGATGAAGACACATCCCATGAAGGGTACCCTGAGAATATCCTCCACCAGCCCCCAAAGCTCCATCAGGGGAGGGCTAGAGTTCATAGCCACCCTTGTGAGAGAGACCTTAAGACCAAATTGGAGGCCAGGTGTGGTAGCTCATGCCTGTAATCCCAGCACTTTGGGAGGCCGAGATGGGTGGATCACTTGAGGTCAGGAGTTCAAGACCAGACTGGCCAACACAGTGAAACCCTGTCTCTACTAAAAATACAAAAATTAGCCGGGCGTGGTGGTACACACCTGTAATCCCAGCTACTCAGGAGGCTTGAACCCGGGAGATGGAAGTTGCAATGAACTGAGATCACCCCACTGCACTCCAGCCTGGGCGACAGAGCAAGTCTCCATTAAAAAAAAAAAAAAAAAAGAAGAACAAATTGGAACAACAAATACAACAGTTCTCTGTCTTCTGGTTACACTAGAAGCCAAATTTTGTTTTTTGGTTTTGTTTCTTGTTTCATGCTCTTGAAGATATTTTGGATGTTGCAGATTTCCTTTAATCTTTTTTCAAATCATACAAAGAGTATGCCCTATCCAATTGTTATTCGACCCCGGAAAATGATACAGAGAGGTTATATTAGAAGAGCTTTGTAAGTTAAAAAACAATAGGGGCATTCATATAAGGTGTCTTAGATCTGCAGCCCTCTCGCCTATCAGTCAGTCTTCAGGGGACCACCAGAAAAGACAGGCAATTCCTTGAGAAACCTGCCCAAACTCCCCCCATGGACACACCATACTTAGCAGAATGTCTTAGTCACATAGGTGATGGCCTGTAGAAATAGCCAGATGACAGGCATGATATTAGCAAAAGTAGCATGTTTTCAGCAACGCAGAAATCAATGTAACCGTAGGCTTGTCACAGCGGTTTCAGACCTTGTTACGGAAGAATCTAAACATAGATCAGATCCGTCCCTCATGCCTCACCTATCATTCTGCTCCAGGGCTGCTTTTGTGGCTGTCACGAGCATCCTCAGCTCTTCCCTGGCGAGATCCATGTCCGCCGTCTTCACCGGCCTCTGCCCCAGCGCCTTGAGTTGAGCCAGAAGAGCCTAGGCAGGACCAGGTACATGAGGTGAGACAAGCACACAGGGAGGGCGGGAGGACTCCCTTTCTTATTTGTCATTAATGCGTTTTCAAGGTGCCCTGGGTTAACATATAAGTTCTAGTTAAAATAGGTAAATTGGGAGGATTTAAGGGAGGGAGGGCCGTTGGGGGAGGGATGGCCCATCAGTGAAGTTCCCGGTAAAATACCTTTTTCAATATGTTAAAAGTTTATTTTTCTAAGAAATGGAAAGATGGTAGGGAATTTCCCTGTTGGCCCGTGTGGGGGGAAGGACATACTGGATAAAGTCCTGGAGGCACATTGTCAGTGGCACCGCAATCGTTTCCTCTAGGTGAATGAGAAGCCATGTGAATGTGCTTGCCATCCGCAGATGTAAAGCAGTGCTGTGCTCAAATGGGGAGCAACAGAGATCTCTGCTTCTTAGGGGATGGGTTGCCAGGGTTACAGACACAGAAAGAGGCATCCAGGGCCCTGCTGGCCTGGGAATTTTTTCATGCTCACATTTGACCGAGATAGGGACGTATGCCACTTATGACTCAATCTCAAAACGTAAGGAACAAGGTAAATTCCCCACTGGAGGCTTTGCTCATTCTTGTGAAGACAAAGGCTGCTTCTGTGTTATGAAAAGGCTCAGCACAAAGAAAATGGTACTCACATCTTATTTTACATGAAGAAGCAAACTAGAACTGATCTCCTTGCAATGCTGTGATCTTTTGCTCATGTATAAAAGAAGCAACTATCTTTCCTAATTTATGAAGTAAAATTAATCTTTAAAGTGTATTGAATTCAAAATACCAAAGTTATCTTAGCTATCTTAGCTACAGTGTTAGATTTTCTTAGGTTTTATAAGTGATAAAGTTATTCCTGCAGTATATTTTCTTATTTGACCAATCACATGTTTAACCCGACCCTGGAAGGGAACACCTGGAACGCTGTCACCCGTTAAACAAAGAGATCATGGGGTTTGAGTCAGCTTACAGCACACCAGCCATCACAATGCATTCTCAGTGATTTCGCCAGGACAATGGCTGGACAGTGGTTTTTGGAAATTACTGGAAGAGAACCATTTATATTCCCAATTTATACATAGATAGTTATGTCGCTTGTTTGGGAGTATAAATAATGCTATGCCAATCAAAAGGAAAGTTCTTTATCAATAATGTTATTAAGGCAGTATAAAACTCATCTATAACAAAGAACATATCAGCTATTCTAAATTATGGGGCACACATGGGGCTTCTTGGATTCAGAAAGGTTTCCACTGCTCATGAAATATGAAGCTATGGATAAGCAGGCTCTATTCAGGCTCTTTGTGATCGATCGTCACCTCGTACTGTGCTGCAGGCTGGGACTCCAGGAGCGTTGCCATGTAGAGTTCATATTCATCCTGTACAGAAACAAACAAAAGTCCACTGGCCATGTATGAGGAGGCCACAGTGCAGGTGTTTCACGTGTATAAATAATACGGAAGTCAAGAATGTTCATTTAGATCATTTCAGAAAAATATAAAATGTTCCCACAATGCATTAAACGGTATACATGCTCACATTGATAAAATCACACCATCTTTGAAGCATATTTGAGCATTAAGTATTGATTACCTCAGAATATCATAAAATACCATACAATAAAATATAAAATATTGAGGCAATCTCTGCCTCCCGGTTCAAGCGATTCTCCTGCCTCAGCCTCTGAGTAGCTGGGATTATAGGCATGTGCCACCACGCCCAGCTAATTTTTGTATTTTTAGAAGAGATGGGGTTTCACCATGTTGGCCAGGCTGGTCTTGAACTCCTGACCTAAAGTGATCTGCCTGCATCAGCCTCTCAAAGTGCTAGGATTACAGGCATGAGCCACAGCACCCAAAAATCACTTTCATCATGAAATTGCAACAAACCTATAATTCCATAAGGATTCAAATAACATTACACATGTAAAGTTAAATTATTAATTTATTAGAATTATAATTAAGTTATATAAAATTTATAAACGGTTATGCATAATTAGGAAGCTTTAGTGGGAAAATATGGGTTTGAGGAATGAGTTAACTGGGTGTTGATTCCACATGGCCCCTTACAATTTACGTGCCTGCAGGCAGATGACCTCGAGTCTCTGGGAGTGATGGTCCCTGTCTGTAGAAGGGGGCCTGTGATACCTAGCAGAATTTCAGTGCGGCTTGAGATCATTCTTGTACACAGAACCTCATGCAAGCTTCTCAACTGTTATGCTGAAGATGTATGTTTCTTACCTTAACTTTTTTCAAGAGATCACCAAATATCAAAGAACTGTTACAAATATCTTCAAAGACTTTTCCAAAGACGTGCAGTCTGTTGAACTGCTGGGGGCTGCACGTGCAAATTTTCTGGAGCTCCTGGAGGAAAAACAGAGTCAGCCCATTTCAGGGTGGCTTCATCTTTCTTCCAGAACCGAATTTCTCAGGAGTCAGTGAGGACACAGCTGCCATCACCCTGGCGAGTGGGCGGGGCGGCACAGGGGGCCAGTCTCGGGGGTTCTGATCCCTCCCACCAGTTGCTGAGCTTCTTTGTTTCCCTGGTCACCCAAGATGTGGGATTTTTTTAAAAAAATCTTTTCTTCTTTATTGACTCCCTTGCTCCCCGTGCTCAAGCATTCACTCTCCGCCTCCACAGTCCCCAAAGGCCCTTTCTCTCTTCCAACCCCAAGGCCTGGCTGCTTCCTGGGGGCCTGCTATTTTCTTCTCTTTCGTGCATCGTCCCCATTTGGAGGTGATGCCTCCAGTCAGCTGTTCTCCTCTGAGTCGGCAGCCTACCGTAGATCTTCTGTACACATGTGCTGCCTGGGCATACCTCAGGGCGTGACAGTGCCCATCAGCTCTCCCTCTGCCCTCACGGTTCTTCCACCGTCAGCCAGGCAAGCCCTCTCTCAGACCCCTCTGCTGACCTACGAACATCTGATTTACTGTTGCAGCCACATGGCCTCCAATGCGTCCGCTATGGGCCTCCCCCAGCTGACCAGTTCCCAGAAGGCGCCCTCCTTCATTTCACCCAAACTGTCCCCATTGAAGGTGCTAATGCTCTCGGCACCTGGTACAGTGCTGCATCCTGCCTGGACGTATCCGGGAAGCCTCAGAGGACGAGCCTCTCAGCTCACCGTCGTGGCTGTCCCTGACCCAGAGCACTGCGCCCAGAGGCTGCACCAAGAGCACTGCACCGAGAACACTGCACCGAGAGCACTGCACAGAGAGCACTGCACCCAGAGGCTGCACCAAGAGCACTGCACCGAGAACACTGCACCGAGAGCACTGCACAGAGAGCACTGCACCGCGAGGTCTGCACCGAGAACACTGCCCCAAGAGCTATGCCCCGGAGCTCTGCCCCGAGAGGTTTGCCCCAGAGCTGTGCCCTGAGAGCACTGCACCGAGAGCTATGCCCTGAGAGCTCTTCCCTGAGACCACCGCAGGGCTGCCCTCCTCACCTGCTGCAGCTTTCTCTCGTGGCCCGCGGCCGCCTTGCTCCCAGTGAAGTCATTCTTCAGGAGATCTTGCTTGGCGAGCACTTCCTTCTGGAAACGCAGGAACATCCTGTACCTGTCTGCGCTGGTGGCTCCGGCCAGGTAGGAGCTGACATAGTGGTGCCGGTCCCTGGTGCCTCTGGACCCGGCCTCCTGGTAGCACAGCACCTTCAAGTCGGGCAGCCGGAGTTCTTCCCTCCTGCGCCATCCAGGAGGGCCCCGTCCAGGAGGGCCTCCTTTCTTTTCTTCCTTCCCCTCTCTGACAGCCTCCACTGGAAGGAAATCCTCCTCTGAAGTGTGGGAAAGAGAGGCCTGGGGGTTCAGGTACCTGAACAGCGGGGTGTCCTGGGCCTCACTGGGGACCAGGGCCGTGTGGATGGTGAAGTGGGCCAGGGCCTCCTTCATCCTCGCCACCTTCCCTGCGGGCGGCTCTCCCACCTCAGAGGCGCGCTCCCCCTTGGGCCGGTGGGCATTGGGCCAGTGCTGTAAGATCGTCTCCGGAGGCTGGTAGAGCTTGTTGGGGTTCAGGTGTCCAGAGATGTAGAGGTAGACGTCCTCCCGGTGGTCTTTCTGAAGCCGATTCAGAAGTTTCTTCAGATTACACAGGGTCTTCACTCCTGGCGTCTCGCAGTGCTTCAGATTACACAGGGTCTTCACGCCTGGCGTCTCGCAGTGCTTCCACTTCAGGTACACTGGTCAGAAAAGAAAAGGAGGCTCTTAGGGATCGCTCTTAGTTCCACAGTAAGTCAGCTGGTGCACTGGCTGAGAGGCGTAGCCCCTGACCAAAAGAGGGTCTATGGAGAAACAGACGAACAGAGTACATGGCCCAGCCCTTAAAAGTCAAAGGCACCCGTGCCCGGCCCAGTGTGCTGCTGCAGATGAGAGGCGCCCAGGCCCCCAGGATGTGCAAGTCAACCCGAAAGCTCAGGACCGTCAAAGCCAATAAGAAAAAGACAGACTATCTTGATTTGGCAGAGTATTTCTTACAATACTAGCAAAGGCTCTGAAAGAAAAGTGTACAATCTTAATTATAATTCTTAATGATGATGCTTAAAGATGTCTTCTTTAACGTATTTCACCGGCCGGGGAATTCAGAAAGGGTTTGGGGGGTATTCTCACTTAATGATAAACTGTCTCAGCAGTCCCTGACTAAACCCCTCAATGACCAATGGCACACACACCTCTTCCTGCAGCATCCCTACAGAGCCAACCCCCAGGGCTTTTGAACCACAGTTGCCTCCTCTGCAACATCAGAGTCATCATCTCAATCAAAATTGTTGATTGACACCCAGGTGGAACCACTTTTGGCAAAGAGGCACATGGCCTAGAAGAGACGCTTCATAAATTCTACCCATTTTTGCTGCAGGTCTATAGTACAGGTAACACGTTACTGAACACTTCAGATAGAACAAGAGCAGCCCAGATTTGCCCCCTTCATTTGCTGTTTTCTAACCTAAGAAGGAGAGTTTCTTTCTGGGACACTGTGTACTGTGATGGCCAAAGGGCAGCAGGCCCATCCATACCCTCCTCAGAGAAACTTCCTCTGTCCATTGAGAAGCAAACCATCCTTCCCTGAGTCAACCAAGGCGGCTGAATACTGGAGCCAATATTTTCAGCAGAGGGATGCTAGAGAATCGCCGCTGTTGATCAGCTTAGTCCTTCAGAGCAACCACTTAAGACACCACATACCAGAATCTCTGGGACGCATTCAAAGCAGTGTGTAGAGGGAAATTTATAGCACTAAATGCCTACAAGAGAAAGCAGGAAAGATCCAAAATTGACACCCTAACATCACAATTAAAAGAACTAGAAAAGCAAGAGCAAACACATTCAAAAGCTAGCAGAAGGCAAGAAATAACTAAAATCAGAGCAGATCTGAAGGAAATAGAGACACAAAAAACCCTTCAAAAAATCAATGAATCCAGGAGCTGGTTTTTTGAAAGGATCAACAAAATTGATAGACCGCTAGCAAGACTAATAAAGAAAAAAAGAGAGAAGAATCAAATAGACACAATAAAAAAGGATAAAGGGGATATCACCACCGATCCCACAGAAATACAAACTACCATCAGAGAATACTACAAACACCTCTACGCAAATAAACTAGAAAATCTAGAAGAAATGGATAAATTCCTCGACACATACACTCTCCCAAGACTAAACCAGGAAGAAGTTGAATCTCTGAATAGACCAATAACAGGCTCTGAAATTGTGGCAATAATCAATAGTTTACCAACCAAAAAGAGTCCAGGACCAGATGGATTCACAGCCGAATTCTACCAGAGGTACAAGGAGGAACTGGTACCATTCCTTCTGAAACTATTCCAATCAATAGAAAAAGAGGGAATCCTCCCTAACTCATTTTATGAGGCCAGCATCATTCTGATACCAAAGCCGGGCAGAGACACAACCAAAAAAGAGAATTTTAGACCAATATCCTTGATGAACATTGATGCAAAAATCCTCAATAAAATACTGGCAAACCGAATCCAGCAGCACATCAAAAAGCTTATCCACCATGATCAAGTGGGCTTCATCCCTGGGATGCAAGGCTGGTTCAATATACGCAAATCAATAAATGTAATCCAGCATATAAACAGAGCCAAAGACAAAAACCACATGATTATCTCCATAGATGCAGAAAAAGCCTTTGACAAAATTCAACAACCCTTCATGCTAAAAACTCTCAATAAATTAGGTATTGATGGGACGTATTTCAAAATAATAAGAGCTATCTATGACAAACCCACAGCCAATATCATACTGAATGGGCAAAAACTGGAAGCATTCCCTTTGAAAACTGGCACAAGACAGGGATGCCCTCTCTCACCGCTCCTATTCAACATAGTGTTGGAAGTTCTGGCCAGGGCAATCAGGCAGGAGAAGGAAATAAAGGGTATTCAATTAGGAAAAGAGGAAGTCAAATTGTCCCTGTTTGCAGACGACATGATTGTTTATCTAGAAAACCCCATCGTCTCAGCCCAAAATCTCCTTAAGCTGATAAGCAACTTCAGCAAAGTCTCAGGATACAAAATCAATGTACAAAAATCACAAGCATTCTTATACACCAACAACAGACAAACAGAGAGCCAAATCATGAGTGAACTCCCATTCACAACTGCTTCAAAGAGAATAAAATACATAGGAATCCAACTTACAAGGGATGTGAAGGACCTCTTCAAGGAGAACTACAAACCACTGCTCAAGGAAATAAAAGAGGACACAAACAAATGGAAGAACATTCCATGCTCATGGGTAGGAAGAATCAATATCGTGAAAATGGCCATACTGCCCAAGGTAATTTACAGATTCAATGCCATCCCCATCAAGCTACCAATGACTTTCTTCACAGAATTGGAAAAAACTACTTTAAAGTTCATATGGAACCAAAAAAGAGCCCGCATCACCAAGTCAATCCTAAGCCAAAAGAACAAAGCTGGAGGCATCACACTCCCTGACTTCAAACTATACTACAAGGCTACAGTAACCAAAACAGCATGGTACTGGTACCAAAACAGAGATATAGATCAATGGAACAGAACAGAGCCCTCAGAAATAATGCCACATATCTACAACTATCTGATCTTTGACAAACCTGAGAAAAACAAGCAATGGGGAAAGGATTCCCGATTTAATAAATGGTGCTGGGAAAACTGGCTAGCCATATGTAGAAAGCTGAAACTGGATCCCTTCCTTACACCTTATACAAAAATCAATTCAAGATGGATTAAAGATTTAAACGTTAGACCTAAAACCATAAAAACCCTAGAAGAAAACCTAGGCATTACCATTCAGGACATAGGCGTGGGCAAGGACTTCATGTCCAAAACACCAAAAGCAATGGCAACAAAAGCCAAAATTGACAAATGGGATCTAATTAAACTAAAGAGCTTCTGCACAGCAAAAGAAACTACCATCAGAGTGAACAGGCAACCTACAACATGGGAGAAAATTTTCGCAACCTACTCATCTGACAAAGGGCTAATATCCAGAATCTACAATGAACTCAAACAAATTTACAAGAAAAAAACAAACAACCCCATCAAAAAGTGGGTGAAGGACATGAACAGAAACTTCTCAAAAGAAGACATTTATGCAGCCAAAAAACACATGAAGAAATGCTCATCATCACTGGCCATCAGAGAAATGCAAATCAAAACCACTATGAGATATCATCTCACACCAGTTAGAAAGGCAATCATTAAAAAGTCAGGAAATAACAGGTGCTGGAGAGGATGTGGAGAAATAGGAACACTTTTACACTGTTGGTGGGACTGTAAACTAGTTCAACCATTGTGGAAGTCAGTGTGGCGATTCCTCAGGGATCTAGAACTAGAAATACCATTTGACCCAGCCATCCCATTACTGGGTATATACCCAAAGGACTATAAATCATGCTGCTATAAAGACACATGCACACGTATGTTTATTGCGGCACTATCCACAATAGCAAAGACTTGGAACCAACCCAAATGTCCAACAATGATAGACTGGATTAAGAAAATGTGGCACATATACACCATGGAATACTATGCAGCCATAAAAAATGATGAGTTCATGTCCTTTGTAGGGACATGGATGAAATTGGAAACCATCATTCTCAGTAAACTATCGCAAGAACAAAAAACCAAACACCGCATATTCTCACTCATAGGTGGGAATTGAACAATGAGATCACATGGACACAGGAAGGGGAATATCACACTCTGGGGACTGTGGTGGGGTCGGGGGAGGGGGGAGGGATAGCATTGGGAGATATACCTAATGCTAGATGACACGTTAGTGGGTGCAGCGCACCAGCATGGCACATGTATACATATGTAACTAACCTGCACAATGTGCACATGTACCCTAAAACTTAGAGTATAATAAAAAAAAATTATAAAAAAAAAAGAATAATATTCATAGAAATGGAATTTCTAGGTGAATGCAAAAAAAAAAAAAAAAAAAAAAAAAAGAAATGATTAACAGAACAAATTCTCCAAGGCAACAATCATTGTAATTCGTCAAAGGCATGAACACTTAAAGCTCTAAAAGGCACCTTGTACCAACTCTATGGAAGATGGAAGAAGGAGGCGACTTCATTGCTGTTGTGTTATCCTTTGTTTATTTTATTTCCAAGAAGGATTTGAAGCCATCAGCAAGTCAATCAACACAATCATTTTCCCACTTCAAATGCTTTTTCTTTTGATTGTAGTAAGAGCTGCTCCAGACAGAAGTTTCCACTTCTGTCTGCCACATTCTTGTAATATATGCCATGAATCCCCATCGTGGCAATAAATATTTTAATCATTTTCCCATCTGAAAACATTGTGTGTGTCTGTGTGTGTGTGTATCCTGCCTCTCTGCCTGAGAGAGAAAACAAACAAACAAAAAAGAAAGTTTTAAGAATTTATTGGAAATTATGACTCTCTTACAAAGATTTGAAAACAAATTTGCTGTCAGTAAAACCAAACCAAGTTTTGAATGTGTACTGAATAGGAACATGTAGTAATAGGTCTTAGGCTACATTTGGGTTAATACATATTGCCAAAATTTAGTATTAAACATTTTTAAACAGAGGTTTTTTATTTGTTTGTTTCTTTGGAAATGTATCCATCCCCCCACCCCCCCCACCCCACCAACCCCAGAATAGGACAATAGGCCTTTAATGTCAAAATTATTACAACTCAGGCTGGGTGCAGTGACTCACGCCTGTAATCTCAGCACTTTGGGAGGCCGAGGCGGGTGGATCACTTGCAATCAGGAGTTCGAGACCAGTCTGGCCAACCTGGCAAAACCTTGTCTCTACAAAAAATACAGAAATTAGACAGGCATGGTGGCGGGTACCTGTAATTACTGATACTCAGAGGCGGAGGCACCAAAATTGCTTGAACCTGGGAGGTGGAGGTTGCAGTGAGTCGAGATAGCACCACTGCACTCCAGCCTGGACGACAGAGTGAGACTGCCTCAAAAAAAAAAAAAATTTTTTTTAATCACTGTCCCATGTTGTCAGATCTCTGGGAAACTGAGAATCCCATGGAAATTCTCCTTGGTCTCATTCTAGAACATTCATATTCCCTCTGCGTTTCTGCCCTCTGCCTTCTCTGCTCCTACCCTAAAGTCAGTGCACATCCTAAGAAATGTACTTCTGGAAAGACTTCCAAGAACAGAGCAGCAGGCCCAGACCCACAGGCTCTCTGCTGGAGGAGAGCGGGAGCCTCAGGACAGGCCTGGCCAGTGGGGGTCTGTCCTCGAGTCCTGGGCTCCCCTCACAGAACTCGTTGCAGAACTCACAAAGAGCGTCCATCACTCCCCTGTGTCCATCCTACCAGCCGGAGAATCTTTTCAGACTCCACTGAGATTGCAATCTGGCCTTTCCTGAACCCACGGATAAACATCTGTTGCCCCACGCTGCACTGTGTGCTTCAGGGGTGGGATGAATGTGAGCCCCCAGGAACCTGGAAATCCCACAGGGAGTGAGATGCAGACCCAGGGCCACAGGGGACCTGAGCCCAAGGGAGAAGCACATGCCTCACATGGACTCTGTCTCAGGGTGAAATGTGGAAGCAGAATGATGGGACCCAGAGCTGGCCACCCTGACGCCAGAGGTCAGGGAAAGGGGACTTTACCAGCTGAATTCAGGTGATGGGCCTTAAAATAAAGTGATTAGTCTGGATGGTCAGGGCTCTAATCTAATCACGTGAGCCCCTAAAAGCAGAGAAGTTTCTCTGGCAAGAGTCAGAAGGGAGAGGTGGAAGAAAGGGGGTCAGGGAAGTTGCAAGGAAAGGAAGCTTCCAGACTCGCTGGATCCCAGGTGGAAGCCACAGGCCAGACAGGAGGCGACTTCCTAGGGCCAGGGCCCCTGCTGACAACCCACAATTCCCCCACCACAAGCGACAGGGTCATGCCAACAAGTCCACTGGGCCTGGAAGGGGTTCTTCCCCAGATCCCCTAGAAAGCAGCAAAACTGACCTTACCCTCGAGTCCAGCCTGGTGACAGCCTGAAGCTCTTTGTATACAAAGAAGAGAAAAGACAACTCCCCAAGGACTGAAAGACCCCTTTTTAAAATGACTCCCACTGTCTATTCCACAGCCGGTGTGCGGCATGCTGATTCAATCCCCACAACAGCCCAGGAGGTAGGCGCCGTCCCATCCTCCTTTACAGGAGGGGAAACTGAGGTTCAGGTGGTCAGATGGTCAGCTGCCTCCAAGACCACGCTCTCAACCTGCCCACTCACCTGTACATGAAGAGCACTAAATGCATTCTGATATCACACAATAAAATTTCTTTTAAATCATTTTCTTGTTGAGACTGCTTTGCTCAGTCTAACAAGTTTTCTCTCTGCCCAAATTTCGTCTGAATCAGTCGGTAGTCCTGTTTCAGTCCCAGCACATGGCGGGTGGTGGGAAAAAGCGAAGGCTTCGAAGTCAAAAGACCTGGGCTTACCTCCCCACAGACTCCCATGCGTAAAATCACATTAATAGCACCAGCCTTCAGGGTCACAGAGACAAAATAAAGGACTTCTGACTTGATGAATGTGGACGCGCTGAGCTTTGTGGTCATTTATAGGAGCGCGGAAAGGCAGCATGCCAGGGAATGCTCTGAAGTGCGGCTTTTTAAAATCACCCTCTGAACAGCCTGCAACCTGCCGCTTCGTCCCTCCTCCTCCTCCTCCTCTTCAGGCTTCCGGAGACTCCAACACACGGCGCGTCCGTCCGCGCAGGTCCACACTCGCTGGCTCCCACGCCCACATGGCGCGCACCCCCCACCTCTGTGCTTTGCGCGCTGGTTTCAGATTCTCTGAGGAGGCAGCACAACCCCAATCCAGTCCTCAGCCCTAGTGACCCTGGAGCCGGCGTGCAGCCACCAGAAAAAGATTTTCACATTTCAAATCAGTCTTCAGAAGCCCATCCCTCCACAATTGAACATCAAGCAAATCTCACAAGCCAGCAAGAGCCGCTCCAGGCCACTTACATTCAGGCTCCCGCTCCTCCGCCATCGCTTCCTTCCCTCCAGCTGCCTGGGCTGGGCTGTCGCCGTGGAAACCACAAACATTCTAAGCCCTCCTTGGCTTCCTTCACTGCTGAGCAACCAGGCACAGCCCCTGCTGCGGAACCTCCCCCCAACTCCTCCCCTCTTCTGTGCCTTCTGGAACAGAGAGTATTGGTGATTGCTTGCTTGTTTTACTTTTTTTTTTTTTGGTTAATAATTTTTTTAATTTTAATACAGCCGGTGCTCTTTGTCTGGGTTCCACATCCACAGATTCAACGAAGCACAGATTTAAAATATTTGGAAAAAAGTTTTAAATTAAAAATAACAATACAGCAATAAAAATACAAATAAAACTATAGTATAACAATTACTTAGATAGCGTTTACGTTGTCTTAAGTATTACAAGTAATCTAGAGATGATGTAAGGCATATGGAAGGATGCGTATAGGTTATATGGAAATACTGCATCATTTTATATAAGGGACTACAGTATCTTTGGGTCTGAGCATCCGTGGTGGTCCTGGAACCAGTCCCATCCCCCATACAATACTGTAAATAAAACATTTGTTTTTAAAGGTACATCAGCTTTATGAAATAAGTGAAACACTTTCCGTGATCTGAAAAATATCAAAGTATCCTCGCATTCCCTAATCCTTTCCAAAGCCCAGGGGGCAAAAGATAACTGGTCTTCAGGCATCTGCTATAGAAATGTGCAGGTTGGACAGTGCGTAACCCACCCAACTGCACCTGGAGGTCCAGCACAGAGTAGGTGCCAGTCACGAAGTGATCATTTAGTCACTTTTTATTATTATCTATGTATTTTCTAATGGGGAACTGAGATCCTGTGGGGTAATTTGCCCAAGGTCAGTTAGCAGACAGTGGAATTTACAGATGTGTAAGTGCGCACCTGTATGACTGCAAAGTCCATCCTCTCTCCTCAGGCGATCCCATGTGCCAAGGGAGGGAAAAGCTAAAACCTCTATCTTTGAAAACTGTAATTCTGTTTATATGTCTTGCAGCCAGAAAGAGAGTACTGGAAGGGCGATTCTGCTGGTTCTTAGAAGTAACTTTGACGCCAACCCTTACTACTTACAGCTCTGAAATGAGAAAGACGGTGATGTAGGCGTTACTGGTTGTGAGGATGGAATTACACGGTACTGTGAATGAGGGGGGCACACAGTGTTTTTTGTTTCTTTGTTTCTGTTGATGCTGCCTGTTAGTTCAAACTGCACCATTTTGTAATCCCAGCCCCATTTCGCAGACCCTGGTCAAAGTGAAATATTCCACGGGGGTCGGACCACGAGAAATGTCCTGCCCAACCACCTGACTTTCTTGTTATCCCCTGCCCGGCAAAGCCCCAGCTGAAGGAACATCCTCATCATATCCTCTGCTGGGCAAAGATCCAAGGAACATTCTATCACATGCCCCCCAAAACAGGAACATTCTATCACATCCCCCCAAAAACAGGGCCAAACCACCTTGTCATGGAACATCTTATCAACATCTTCTGGGAAGCAGGCTATACCCCCTAGTCCCCTCCCGCCCAGGCCTATAATTGCCCCAGCCTATAAGCGGCGGTCAGCACTGGCATTAACCTGGTCCCCCATCTCTGCAGGTCTTAGGCTGGACATAGAACCCGAATCGCTGGAGAGCTGCCAGTTATCTCTCTTTAACCCTTGCCTTCCCTTCCAAACATAACACTGGACAGATACTTGAAACGTGAACATTCTGGAAACCAAGAAGCTGCCAGGACCTTCACCTGCTCAGGTGGCTTCATCACCAGGTGCATTGGAATTCCACCTGTGAAAAGGTTACCGGAGTGTTTACTGCTTGTCTCTCTGGAACGTGCATGGTAGTTAGGCATCTTAACTATGACAGAAAGGTCGACATGAAGATGCCCAAGCTGCGTAAGGATGTCTAGGTATGGGCACCAGAGAGGAAATGCTGTGTGCCCCTCGCCTGCAGTTCGTTATAAAGTAGGCTCACATGGGCAGCGGAGAGGAAACACTGTGTGCCCCTCACCTGCAGCTCATTATGAAGTAGGCTCACATGGGCAGCAGGCCAGGTTTTTAGATAACCAACAATTAGAGATGAGGAAATGAACCTCTATGCTCAGAAATCCTTAGTAAACTAGTCAATCTCATAACTTCTAAAATAGTCCATCGCTTCCACACTGCGCAGTCAGGCAGAGAGGTGACAATAGGTGTTCTCCACTTTTCTTTCACAGATGGGCAGGAGGGACAAAGGGCCCCTCTGCCGGCCTTGGGAGGGATAGTGATGAGGAGTGCATCCCACCACGAGAGCTGCTCAGTTCTGGGGTTCAGCCTGTGCTACCCTCACTCCTGCTCCCTAGCGTAGACATTATGTGGAATTGCAGAGTATTGGTTTTGATCAAAAGAAAATAATTTGTTTTTAGGGCCTCAGTTTCTCCCAAGTCATCCCTTATGGCAGAACACAAATGCAGTTAAATTAATTCATCCACCCCTTACTTATATGCTATCAAGATCAGAAAGTCAATGATCAAATCAATATCAGGCCTTAAAAGCCCATCTGTGGCTCTCCTATTGCTAAATATTTCATCAAAGCATTTGAGGCAGAAACATACTTAACGACAACATTATCAGCATAATGAATTGATGTGCCAGAAACACACTGGATCTTCCTTGAGGCCAGACTTCTATGTAGAAATAGCCAAGAACTACTCAGCAGGCAAATTGCGTCTGCACATATTTCAGTGACTATGGCTGCTGTTTTGCTTATCCACTCCAGATAGCGCTTGAACACATCCTAAAACACTTGGCCACTGAATGCAACCCAAGGGTGAGGCCATTCTACCATCCCAACTAATCCACGCATCCACCCGTCCTTTCATCCTACCCCTCATTCCAGAAAAAAAATTAAAAATTAAAAATCTTTGTCTACTATTGTTTCTTTGCTAGGACTGCAGAAATGCACAATGAATCCCCTACTTTAAAAATGCTCGGTGAAGAGGAGACCACTGGGGAGTAAAATGCAGTGTGATGTGAGCAGCAGTGGAGATGGGCGTGGACCGGCAGAGGAAGGAGTGAAGGATTCACATCTCATAGGCTGCGGAGGCTTCCAGAAATACCACCTGTTCCAGGTGTGCAGGATGGGCGAGCGGGAGTTCCTTGTCAATCATGGGGGAGGGTCGGGGAGCATCAGTCAGAAGAACTGATGGGTTCCAAAAGGGAAGAGGTCACAAATAAGTGATTCCAGTTACTGCTTTTCAGCTATTAGACTCTGCTGTGCAAAAATGAACCGACTTGCAATAACTTAAAACATCTTTGTGCTTCCTAAGCTCTGGAGAAACTGAATAATGCTTTTAAGAAATTTTAGATAGAATGCAAAGCAAATGCTGGCCTGGCAGGAGGATGTGGGGTTGGGGGTGGGATGAGAATTCTTGGATGGGGCAGGGGCAGAGTCCGGAGGGAGTTTCAGTTTGGTCCTGAAGATGGCTGAAGAGTCATCAAGAGTCACTGAAAAATGTTTTACAGAGTGGGGTATCATCACTTCTTTCTAGAGAAATGACTGTTGCTATACTTCATAGAGAATGAAGGGAACAGGGCTAAGAGCCAAGAATGACATCTCCAGTTCTAGGCACGTAAGCAATGGTGGCTGGCAGTGACACTCCAAATTCTCCACCCTCCTCTTGATGTGTCAGGGAAAAGCCTCTCACCCATCCAAGGCCAAAGTGCTTTGCTCCTGGGCTCTCTTGCCCTCTTGCTTTTTCAAGGGCCCCGGTTCATTGGTCTGTTTTTCCATCTGTCTCTCTTTTCCTCTCCTCTCCTCTCTCTCACTCTCGCCATCTCTCTCTTGCATCATTCATCTTTGCTTTTCTATAGGAACATTTCTATCAGAAAATTAACATGTTCATTTTTCTCATCTCAAAAACACATATAAACAAGACCTTTGCATTGACTCTACACCTCTCTAAGGCAGGTATTCCATACAACAGATCCAGGTCAGAGTCTGTCACAAGGAAGCTGTTGGCCAGCCTGCCAAGGAGGAGGAAACACGAAGCTCTCGGTCCACCTGCGTTCTCTGTGAGGGAGCCTCCTACGGCACTGTTATCTGTGGCACAGGTGGGCTATTTCCACTTATCCCAAAGCTTCTCCTGTGGAGCCTGGATTTTGCCCTAAAAGTAATTTTCTGCAATATAGCTTCATTTTTGGGTGGTATTTGAGGGCAAAATAACTATAAGACTCTGGAAGTTTGAAAAATCGATGAAGAAATGGTGCAGTCAGAACGCACCTCTTGAAGGGCTTCCTAACATCCCTTCCCCACGCCCCAACTCCCCAGCAAGTCTCTTTCCTCCTTTGGAAAGTAAAACAAACTTCATTCAATGACATTTGTGCATAAAAACTGCATTTCTTTATTTTCAAACTGTTGTTTATCACTCATCTACACCTGTTTCCAAAAGCTCCATTATTTTTTCAACTGTGAAAATGATTTGGGCATCTTGGGTCAAGACAGGAGACATCATGATTCCCCCATTAAGTGAGAGGTATGTGGGCCATGAAAATCCCCCCAGCACACCCCATAGCCTCTGGTCACTCCCTTCAGAGACCACCCATCTGACCAGCTGCTTATACGACTTCCCACAGGCAGCCCGTGTAGACAAGAAAATTCACTCACACCATCTCTCCGTCCTCTCTCTTCCACCATGACAGCGGGCCACTCCCACTTCCTCCACCTTGCTTTTTTCTCTTGGAAATCATTCCGGACTAGTGCATAAAGAGCACCTGACTTTTTACATGTCTGGGCAGTGTTCCATTGTATGGCTCTACTGTGATTTATTCCAGCCACAGACCACTGATGGACATATAGGCTCTTTCCATTCTTCTGCTATTAAATCCCACTGCTGGTCCTCCAGTCACTTCCTGTGTGTGTGAATCTGTAGGTAAACACAGAACTTGAGCACCTGGGGTGGAGTCGCCAAGTTTGTGCCCATGGGATGTTGAGAAAGAGCATCAAATTGTTCTCAGAAGGGTTATTACAGTTTGCTCAATCCCAGCAGTAATGAGAGTGCCTGCTTCTCCACCTCTTCATTACCAGATGGCATTTTCAAACACAAAGTCACCACACTGTCTGATCTTTGCCAATACAAGGTTGCCAACAAGATGTCAAGAGAGAAGGAAAATCTACAATGAAACTGTGAAGGAAAAAAAAAACCCTAAGATGTTATAAAAGTACATTGTAACTGCAGTGGTGAGTCTTAAACTATTTTACATAAGATGACCAGGGAAGGCCTCTATTTGTTTCTTGTGGCTGCCATTATAAATAACCATAGACTTAGCAGCTTGAAAGAAACAATGAATTTACTTTCTCACATTGCTGGAAGTCCAAAGTCTGAAATGGCTCTCACTGGCTAAAATCCAGGTGTGGGCAGTGGGCAGGGCTGCTTCCTCCTGGAGGCTACTGAGGAGAGTCCCCTTCCTTGCCTTTTTCAGCATCTAGAGGCCACCTGGTTCCTGGCTCCTGGGCCCTTCCTCCATCTGCAAAGCCGGCGAGGCTGGGAGAGTCTTTCTCACATCCCAGACACCCTCCTGCCTCTCTGTTCTCTCCTTTTTTTTTTTGTGATGGAGTCTCACTCTGTCACCCAGGCTGGAGTACAGTGGCACCATCTTGGCTTGCTGCAACCTCCGCCTCCCAGGTTGAAGCAGTTCTCCTGCCTCAGGCTCCCAAGTAGCTGGGATTACAGGCACCCACCGGCATACCTGGCTAATTTTTGTATTTTTAATAGAGACAGGGTTTCGCCATGTTGGCCAGGCTGGTCTCGAACTCCTGACCTTGGGGAATCCGCCCGCCTCAGCCTCCCAAAGTGCTGGGATTACAGGCGTGAACCACCGTACTTGGCCTGTTCTCTATAAAAGGAGCCCTGTGATGGCACTGCTCCAGCCTAGATAGTGCAGGCTCGTCTTCCTATTTTAAGCCCAGCTGATCAGCAGCCCTGATCCCCCCTGCAGCCCCATATCTTCTCTGCCCAGTGAGCTCACATCTTCACCAGTTCTGGGGATTAGAGTGTGGCGCTCTTTGACTGCAACCTTCCAGAGGAGGTGACAAAGAGCCAGAGGAAGAGAATTCTTGGCATCAAGCTAGAGAATGTGGTGCAGACCTGACCCCCCTTTTCCAAAACTCCTGTGTGGCCTGACACTGGAGGTAGAACATTGGCTAGGGATGGGGGAGATGGTTCAAATCGTTGTCTGTTTTTTGTTGTTTGTGTTTCATTGGTCGATTTGTTTATGATTAGAGAGATTGGAGGGATCCCATGTTGAGGGAATGGGGCCAGTGGAGTGAAAAATGTTGAAAGTCTGGGAAATAGGCGACATTTGATTTCATGACTTGGTATGTGTCTAAAAGGTGTGTCTGGGCTCGGTGGATTGGCTCACGCCTGTAATCCCAGTATTTTGGGAGGCCAAGGCAGGCGGATCACTTGAACTCAGGAGTTCAAAACCAGTCAGGGCAACATGGCAAAACCCCTACCAAAAGTACAAAAAAATTGGCCAGGTGTGGTGGTGTGTGCCTGTGGTTCCCAACTACTTGGGAGGCTAAGGCAGGAAGATTGCTTGAGCCTGGGAGGTGGAGATTGCAGTGAGCCGAGATCACACCACTTCACTCCAGCCTGGGTGACAGAGCAAGACCTTGTCTCAATAAATAAATAAATAAATAAATACATATATACATACATAAATACATACATATACAAGTAAATTTAAAACTAAAGAAATAGATAAAAGGTGTGTGTGACCTGCTCCAAGGGAATCTTGCCATAGACAAGGGGGAAAGAAATTCACTGTTGCTGGGGAAGGCAAAAGCAAACCAGAGGTGGAGTAGTCCAGTTCCCCAGATGCTTTCCGTCATCCTGATGTTAATGTAGTTCTTAGGAAAGCACACCTAAAAGCGAGGCCCATGTGGCTCCCGGGGGATGATGTCCAGGCACTGCACGTGGGGCACGTGGCCCTCTCCAGCCTGGATTTGCAGAAATCAGAGGCCCTCATACTATGCCCTTTGAATTTCCGCAGGGAGTGGAATTGACCGAGTGCAAACGCAGGGTGACCTCTGCAAGCTCGCAGCGCCAACGCGGGAACCCCAGCATGGTCTGGCTGCAGAGTCTGTCTGATTGTCCAATCAAACCCGCATCTGTGGGGAAACAAGACATGATTCCTACCAACTGTTTTTCAAAATATTTGGAGTTGCTGATTATTTACTGTTTCTGGTCCTTGTTTCATATTGCTGATATATTCATTGGTAACAAATGGTTGCTCACATTTCTAAAAATGAAATAATGGGAGGCCTAGTGGTTCCTGAATACAAGGGCTAGAAAGGAATGAATGGCGCCTCCCCGGGAGCTGTCCGCTCCTTCCCACTTCCACAAGCGTTTCCATTGAGGCTGAGGGTTGTTCCCCGCCCTTGAGAGTGGAGACCTTCCCCTTCCAGGGTAGATGGGTGGCCAAGGCTTGTCTTTCCCCCAGGGATTTTCCCAGCAGTACGGCAGACAGAAGGATTTTCTGTGTGTAGAACCTAGAGTGGGGGAACATCGCTACTTAGTTAAAAAAAAGCCTGAAGTTGTCCAAATAAGAACAAACATGGTTGACTTTTTAAATTCTTAAGGTTAGGAAATGTGAGCTGTCAGGGGGAAGACCTGAAGTCCTGGTTACTGGCCACCCTCTGGGCTGGCGGGGGAGGGATGGCCTCTGGGAGACTTTGGGCGCTTCCTTGATCTCTCTGTGCCCTTTGCTCCCTTCTCTATGCAGCACCACAACCCAGAGTAGCCTCCATTGACCGCCCTGCACTGTGCTGAGAAGAGTGCCACTCAACACCTGGAGGGTTCGCGTCAATTCTTTCCTTCTAGAATTCCCCACGTTTATCTACACAAGCCTGCACCCCACCCCACCCCCGCTCCTCAGAGGCACAGAACTGATTGGAAGCATGCCTGGAGACACGCTAACCTTTATTCTCTCCACCCTCTTCCCCTAAATACAATGACACCGACATTGGGTGTTTTGGGGGGAGGGAGCGGCACAGGATAATTTAAAGCCATTGTAATTTTCGCTTTGTCCACTCTGGGCTTCCCTTCTCATTCCCGAATCCCAGAGGGGTTTATGACACAGGCAGAAAGCAGGCATTTGGAATGATTCTCCTTTCTTGTTCTTGGTGTTTGTTTTGGAAGCCGAATGTCATCGACTATATTGAAGGATTTTCTCGGAGGGAAAAGGAGACACAGCGGCCTTTGAGAAGGGGAGGAGGAGAGGGGAGTCCAGCCTGGAAAGAGAACACCAGCGTGGACGGTGGACGGGGACTCCTGCCTCAGCGATGGTGCTGCGCTGGCCTGCCCTCCACGGGGGCATCTGTCAT
The DNA here is from genome assembly GCF_000001405.40 of Homo sapiens. Lineage (NCBI taxonomy): Eukaryota > Metazoa > Chordata > Mammalia > Primates > Hominidae > Homo > Homo sapiens. The sequence continues at coordinate 165,317,956 of NC_000006.12, forward strand.
CAGGACCCAGGCCAGGAGCAGCTTCGCAGGAATGCAGAGAGGCCTTCCTTGAACGCTTGGAACAAACCTGAGAGTCTCCTTGGACGTCCTTGGAGATGAGTGCGATAAAAATTCCCACCACCTAGCAAAAATGGAGTCATCAGACTTGAGATCTGCAAATGAATTGAACATTTTTCCTCCACCTGGACTGTAGAGTATGGCAGATGCCCAGTACAAGCCACATGTACTCTTCTTCCAAATAAGAGCGGCAGAGTGAGCGACCGTATGCCTGCCACCTAGGTGACAAAATTAATACTCCGACTTCCTTATCTGTCTCTCCGTCCACACTTTGTGCTGAAATCTTTGAGTTGGTAGTAAAGTTATGAGTTTTTACCCTTAGATAATTCAGCACTCAGCAGGTCTGCTAAAGTAAAGACATTCTCTTTCTAAACCACAGACCATGGTTACTGAAGAAACCAAGTCATGACTTCTGTCTGCAGACACCTAGCAAATATTCACAGTTCCCACTTTCCACAAAATTTCTTCTATAGCTGTGTTTTCAAATAAGAATCCATATATTTGGTTATTACCCCCTTTATTTATTTTTATTTTTTTATTATACTTTAAGTTCTGGGATACATGTGCAGAACATGCAGGTTTGTGACATAGGTACACATGTGCCATGATGGTTTGCTGCACCCATCAACCCGTCATCTAGGTTTCAAGCCCCGAATGCATTAGGTATTTGTTCTAAGTCTCTCCCTCCCCTTGCCCCCCACCCCCCGACAGGCCCTGGTGTGTGATGTTCCCCTCCCTGTGTCCGTGTGTTCTCCTTGTTCAACTCCCACTTACGATTGAGAACATGTGGTGTTTGGTTTTCTGTTCCTGTGTTAGTTTGCTGAGAGCTATAGTTTCCAGCTTCAACCATGTCCCTGCAAAGGACATGACTTCATTCGTTTTTATGGCTGTGTAGTATTCCACAGTGTATATGTGCCACATTTTCTTTATCCAGTCTATCCCCCTTTTAACAACTTTCTTTATATACATACAATCCAGCCATCTACAGTGCATTATGTACTGGTTTTCATGATAGTCACAGAGTCCTGCTCTTTTCACCTGAAACAGTCACACTTAAAAAAAACTATATTGACATTTTTAAAAGACCAGGCTGGTTGTCTTATACCCTGTCTACTTTTGGGATTTGTCTGATTATTTCATTCTGTGCTGTGGTTGAAATTACATTGGTTGATTCTAAATCAATAAAATGGAAGTTTGGTCTGAGGTTCAATTGGTTATAATTAGGTTGAATAGTTTGCTAACACTTCACAGGTGATTATCTGTGATTCCCACTGTTGACGCAGGAGAATGGAGTATGGAGGCAGGGAACATAAGGCCAGTTCACCCCCGTTAACTGTGACAGGAAATATCCTCTCCATAGGGTGTACACCACATAAATGGCTTTGTAACTTTACTTCATCCCTTCATTTACATAAGGTGTACACCAGGAAACCAATGGAAACCTCTAGAAAGTATTTAAACCCAAAACAATTCTGTAATGGGGCTCCTGAGCCCCTGTGCTCAGGCCCATTCCCACCCTGTGGAATGTCCTATCATTTTCAATAAATCTCTGATTTTGTTGCCTCATCCTTTCCTTGCTTTGTTTGTGCGTTCTGATCAATTCTTTGTTCAAGAAGGCAAGAACCTGGACACCCTGCACTGGTAACACTATCAGTGATGCAAAATTAGATCAGCTCACTCCTGAGGGGGTAGGCGGCCACCACGTCCTGTTACAGGAACAGTAAGCTTTCCCCTTTGCAATTAGCAGGGAGGCTGCAGGGTGACACATGACTCATGAAACTCCCCAGTTCCCTGAGCACCTGCCACCTCCATTCATGCTCCTTGCCTGAATCCTTAAGTCAAGGGAGTTTGTAAATGTCCATTTCTTCCATATTGATGACTATCATTTCTTCCATATTGTTGAGATGTCATAATGTCATTCTGAAAAACAGCTTTCCCTCATCAATCTGGTATGTAATCTCCTAAATCGGGAAATATTTTATTCTATAGTTACTGCTTTTGAAGTAAGGAATTGGTGTAGTAGTCACCTCTAAAACCACCTAATGAATGTATTCCTTCTTTTTATTTTGAACGTTATTATGGACGTGGATTTTCTTTTTTTAATGTAATATAAACAATCACAGTCATTCTTCATCTTCATAGTTTTATTGAGAATGTGTTCAACATATCATAAAATGCGCCCTTTTAAAAGTGTACAATTTGTGGTTTCTGATCTATTCACAGAGATTTGTAGCCATCACCACTATCTAATTTTAGGACATTCTCATTACCCCAGAAAAAAACCCATCCACATGCGCAATCACCCCCAGCCCCAGCCCTGGGAACCATTCATCTACTTTTGTGTCTCTATGAATTTGCCTATTCTGGACATTTTACATAAATGTGGCCTTTTGTGACTGGCGTCTTTCACTGAACATTCATCCATGTCGTGGCATGTATCGATTATTCAGTTTTTTATAAATCATGTTCTATTGTATGGCTAGGCCACTTTTGAGTGTTCATTTACTCAGCTGATGGTCACTTACATTCTTTCCATTTTTTACATGAGTAATGCTGTATGAACATTCTTGCAGAGGTTTTAGTGTGGACGTGTGAACATATGTTTTTATTTATTTTGGGTATATACCCAGGAGTGGAATAGCTGGGTTATGTGGAACTCGATTTTTAACATTTTAGGGAAAGGTTAAAAACTTTTCCAAAGTGACTGCATCATTTTGCATCCCCACAGTGTATAAGGGTTGTAATTATTTCACATCCTCACCAAATTTGTTATTGTCTATCTTGTTTATTTTAGCCATCGCAGTGGGTGTGAAGTGGTATGTCACTGTGGTTTTGATTTGCATTTTTCCAATAACTAATGATGTTGAACACCTTTTCATGAGTTTACTGGCCATTTATGTATCTTCTTTGGAGAAAGGTCTATTCAAACCCTTTGTCAATTTTTTTAGTGGGGTTATATGTCTGTGAGAGCTCTGTATATATTTTGGATATGAGTCCTTTATCACATAAAGGATTTGTAGATATTTCCTCCCCATCTATGAGCTGACTTTTTACTTTTTGATGGGTTCCTTTAACTCACAAAGGATTTTAATTTTAATGAAGTTTGTCTTATTTATTCCCTTGTTGCTTGTAGCATTGTTGTCATAGCTAGGAAGTACTTGCAGACCCCACGGTCACTTGGGCCAGGTTTCTGCTAAAATGCCATCTCATCCATCAGAGGTGTTTATCACTGTCCATCAGCCTTTGTCCCTTCCCTTGCCCTATGTTTTTTCATTGCTGTTGCCATCGCCTGACACTTTACATAATCATTGCATGTTAATCATCTGTCTTTCTACTCAAGAACACACACTCTTTGACAGCAGGGTTTTAAATTCCTGTTGTGCATGGCTGGATGCCTGGTGGCTGGGATAGAGTGAGGCTTGTTATGTATTCCCCACAGCTGAGGAAATGATAGGCAGAGAAAAGAGAAGGCAACTGGTCCACAGGCAGAGCTGCGGCACACAATGCCACCTCCTATGAAGCAAGGAAATTAGGCAGCTGAGCTTCTGCTAAACACATTGGAGGAATGCAAAAGAAGCCAAAAAAAAACAAAAAAAAACAAAGACAAAACAGACATCATTGTTAAAGACCATGTGTCCAAGGACTTTGTGAATTGAAAATTATTTTACAAATAACAGTAAGTATCCTGGCAGAAGAGAGAGGCATCCCTGGTGTGATGGTGAATTTCACACATCAACTTGACTGGACTACAGGGTGCCCAGATATTTTGTTAAATATTATTCTGGGTGTGTCTGTGAGGGTGCCTCTGGATGAGATAAATGTTTGAATGAGTAATGTCTTTATCAGCTCAGACTGCTGTAACAAAAATACCATAAACAGAGTGGCTCATCAATTACAGAAATACATTTCTCATGGCTCCATTGGCTGGAAGCCAGAGGTCAGGATACCATCATGGTCTAGTGCCAGGGAGGGTCCACTTCTGGATTGCAGACATCTGACCTCTCCCTGTAGCCTCACATGACAGAAATAGAGTGAGCTAACTCTCTGGCCTGCTCTTATGAGCTGTATTCCCATGACATAATTACCTTCCTAATGCTTCTCCTCCAAATATCATCGCACTGGGGATAATAGTTCAGCAAATGAATCTTTTTCAAAGGGATCACAAACACTCAGACCCTAACAGGTAGAACAAGTAATGCAGGTTGCCATCCCATGTGCTGGGCCCCAGCCAGTCTGTTAGAGGCCTTGATAGAACAAAAGGAGGAGCGGGAGACAGACAATCTGCTCTCTGCTACAGCTCAGACATCATTCTTTCCTGGCTCTTGGACTGAAAATCACACCATTGGCTCTCTGACTCTTAGGTCTTTGGACTCAGATTAGAACTTCTCCCAGCAGTTTTCCTGGGGCTCCAGTTATAGATGGCAGATCATGAGACTCCTCAGCCTCTGTGACTGTGTGAGCCAATTCTTTATAATAAATCTCACTCTCTCTGTCTCTCCAGAGATCACAGACAATATATATATATAGAGAGAGAGAATAAGAGAAAGCTAATACACCTGGTTAGATCCAAATGGACCATGAAGGTTGATATGGTTTGGCTGTGTCCCCACCCAAATCTCATCTTGAATTGTAACTCCCACAGTTCCCACACATTGTGGGAGGAACCCAGTGGGAGGTGATTGAATTATGGGGGCAGGTCTTTCCTGTGCTGTTCTTGTGATAGTGAATGAGTCTCACAAGATCTGATGGTTTTAAAAACAGGAGTTCCCTGGAAAAGCTCTCTTTGCCTGCTGCCATCCATGTAAGACGTGACTTGCTCCTCCTTGCATTCTGCCATGATTGTGAGGCCTCCTCAGGCATGTGGAACTGTGAGTCCATTAAACCTTTTCCTGTATAAATTACTCAGTCTTGGGTATGTCTTTATTAGCAACGTGAAAACAGACTAATGCAAAGTTAATAGGCTGTTGAATCATTGGATAAGTGTAGCACTTTTCTTCTGAAGGAAAAGCAACTCTTACAAAAAAAATGAGCAATTCCTTTACTGAGGAAAAATTAGCCACTGATAATACATGAATAATAGCACCTTGTTGTGACTCAATACTGTAATGCATGTACTTACATATTAACTCCACAGTAAATTCTGTGTTATTCCCATTGCATAGTCACCAGTCACCAGCTTCATGTTAAATAAATCGCTAAGCTACTAGAACCAAGAATGGGAGAGGCAGAATTGGCTACACCTGTATAGCAAATATGGAATTCACTGGTCTCGAATGCAAGTGTAAAAAAAAAAATTACTTTTCTAGAACTGTATTTAATTTGCCTTGAATTCCTAATTTCTCTAATTTGCTTTGAATTCCTAATTTATCTAATGCAAGAAACTTAATTCAGTCACCATGTTCAGGTAAATTCTCTAAACTCACTGCTTCTTGAATTCATTTAGGTTTTTAAATCATTTAAAAGCCTTTTCCCACATTCTTCTCCCGTCTGAGTTTTGGGTGTGAGTTCGAGGAGGTTGGAGGTTGAATGTGGACTCTGAAGCAGGAGTAAGTAAGGACCCTTGCTCTGCTGTGCTGCCCACATGACTGCCATTGTAAGGCCCTCGCTGGCTCTGGCCTCTGCCATCTGTCCTCACTGATGTACTCTGCGTCAGCCTATGCTTATCTGAGCCAGTGTTCACTGAGGCGGTGTGACCCCGTTGGACCTCAAACCCATGGCATTGGGGCCATGAAGAACTGGACCCCACGTCATAACCACGAGTTGGTTCCCTTTGGGGCCACTGCCTGCACAGAGCTGTCAGACTTGGTGCACCTGGTCACCTCTGCTCTTGGTCATTTCTGTCCCCTGCCATGTTGGACTGTTCATGATGTTTGGGATGTACCACAGGCTCTGAGCTCTAGGACAAAAGCAGGCACAAGGACCCTCTGCGTTATTCTGTGCACCTGCTCTGGGGGTTTTCTGCCCTGCCTTTCTATCCCCAAGGTTCCCACCTTGGTCGAGAGCAGGGCTGGGCCTGTTTTTGGAGACAGCCTGTTGTGAATTGCCTTCTTTCTCACATTCCTTCCTTCCTCAGTTCAGGCAACCCTCAGTCCTGGGGGCTCCTGAAAACATCTTGTTTAAGCCAGATTGTTACCCTGTAAACACGAAAACTTCTCCCAATACTTCATCTACTGTGAATTTCCAAATTATATTTTGAGAAGGAAAAGTGGAATGCTATTTGTTTCTTTCTCTTAGACTTCCTACTCTTGCACTCCTCCAGGCAAGGAGTGAAGAGGAGCATTGTTCATGAGGAACTCGATGCTTTGGGACGAGGATCCTGATGGATAACGTGAATGTTTTATGTGCCTTACTTTAGCCAGATGCAACCTTTACAAACAGGTACTGAAGCAAGGAGCATTTCAGGACATCATAGAGCTTACAGATGGAGTCTCAGAGCCTCGGTGGGCTCAGGTACATACCCCTACATCCTCATTTACCAGCTACTGAACCGCTCTGCATTTCATTTTTCTGATTTTTAAAAGAGGGGCCCTATTACACATAAGTCATAGAATTGTTGTGAGATTGAGTTCAGATGAGTAGGACTCAAGAGTGCCTGCAAATAGTAAGTGCTCAATAGATGTTAACCTCTATTATTTCCGCCTGGGCTGGGTGCACATCACAGCCCCATTTCATCATGCAGGGGGGTCAAGGGAGCACATTCAGGGGGCACATCACTGACCGGCAGAAACAGGCTCTCAAGTAGAGGAGATTCTCAAATTTATGTTTTCAAGAATGAATTGACCAAACAGAAATCAGAGTGAAGTCACTCCAGTAGAGAGAATTGTATGTGACATTCTCTAAAGGACATGGGATGCTCAAGGAATGGTGTGACTTCCCCAGGACTGAGCCACAGGCCATGGGAGGTAGGAGGTCACCTGAGTGCCAGCTGAGGCACTTCAGCCACATGTTATTCTGTAGTAAGGAAGGGCCCAGTAGCAGGCTGCTGGCACTTTCCTCAGGGGAGAATGTCAAGAATACTGCAGGTGCCTTAGCCAACTTATATTTTAAAGCAATTAAAAAAAGATGAGGTTCAGCATGAGGAGGCATGATAGCCTTCTTCAATTAACTGGAAGATTGTCAGGTGCAAAGGAAGTGGACTTCTCTGTGTGACTACAAGCTCAGAACTAGCATGTTGGAATAAAAATCATAAAGCAACAGGTTTCAGCTCAACTTTGGATAGAACTTCCTGGCAACTACAGCTGTCAACCAGCGGTCTGGTTTGCCTCACGGTAGAATGTTTTCCAACTCAGGAGTGGTTTGTTGAAGGAGCATCTACCAGAAATGGCAAGTAAGGGATTTTGCATTGGCTGATGGGAGATTGTACCCATGACCTCTGAGTCCAATCCCTAACATTCCTGATTTCACAGGCATAATCCAGTTATGCAGGAGACTTAGGAAACAGGGTGGTCTGATATTTTGCTTTTTTTGATAATGCAAAGTAAAGCAGGTAAACATTTCCTTAATGTATATGAATATGTTTGTGTACCTCAGTCATTCTGTATGTTAAAATGTTTGAATCTGTTTTCTTTTTAATGACTACTTACCATGCTGTAAGGTCATCCTTTTGAGCAGGAGTTCTAATTAGTGACATAGACATCAAAAAAGCTAGACATTATCTGAATATATACAACTACCAGCTAAGAATTTGGAAGTTGATATTTCAAATAAATTCCTGATTTTATTTTCTAGTCACTATCCTTTGCTCTTCACTGTCGAGGAAACGTCTAGATCTGCCGTGGGAGGCATCTTTTTATTTCTGATAGTGGGCGAAGGGTGTGGGAGAGGAAAAAGCTGTAGACATGCAGGGGCATGCTTCTGTTTGGTTTCTGTCTCATCAAGCTTCGTTTCCTCTTATAAGAATGGAATCAATTGCGGGTTTTTGAAATTAAAAATTGTAATTAAATATCTGAGATCTTCAGGTCTTTAAATGTGTGCTTTCTCTTCCACACTGCGGTAACTACGATCATGAAAGTAGTACTTACGGAAAGGCACAAGTGCACAGGAATCCATGGCTAAGTGACTTTGTCTTTGGCAAGATGAAGGTGTGAGGGCCAACCCTACAGAAACATGACATCCCGTCCTCTGCTTCCAATCTCTTCTCCTTCCATTCTTTCCTTCCACACACTAAGTGCCTAATAAATGCTTGTTGAATAAATGTTTGTTTGGTAAGTGTTGCTTTTGAGGATTCTTCTTGCATTAGGAAATACATGTGATGGAGAAGTTTTACTCTCAACACTGTTGCATTACAGGTGATGGAAAAATCAAAGGTATGCACAGTTAAGATGAGGATTCAAATTCAGATCAGCTTTACAGAGTGCCAATCTGCAACTTGAATAACTAAATAACTTTATGGATATATTAGCTCATGAAATTTATTTTTAGCACAGGAAATGAATATTTCACAGGAAATGAATATTTAACAAAAATCCTGTCTACCATTATGTATAGTGCTATGCATCCGGAGGGCATTCCATTAGTAAGAGTTTGGTATTGGAGAAGAATTCCTTTTCCTTCTAATTCACAAGGCTGTGGACACTCATATGTTTAAGCCTCTCACATTTAACTCTAATATGTTTAAGGTTAGAGAGGATCAGGGATAAAATTTAACTTTTTGGTCTTACATATTTATCATTTGCCTACTCATTTGATGGCAAACAGAGATAGTCAAAATAAAAACATAATTTCTTTACCCAGAGTTTTAAAGATAAGACCATGAGTATACTTATCACTGTGTACACAGTATGTGAGGTTTTAGCCCTGAATGTGTTCTTTCCTATAGCAGAAAGAATCCCAACACGTACACATAAACACACATGCACCACTGTGTTTTGCCCAGCACTTCTCTTTTCAGGAGGGTGTGCTTTTAGTGAGTGTGCATTTGCGTTGTTGCCCCAAAGACTCCGAGGGCCACGGAAGCTCCCGGGGAAGCCTGCGGGTTGGCACTCAGGGATGCTGGCTCAGTAACCTGAAGCCATCACTGCGGCACCACGGGTTCCCTACACAGTATCTGAATCTTTAAAACTACAGAATGGACTTAGAGTTAGTCAATCATAACATTTAACATTTTATGTTGTCTTGTGCTGTCTGCTAGAAAATGGGTGAAGCAAACACAACATGTTAATTCAATGTAAACTTGGTGTTTTCTAGGCAAACAAGGCCTGGAGTGTTTTCAAATGACCTTCTGTGAAATGTCTATTATCTTCCCCACAAATGAGAGCAAGTGATATACGTGAAAGATATTTTAAAAACTCTGTATTCAATTATTCACACCAAAGGATATCCATTAAAATTATGAACATTTCTAAATATATTTCATGTATCATACATATATATATTTTATGTGTATAATTACATATCAACAAAAGAATTCTTGCTGCTTTAACCATGTAAGTAAAACAAAGATTTTGCAATATAACACTCATATATGCATATATACTGGCTGTTTGAATTATGAATTTATTTACAACTTGCCTAGATTATAATAAATGATTACTGTTCTATTATACAAACATAACAGTAAATGTTTTTTAAATACAAAGACTGCAAATGAATACATGAAAAAATTACACACATGTACAATATTTATAATTTATAAATGCAAAGTTAAGACCTCTTTAAATTATTGCACTTGCGCATTTTACAAAGATTTTTGTCATACATATAAAATCATTTTTTAAAATTTACTAACATCAACTATGATAAAGTTAGATACTGTTAACTTGAAATTCTTTCTCCTTCCAATAGAGAGCCTATTAAAATTCTGGACACAGGTTCATTGACTCTACAAATCAGTTCTTCATGAGCATTGTATTTGTGATGGCATATAACCTGTGTTACTCTCCAGTAGTTTTTGGTCAGCAAGATTATCAACAGCAAACTCTTAGATGCCTTAGCTACGTTATGGATCTAGGATCTCTTTTGTTCATTTGTTCATGTAAAGAAAACCATCTTGTCTTCTCAGAAAGAATGAAGATGCTGCATTTGTACAAATTTTGGTAACTATTTCACAGTGTGTTGGGCAAGCATGTAATTTCAAATAGGTAGGGGCATTGTATAGAAACACCTTCTCTGGGTAAATCTATTACACTCTGAACTTGCACACGAAATGAACACATAGCATATACACCATACAACAGATCATATGGAAAATAATATTCCTATATGTCATTTATATAGGCTATCAGAGATACAGCATAGGACTGGGTATTAAGGTGACTAAAGAAAAAGACAAAGGCTGTAACGCCCAAGATATAATATTTCAGTTGGGCTAGAGTATCAGATTATACACTTTTAGAACCTAACTTACAATAGAAACAAAACCCTTCTGCTTAAACTTCTGCAAATACACAGTACCTCAAAAACATCAGAGGAAAACTGAAATATGTAAACTGACTTCCCTACTTAGTAAGCCCTGGATTCAGCTGTAAGTTTCCACCTTGGTCCTGAGGTGACATTATCCTTTGCCTCACAGGGCCACACCTGGCCCTGTGTGCCATTGATTAGTTTTCTCCCACTTGCAGGAAAGAGCACGTAGGCTCTGTACGGCTTTGCAAGCCCTGCTCTCCATTGCTGGGTTGAGAAGAGAAACATCAAGTGAGGACAGCATTGCTTCTTCGGATGTTAAATGTGTTTCTTAGGTAACATTAATGTCTTTCTCTTTGTTCTATCTTCTTAATTTAGAACCAGCACACCGTTGACACTTTTTAATTTTTTCTTGCTATTTTTATCATATAAAATGCTTCCAACGCTACAGACAACCAAAATATTCCGTTGGAAAAAAGACAAAAAAGTGTGCACTGCATTGGATATTACTAATTTAAACAATATAAATGGTTAAAGAAGTCAGCAAAATGTGTATTGGCTAAATACTTATGCACATGTAAAAATCTCATGGCCATGCGCTGAAAGCATGGGGAAACTATAACGGATGACATACTTGGCTGATTTACATTTTACATAATTTAAAAATCAGATGAATACTTGCAGTAGAAGAGATCCACTATAGTGACTAAATGAATATAGTCTTTAAAGAATTAAATCCTAAATAAAATCTGCAAAGTGTAGAAAGCAAACATATGTTCGAAATATGTAAAGAGAGAAGTGATTTTAAAAATCATGCTTAGGTACCTGAAACCCCCCAAAATCACATCATAACCAGTGTCACAGTTCTCTGAAGTTCTTGCCGAAAAGACTGACTCTGAACAGTTCACTGGTTATAGTCACCAGGGTATATGTCAATGAAGTCAAATAAAGAACAGAAATCTGATGAGGAGAGAATGGTCCTATTCATTCAACTTGATAAAATGAATTGTGCGTTCCTGCAAATATTTTCAATTATACTTAAGCAAGAAAAGCAAAATAATAAATACATGAATGAAGAAGTAAAATTGCAGTATTTAAAATAAAGGCACAGGCCAAGGCAGGTGAATAATTTAGTCCTATTAAAGCTCAAACCTTAATTTTGAGTTAAAAGACCAGAAACACAATACCCAAACCTAAACCTATTAAAAAACCCAGGTATCTAAGGATTTATGCATCTATTTATATCCTGTACAATACAGGATTTGTCTCGCATACACAAATATACCAATAAAGAAAAATTAACTGAGATTTTACAAAATGAAAAAAAATCTAAAAAGCATGCCAAAAAAGAGGAAATCTATTATTGAACACATCTAGTTTCCAATTAGTTGCTTTTGTTGTGGTGAGAACGAGTCACCTGGGGCACCACTGTAAACATCTGTACCTTCCTTTTCCATTGAAGAGTCAGGAATGGGAACGATTGTGTCTAATATTTTGGTCTCTTTTGCAAGATGGGTTTTTCATACACCTCTTAGAGAGAAGTACAGCTGGGAAATGGACCAGAGTCTCTGCCCTATTAATAGGGCTATTTTTTAGAATTAGTTTCCACATCCATTGTATTTCTTTTGACCCTTTTCTAATTAATCAATTCACATTGCCCGAATTCAATATTCCATGTTATTGGCAGGCATTTATGTTTCCAAGGACATTTTTAGCTAAAAAACATATTCACTGTGTCCAAAAAGATAATGGAATAATTGCATATGACCATAAAACTTGTCTATTATAAACCAACATAACCAACAAAAGTATCTGCAAATTGAATATCCTACATATGCTCATAGCGGGTTACTAAATTTATACTGGGTGGAAAATTTGGCACAATACACAATACGACCTTAATAGGAACTCATCAAAGCTGTTGTTAGTAAAAACCATCTCTTGGCTTCTGGTGTCACACTGTTCTTTTAAGAAAAGATCTGGGAACAAGACAAGAAACATGACCCGAAAGTCTGTCTCCTAAACATCTGACAAAATACAAAAATACTCCTAACTGCATGTTTTCCAAAACAAATCATTAACTAAATATCACTGCAACCCGGGTCCTTTTATTTTAGGTAAATCTGTGATTACTAAGTAAATCTTACACATGGTAAAAGCAATATTGACAGTTTATATCAGAATTCAGTCTTTTGTTCAAGCTGTGCTTCTATTATGACAATATTTCACAAGAAATTAACCAACCAGTAAATCCAATCACATTCCTTTGGGAAACTGTTCTAAATAGAGATTACATAATACACTTGACTATAATAAATTAAGAGAATTTTCTGTAATAACCTAAAAATGTAAATGTAGCCATGAGATTCCTAACTCCATAATTATTTTCTATATTAAAAAACAGAATTCATACATTCTTTTAAAATTCTTGTAATTAAACAATAATCTTAAATAATATATCCCTTCCTGAAATTCCATCTCCAAGCGAAATGAGATAACTAAACTAACTTTTGTGACTAAAGCTGTGTTTGGTAGACTCCAGCTTCATAAATTTGTATGCAGAAAAATATGTATCTTGTTCAAATTCAATTATATGATACACTAACACAAAAATGACACTTTCTTGTCAACTGTCAAGTGATATGCATTTTCCATCAAGAAAAATCATTGTTCTTAAAGAATGGGAGAATGGGGCTGATTTATATTTTTTCCTACATGTTTGCTTCTCTCTTCCTCTCTTTCCTTCTGTCTCTCGTGTGTGTGTATGTGTATGTATCATATATACACATATGTATACGTTTACATACATGAGTGTGTATCCTATATACATCTATGTGTGTGTTCTACATATATTACATCCATCCATATATATATGTGTGTGTATATATCTAGCCACAGTGGTACTTCTCTCTCTTTTGTTATTACATTTTACCTCATAGTGTATAATGAAAATAGCAAATGGAGCTCCACGGAGGGAAGATGGCAACTTTCAGAAGCCCACAAGAAAACTGAACACATAGTGTTAATTTTAAAATAAGAACAATGTTTATGTAGAGCCAACTTTGCTACAACATAAATAAACCATGTTGTAGAAGCCTCTGATTTAATTTTGCACAAACCAGGCTCATATGAACAAAACGCCTATGGTGGTAAATATGTAGAAGCATATTTTTCCATTTTATTAAAAGCGATATTCCAGTTTCCTGCCACATGAAAAGTGAATAAGTTATTTGATATGATGGGCCTGTCACTTCCTGAGTGAGTCTCTGTCTAATTCAGGTTTGGAGGTTACCGTGCCATTGCACTAAAAATCTTTAAATTATTAAAATGCGCCAGAAGTGACTGCTTTATCATCTTTGTAGGAAGGGGTGCAGAGTATTACTTTCGTATTTTTTAAAACACTTACATTGTATAGTAATACTGGTCAACCAAAAAGGTGTATAGAAGAAACCATCGAAACCCACAGGCTTCTATGGAGTGATCTGATCTGTGAGAAGAGTAAAGAGAACAGAAAGAAGGTCCAACATGATTGTACTACTTTCTGCTCTGTTTCTGTGCTATGGACAGAAAGCTCATGAAATACGACCGTGCAGTACGTGGAAGAGATAAGTGAGAGGTGACTGCGGCAGGTCAGAGTAAAATTACAAAATACACTTTTTATGGTTTGATGTTTAAAAGAGAACTGTATGGTATTTTAATTAAACAATGTTTAAAATAAACTTTTCATTGTGAATGAGAGTCTAAAATTCTGCAATGACACAAAGTGAAAATATAAAGGAATCATTATGAAAAATGTACCCTTCGTATCCATAAGACTTGTCCATTAAAAAAATTACAATGCCGAGCTTTTATTTTGTTCTTTATGCAAAGGGTTCAGTAAAACTGCCAAGACAACAACAAAAACAATTTTAAAAACTGACATCTTTTGAACTGCTACTTGAAGTTCTGAGATTTATTGTAACATATACCTCATCTCTTCTCAAAAAGACAGGAAGTCTACTTCGTCTAGTGTTAAATTTATTGATCTCAGCCCTTTAGGTTGAACTTAAAGAATTATGTTTAGTCTAACTAAATTCATGAAGCTCTGAAATAAGAGTTTGACGTTTTGCCATCATTTCTTACTCTGTAACCTCAACGACATTTGTCCTGAGGCTGTGGACTACAACTCAAGTTAATTACAAGTAGGTCATACATGAACATTCACCATTCACAATAGTAATGTGTAAAAATTCCTATTTATATCCAACAACATCAAAGCAACATTGATGTTAAAGCCCAAGTACAATACCATAATAGTACCATTTTAAACCCTTATTAGAAAGATACAATGGAAAAGTACCCCTTCTGGATAATTTTTGTCCATTTCCTTTAAGGCCTCAGCAATATTAGCCTATTAGAAAAGGCTGGTTTGCAAGTCAAATGGAGTCACTTGGCCAGCTGATTTCTGAACGTGGGGGTGGTCCTGGTTGCTCAGTGTCTATGATGCCTCACAGAAGAGATTGGCAGGAAGTCCTCTGCTTGACTTATTTATTTGATGTTACCTTCTTGAAGAGGTTTGCACCCCAGTTACCAGGTGCAGGTTCCCCCCACCCCCCCCAAAAAAAGGAAAAGAATGTCAAAGAAGCAAGATGAGGATCTGTAGGTGGGACAGCGTGTCAGGGTGACCAGTGCTCAATCTTCAGATGCAGCTGCCTTCTGAGCCACGGATGGGGATGAAATCCAGGTTGCAGTCTCCTCCCCTCGAATCACCTTCTCCCACTGACTGAGATTATCCCTAGGGATAAAAGATGCAGTTTCAGGAGAAGCTGAATAAAGGATTTCTGGACTTTGTCTTGAAAACTAACCAAACAGTCCTGTGGCACAGCTCTGCACAACGGCATTGTGTGGGGCCCTCCGACATGGTTACCAGCACGACGTGGCCAGGCAGGTTCCTGTGATGGCTGTTCAGGAAAGAGATTCAGAGGTGCCAGAGGGTCAGGGGCACCTTGGTCCATCCGCTCTGGACCGCGAAAGCAGCAGAAATGCTAGGGCTCAGCATACGTCCTTTCTTAGAAAGAAGGATTAACTTGAACAGGGAAAGAGCCCTAGGGTTTACTACTGAGGAATACGCGGGATCGTGCAAAGGAGGTGGTCCCAGAGCAGTAGGAACACTTGGTGACAACACGGACCTTCCTACTGAGAAATGTCGACAGTGCATCTCCCAGGAGGCCTAAACCTCATCATCTTACACTTGTTCTTATTCTGAACAGTGTGTCGTATGTACAAAGTCATCCTAAGTTACACCTGGCAAAACTTCGGAAATTTTCTTGTTACAGTAAAACCGTGTTTGTGCTCTGGTAAGTCCTCACCCGAGGCAGTCTCATTTCTCGAGTCCTCTAATCTTTCTCTCTCAGTGTCTGTGGTTCAAGCTTCACAGGCATCGTCATCTTCTCTAACTGCGTGATCACAACCACTGCACAACCATCTTACTCTACATGGCTACCCTGGCAGAGCTCTTAGCCACATTCCTGTGTGAAGTCACATGGGAATCTTGGCATTGGGAAATACAAAACTCCTATGAGACACAGTTTTAAAATTCTCTCAAATTTCTTTTAGCAAACATGCTAAGACACATTCAGATAGACAAAACCCTAAAATATAACTGAAAAGTGTAGCCCTTTTAACTTTTGTAACATATCATCAAGTATTATTTTTCCAGACCCTAGAGACTTCTGATATATTGGAAAAAGCCATACACTAATTTTGGTATGTTTCCTTGGACACCGATGATACATCATACGCTTTTTAAGCGTTAATAAGATTAAAATGGCCTTTAAGAAGTTATGTGGTCCAGCCAAGTATACTGAAGCAGGAATGAGGCAGAGCTGCCCACACAGTGGACACCGTGTTCTCAGAGCTCCACAAGGAAGGCACCTCCATAGCGCCCTACAGCGCCGGGCACGCGCCTCCATAGCGCCTTACAGCGCCGGGCACGCGCCTCCATAGCGCCCTACAGCGCCGGGCACGCGCCTCCATAGCGCCCTACAGCGCCGGGCACGCGCCTCCATAGCGCCCTACAGCGCCGGGCACGCGCCTCTATAGCGCCCTACAGCGCCGGGCACACGCCTCCATAGCGCCCTACAGCACCGGGCATGCACAGTCAGCACTCATGACCTGGCTTCCAAGTACCTGGCATAAAACACACAGAATTTCTGGACAGGAAAGGACTTTTGAAGATATTGGTTTAAACAACATCTTTGAATTTACATTGATATCCCACTTTCTCTTTAATTTTGCACACACTTTTATAACCTAATTCCTTCAAGAATGATCTGGCCTCACACTCCATATTGCCCATTATGACTTAGGCCTTTGTAATAAGGTAAGATTTTAATAAACTAACCAGGGATTAAGGTCAATTAAGGCTCAACAGAACAAGGTGGGATGCTACGTTTATATCCACAGGAGCAGGAAGGAAGGAGAAACCGTTTCTTAAATATTATATATATAAAATTTTTAATATTGCTTATTGGTCTTTCCTTGAAAAAAGCAGAAAAAAAATTTCAACAGCAGAAGATAAGAGTATACTAAGTTTCTGGTTTTGTGTAAAACTCTCTGGCCAGTGTCTGTTCTCCGTCCTCCCACAGGGCATCCACTCCAACCCACCCCAGGCAGAGCTATGGCTAAGTAGTTAAAACATGGCCCGGAGCCAATTCACCTAGAAAAGACTCACACGCACAGCTGCTGGCTATAACCCTTTGACTTCCTCAGAGGGAATTTATAAAGTAAAATGAAAATCTTTAAAAATATCCAAGGTTCTTAACCGAGTTCACTCTTTAAAAAGGATAAGAATGGAATAGGGAGAAATAATGAATCTAGAAGAGATAACGATGCTTAAATGTCTTTCTGGAATGAGAAAAAGACTTAAAGAGGAAGCGGTTATTCAAAATTTAAGGTCCCCTTCTTCCATTTAAACAACAAACTGTGTGATCTAGTCAGCCTCTTCCTGCACAGGCATCCTCAATAGACACCATTACCTTGTCTTTTTAAAAACAGCATTGGGCAGGTCCTCTGCAAAATAACAATAATAATAAAAACTTCTTCCTCCTTTTTGGTGTATGAAGGACTTGATATGAATAGACACTCTTCACATATACATAGTGTACTACATAGGGACATACTGTGGCTGTACGAGTCATGAGAGCCAGGGGCCCCTCTTGCAGGACTGACTCCATGTCTCACTTAGCAGAATAAGGCAGCCTGGCCAAGGGCTTCTATCCCAGGCCTGAGGACCTCCAGGGACAAGGTCCCTTCAGCACAGATGCAGCTCTCATTAGGCTTGAAACCAAGCTGCCTTGCAAGAACCACACACATGCCCTTTCTCAAAGAAAGACCTGGCACCCCACTCAGACTGAACGTGGGCATAAGAAAGCGAGAAGGGTCTCCCACACCGAGACAGAGGCCCTCCCAGTCACTCGGTCATCTGGGCCCTGACTGTGTCTGGCCCCAGCCCCCAGCCTGTTCCCACTGTCCCTCTCTTCAGAGTGTGGCCAGAAGAAGCTACCCAAGCACCCAAGGTGCCTGAGGCTCGTCTTTGAGGAGAATTGAACCAAAGGGGAGAAGTCGTGGCCCTGGGGAAGCCAGGTAAGGAGGCCCCGAGTCCCTGAGCACAACAACTCGACATCTAGACAAACACACAGACCACAACACACTAGTGGGGTACAAAAATCCTATACAGATCTCAGTGTTGTTGGAAACAATATTTTTACGGCTTGAACCATAGTACATACCTGCATGCTTTCAGAAGAGGCTCCGTGGGAGGGAGGATCTGGGTAAGGGTTGTATAGCAGGGAATGGCCACGGCATTGTAGAACCCAAGCTGCCTCCATGCAAAAACCACGGACAAGAAACAAAAGTGCACATTAGCAATTCCAGTGATATTTATATTTCTTAAGTGACTGTTCTGTTTCTGAGGCCTAATTATAAAATTGCATGTTCTAGTTTTGCTGTATGTGATATCTGGGTTCCATGAATACTATTATAGACTGTATTTTAAAATGCATTAAAATGGATTCTAGAAATAAAACACATGAAGATTCAAAACATATTACAAAGGTTAATACCTACTGAAATCTGGCCGGGCGCGGTGGCTCACGCCTGTAATCCCAGCACTTTGGGAGGCCGAGGCGGGTGGATCACGAGGTCAGGAGATCGAGACCATCCTGGCTAACAAGGTGAAACCCCGTCTCTACTAAAAATACAAAAAATTAGCTGGGCGCGGTGGCAGGCGCCTGTAGTCCCAGCTACTCGGGAGGCTGAGGCAGGACAATGGCGTCAACCCGGGAAGCGGAGCTTGCAGTGAGCCGAGATTGCGCCACTGCAGTCCGCAGTCCGGCCTGGGCGACAGAGCGAGACTCCGTCTCAAAAAAAAAAAAAAAAAAAAAAAAATACCTACTGAAATCTAAGACCCAAGTACATTAAATGACATTTCGCTAATAGATCAGTCAGTTGATCATTCAAGTCCTGTGTTATCTCCAGTCACCTTTAGTGCTTTCTTGCAGACACTTCAACGTAAAGCCTGCTATTCTTTCATACATATGGCTCTTTCCGCCCTCGTGCTCAGGTTTACAGCAGTGCTTTCTGCTTGTCTGTTACTCTTGGCTTTGGTGCCTTGTGTGGTGTCCCAATATTTACTCATCCTCCCAGCCCTCTTATTTGAACTAAAATAAATGTCATTGGTTTTATCACAGCTCTTCCCATTTACTGTTTTTCCAATATATCACATTTCAAAGTTTAAAAATCTGTAGTATTTTAAATAATACATAAATAATATTTTATTAGGAATTCTGGGTCACTGTGCAAATAAGACTGGCTTACTGAAGTCCAGATGTAAAAGATATGTGACTATCAGCCAGATAACACAGCTTGTCTAGTCATAAGTCACTGGCCAAGTGGCTGCATCATGTACGAGACAAATAGCTCTCTAGAAGAGGTGACCCCAAATCACAGCTTACCAATTTCTCGAAAGTACTGAACTTCAGTGATATGCATCGAAGCATACAGAAGGATCAAATTTATTCCTTTTTGCTTTCTCCTGTTATAAAGTCTATCGTCATAGCACTCTTACTAGAATAGCGCCTGTGTTATTTCCATTTTTAACTTTATGGCTCATGCAGAGACTTTCTTATTCTAATATTTAACAGATGTCATGGGGCACAAGATCCCAGAAAAGATACTAATATTAGAAATTAGAGTATTTCATTATTATGGCAAATAATTTCACAGTCATCAACTATTTAGAAGCAATATGGTTGGTAAAATATGAACTGATCATAGAAATTTTTCTTTAAACCTTTATTAGGCTGTAAATGAAAATCAAACTATTCTAAAACAAACGATTATCTTAGTTAAAAACACTAGAGCAAAACCCATATGCTGACAGCATCAATGAGAAATTTCCAGCTATACCATGCATTCTTGGGATGACTGTTAACTACTGGGAAGGAAAGAAATTGTAGATCCCTATCTTAAATAATATAACAAGATACATTCCAAACAAGTCAATAAATCAAATGGAAAGTAATCAAGAAGAAACTAAAGAAAATATAGGCAAATATATTTACTCTCAAGATGGGAAAGAACTTCTCAAATACAATATGAAAAGCAGACACCGAACAGGAATGACTAACAGCTGTGACTCCATATATGGGAAAATTCCATGAACAGTGGTAAAATGCGACAAAAACTTCAAAATACACCTGCAGTAAACACGATAGGTATTCAGGATCCATTTCTAATCAAGAGGGAAAAGTGACCATGCCATCAGAAAACCTAGCCAGGGACATAAGTGGAGGCAATGGCCATTCATTCAGCCTCTTTGTTGTGCTGGTACCCTCTGTGAGCTGTGGACTTGTCTAAATTTTGTATAAATCAATTTTAAATAAAGTAGGGAAATTTGAGAACTTATCAAAAACCACCATCCTGTGGACTTTTTTAAACATTTGTTAAACTTATCTGTATCATAATTATTTATTTGCCCACAACTAACTTCCTTGTTATGCCATTAGAAGATGAGACAGTTAACGAAAGCCATACTCTCAGAAATATATGACACCACACATACACATGTGCAAAACTAGCGAGGCACAAGACCTCTCAAAACATTCAAAAGCAAAATAAATTATGTAGTATGACCTGAAAAGAGGATAATTAATGTCAATTTATGTTGAGACAAAACATAAAATGTACTAAAATACTAAGCATTATTTGTCAGAAAAAAATGAACCTGAATTAAAATCTATAATGTAACTCTCCAAAAATATCTTTGTTTAGCCAATGACAAAATATTTTCTGCTTGTTAAAAATAAAACAATTCAAATTCATCCACCCCCTCTATTTCAAGTCAGAAAAGAAAGCCTATTTACTGCAACGGCAGCTGTAGAAAGGAGTCGTGGCCAAGGTAGTATGAATTCTTTCAGTCCACAGAGATTTCCTAACCTTGGTCTTACTCCATCTAAATGGAGAAGGTTTCAAGTGGTTCTAGCTTCTGTCCTCTGAGCACTAAGTCCCTCCAGTCCACAAGGCAGCCAGACCCTCAGGATTCCTCACTGTGGCTTTTAGCCTTGGGAACAAAATCAGTGGTTAGAGTTGGCCGTCAAACTCAGATTAAGAGTATAAACTCTTTTAGAGTCTACTTTTCTGAGTGTCTTAGCAAGTGAAGGCTCATTTGAGTAGATGATTATTCAGGGTAAACAGTTTTTCTTTTTCTAGTTCTCAATCTTGTAAGATAAATTTCTGAAGTTTCTATATTAATCACCAGATCTGCCTGGAATAACCCATTCCCTTAACATAATATATGATGACATGCTTTCCATTTATGTATGATTTTATGCCCACCTTAAACTATTTGGCTTTAGCAATTACAATTTACTTTAATAATTCATACCTGGCCTTGGGGGACTTCATCCTTCTTGTCTCTGTCCATCATAGGAATAGGCTGTATTCCCAATTTCTTCATTTCATCACCCTAAGATGAATGGGGAGAAAATCATGCTTTCTCAAATTTCAAATTGCTATACTATTTTGATATTATTGAATTATTCCCTTTATTCCTTAATTTTCTTCAAAACAAATAATGTTTGTGGTTGTTAACCCAAGAAAAGTACATCAAAATAAAGAAAAACTTAATGTATCATTATTTTGTACTTTATCCTGATTTTCTCCACTACTGAATTACCAGAAACCCAGCCATTATTACTGGTTTCATTTTGCAGAAGTTAGTAAATAAATGTTATAATAAGAGGAGATACAGTAAACAGTGAGGAGAAATAACAATAACAAGATATGGAATAACCTCCAGGCCCTTCTCTCTTCCAAATGATCTTCCAAGTGCATGGAACTCAGTGAAGTTTGGCTTTCCAGAGGAATATTTACAGAGGAAGATAAACATCACCAGTCGACTAAAATGTGCTAGTAAAGACGCAGTACAACAAACTACACATATCATCTAATTTACAATTATAGGTAATACTTACTAAAGATTAACTATGTTAGTTACTGAAGGTTCACGTACAGTTACAGGTAATAGTTACTAAAGATTCACTATGTTAGTTACTAAAGATTCACTTACAGGTAATAGTTACTAAAGATTCACTATGTTAGTTACTAAAGATTCACTTACAGGTAATAGTTACTAAAGATTCACTATGTTAGTTACTAAAGATTCACTTACAGTTACAGGTAATAGTTACTAAAGATTCACTATGATGCAGGCCCTGAGCTAAGTAATTTGTAAATATTATTTCATTTAATCCTTATGAAATATTCTAGGATATGCTGTTCCCATTTTAAAGATTTTAGAAATTATCTTGCTTTTTATTTATTTGTTAAAGGTAAAACTTGTACAATCTTCTTAAGATTTCCTAGTATTTTTCCTAACTTCCCACTCTTCCCTCATAGTTTTTATTATTTTAGTAACGTTGGTCATGTTTTTAGAAATCAGAAGTACAGCCTAGAAACTTCCCAGACTTGCTAAAATAGGGTCTACAAACAAACTACTATCACCATAATTAGGTATTTTTATGTACAGGACCAAAGCACTTGTCCTGACAAAGCAAAGCCACTTCAAGCATGGCTGCTGTTCCATTGTTACCACTTTAAATTTAAAATCAGTGGTCTCAAACCTTTTGCTTCTCTATCCAAAGTGAGTGAGACATACTAAGTCCCTTGCTCTCAAAGACTTGACAAGTCCAACAAGGAAACAGCTTTTTAAACAAACGATGATTTGAATATGTACTCGAAACAAAAATGCTAAAAAGGAAAAGAACCCAGTGCTACAGACCATGGCTCTAACAGAGGGCTGAGCCAATCTGAGGCTTTCACAGAATACAGAGGGCAGGAGCATGCTCCAGGCAGAGACTGCAGGGAACAAAGACCTAAATGGCAGCTAGGGGCTGAGATGGGGAATATGCCTGCACAGACAGTGGGCAGGGGGCCAGCCATGTGGGGCTCTCCACACGGAGGTCATGATTTTGGTCTGTATTACAACAAGAGGATCAGAAGCAGGGTACGGATGGAATCCGAATTATTATCATCCCTATCTCATAAACTGGCCTGAGGTTAAATACCAAGTGCCAAAGCGGAATTTTAATTTCAAGCAACCTGGCACCAAAGACCACATTATTAATTACTTTTGCACAAATTCTAAAAGGTAATGGCAAGGAATTCAGTTAGAAAGTTGCAGTACTCAAGGCATGAGTTGGTGATGACCTGAAGAGGGGAAAGATTGTGAGGATGGAGAGAAGAGACAGGACTTTATAGATACTGGGAACAACTGTCAGGACTTGGTGAATATATTCCTGCTTCTTCCTGTGGACTATTGAGGTTGGTGAAGGCTGCACCTAAGAGCATGCAGAGAGCTGAATCATTATCTGTGGACTGAATAACCAGTGAATAATATAAAGGAAAAACATCTCCATTACATATTGGTCACATTTTGGCATTAAATTCTCCAGCTTTTAATCCTGCACCTTCCTTTTACTTTAAGTTGTCATTTAATGACTGCACATTTTCTACATTTGTCTAGAATATAGAAATCATATTACAGTCTATAGTTATGCCTTTCTCATAGCAATCCTGTACCTGAACAAAACGTGCATTTTTAGTATGAGATAAAAAGATATTTCACAAACAGTGCAAGGTTTTTGCTCCTGTTGTCATAGCTGCAGTGATGGCTTCATGAATTTCCTTTTCTTTTTTTGCAACGATCCTTACACGGGATTCATTTATGTTAACATGGCGGCAACCACAGCTGCAGACTTCAGTCTAGGGAACGTATCAAGCAACTCAACTTTTTCTTGTCATGTCATGACTTTTCTCTGCTTCTTGGGAGCACTTCCAGCATCCTAGTGTAACTCTGTATAGGTGCTATGGTGTTACGGAGGACTTAGGTATTGCACTAAACACAATGAAAACTATGCAAGAACCACGAGAGATCACTTTTTACTGTGATACACAATTTACTGGAGAGACGAATAGCTCAGAGACAATTAGCATCACAGAGCATTTTAAACACAGCATTTTAAGTGGATACTTGTAACACTTGAGCTCACCGTAACAGCAAAAGAAGGTTGCTGCAAAATTATTACAGTACTGCCGTATGTACTATGGTTAACTTTACGCAGTTACAATTTAACACGGCATCTGTTTGTTTACATTTCTCTCCAGTCTATAAGTGTGTATATAAGTTTTGATAAATTTTAACTTATCATAGATTTTTGTATATTTTATGGTAGTAAATGATAAAATCGACTAGTATCTACATATATTTTATGCACTTATGGCATACTTAAATTTTTTATATTTCTAGGATATGTTGTTCTGTATTTTTGTCATAGATCTCCAAAAAAATCTTTCAATATATTTATTGAAAAATATCTACATATAAGTGGATCCACACAGTTCAAACCCGTGTTGTTCAAGGGTCAACTGTGCATTGAAATCAATCTTCCTACTTGAGTCTGATGGTAACTAGGTTCTGACACATACACAATAAAATAAAGAAAAAGCTCATGCGAGACCACGCATATGCGATGTGTAAAGCATTCTGGAGAAATCATGCCGGGAGTATAATCAACTCAAGGTCTGTGATCCTCATACAGTAAACATACTTTGGCTTTATTATTATGAAATAATTCAACATGATAAACCTTTCCCACTAAACTTGTGGCTGAATGATTTGCTGTTTATGTTTTACATACATTCTTCTGTATGAATGAGATATACGATTGAATTATCAGCTGCTTTGTCCTCCAAATTTACTTTTATTTATTCAAACCAGAAGAGGTACTCAAAAGATTTACAGCTTTCTTCATAGAGTAGTTTTTGAATATGCAAAGGCCTAGGTATCCGTGACTCATTTGGATGGGAGAATGATATTCTACTTACTTACATACAATTCCATCAGCAAATTGAGCAGTACAATGCACATCACTGATAAATTAGATAAGTCAGTCAAGAAAAGGCGTTAATAAAAGTCATTTACGTGTTGTTTCAGGAGTATTATGAATGAATATTCCACACATTCTGCAGAACACATAATTTGCAGGTGAGCTATTGGTTATATTTACATATTCTCAATGTCTATGGTGCAAAACAATTATTCTCCTGAATTTTTAACTGCAGGTGGATATATCCTGTATTATGGGACCCTCTGAGTACTTTGTCCAGTGCCTATCTAAAGTAGATGGCCAGTAATGTTTATTGAATGAATGAACAAAAGATCAGCTGTTAAGTAAGATAACTGTTATACTACTGTTCAGTGAGTAAGTTCCTAAACTCTTTCAGTTGAGCTCAGAGAATTAGACACACATGTAAGTAATATGTAAAAGAATGATCATTCTCTCTTTGTATCTGCATAAGTGCTAAATCCTTCAGTATGTGACTCACCACAGTTCTCTGAAATAACTATCAACATGAACAACTAAAGTATTCTTAGCAATTGATCCATACGTTTTATTTCTCCTCACTATCTATGTCAATATAAGAATCAAGGACATACCTCAGCCCAGAATTCTGCATATATATCATTTGCCGTCAATTTTGTAACGGGCCACAGTTTTGTCACAGAACAAAGGTCACAGGCAGTCATCATCAAACCAATTACACGGTCTCTAGAACACAACAATATAAGACTGGTCAGCATAGCATTTGCACATTTATAGTAAGGACTAGAAAGACTTCTGTATTTCAGGAGTGAAGTTTAAGTATGTATTACTTCATTAAAGAGCACACAGAAGTGACAGCCAGGACAGTAAAATGGAATTAAAAATTAGTGTCATTTTCATCATAAGAACAAGAGTCACTTCTATCACAAGTCCCGTGAGGAGTGCATCATATGTTCCTGTTGCCTCAATGCTACTGAAGAAATCAAATATAATGTAGGCTCTGACTAGGCTGCCATCTAAATCCCCTGGTACACTTTTATGGCTATGGATCAGGCTTTCATTTTCATTGAATTTTGGAAATTTAGAGTGGGAAGACGTCTTAAGAGAAAATCTATCCCAATCCTTTCATTTTATATTAGCAAAGTCTGAGGTGCACAGAAATGAAATGACTTTTCTAAAGGGACAGGAATTTGTGGCAAGGCCAGAGGAGGAGGTAGCTGTGCAACCTGGTTCCTCACTCTCCCCGTGCAAGTGTGTGAGCTGGATGCAGCCTCCAAACACTGTGCTTCTCATTAGCAGATATTTCTTTTCAACACCAGCCTTTCAACCAAAATGACTTTTCCCTTTTCAGCTGCTTGCATTCATAACTAGGTGCTCCATGTCTGACTTTATTTTCTAAATATGGCTTGGTTTAATCTTTCCTCTTGAAGAAAAATAATAACTTAAAAAAAATCAAAGACATATCCCCTGCAATTTGAATAGATTTGGTCTTGTGATATGTGGCTACCCTAAGTGAAGTCTCTACTTAACAGAATAATTAAGTGGTAGTAATTAAGACAGTTTAATGTACAACTTTAGCTTTTGTAAAGCAAATTATATAATTTTAAAAGACAAATTATCAACAAGGATATAAAAGTGTGTAATGAGTGAGACGATGCTCTTACTTCTAGCTCCTATCTCAATTCGAATGAGTTTAAGCAATCCCCTGCTGTTAACCACTGCCTTACCTCTTCTAGGTCCACATTCTCCAACTGCGGGCACAGTCCTGCCCTAGCTCCCGAGCCTGTCTTGACCCAGGCAGACAGCACATTAGGAGCATCCATCTGTCAATCTGGCAGAGACTCTGCTCTAGTAGTGCTCTTAGCACATCTTAGCTCAAGCTAAGATGTTTGGATACCTGGAATACCCTGATTCTTATGATACCATCGATCACAGAGTTCTTTATTTCCTGTCAGCTCGCTTCCTTTAGCCCATTTAAGGAATCATCAGTTTTACTACCTTGCTTTTTGTAAGGGCACATTTCAAGAGGGTATCAGGTCTCTTACAGGTTAGACTAAATCACTTTACAAACATTGGTTAGATTTATGCATACCCTTCCTGTAACCCCAAACAGATGCTATGTGAAGATCCAAATCCCTTACAAGTGGTCAGGGAAACTATAAGATTTTCTTAATGAGGTCGTTTCTAAGAACTTTGTGTCTTGAAGATATTTATTTTTGGATTTGAACTTCTAACGTAATGAATATATGACCTTTTTTTTCAACAGGTAAATTCATTTAAACACAAATCGAATGTGAAAAACTACCATTTACAAATATTTCATATGTTTAAAATAATTCAATCTTATTAATTTATATTCACCAAAATAACGTATATCATGGTGAAATAATCTAATAAGGTTTATCTCAAAAAACTTTCATAAATCTGTAAAACAAAAGAAATGTCAATAGAATTGGGCATTATAAAACACATGAAAGCAATTTTCTTGCTGGAAATTATTCCCAACATAAAGTTGCCAATATAAGGACTGAAAAGATTATAAAACAGTTATTTAGATTTCACTGTCAAAATTACTTAGACAAAGCACAAAAAATAAAACAGATTAGAAATTTGGCATCAAATGTCTTTAGTAAATGTAAGTACTCATTTTTTTACTCCCAATTCCAAACCAGTTAGATGGCCATGGCTATACAGAAATATTAATTGGGATCAACATTTTATTTCTATCCATGAATGGAATGTAGAACTGACTGCTAACTGAGGTAGATCCTTAACTCCAAATATGCTTTAATAACCAATTGTGAAAGGATCATGTTCATGCTAAGCCTACTCTTGGTTTGAGATCATATAACCTAGTCGCTAAAAACAATCAAGGAGGAGCCCAACACAATGCCTATGATAAAACGATTCTTAATCACATAATTTCAGAAGGTTTAACTACATTCATTTATCCTCAAAAGTTGTGAATGCCTGCATGTATCTGGCAGTTACAGCAAAGAACCAAATAGACCCTTTTCTCAGAGTAATAATGTCCTAATAGGGCAAGGCAGACAGTCAACAGGTCAAAACTTTCATGAAGCAAGTGCTGGGTAAAAATCAATAAATCAATAAATCAATAAAGAGAGGCTACCACGTGAAGATCTGGGAGGAAGGTCCAGCAGAGAGGAGTGCACGTGAAGTCCTAATGTGGAAACAAGCAAGGCAGGTTTGAGGAACAAAAAGAAATGCCATTATGGCTGCGACACAGTGAATGAAGTGAAACATGGAACGTAGTTAAGTTTGGAGAAACAGGCTGGAGACAAGATAGGAGTTTAACTTTTATTCCAAGTTTGATGGTAAAATCTTGGTGTCTTTTCCCAGAGGAGTGGCCTGATACAGGTATTAAAGAGGATCACTCAGGTCTGCTGGGTGGAGATGACTCATAGACCTGTGAAGGGGCAAGGGCAGGTTCGGAGTGATCACTTAGGAGAACCCTACAGTAGTTCAGATGAGAGGTGAGGGCAGCTTGAAGTATGGTGACAGTAGTGGGACAGGGGGAGTAGGAGGATTCCAGACATTAGAGGTAGAGCCAAATGCAAATTATTAACACCCATAAGAGTTATAAAGACAAGGCATTTCTCTCTCCCGTCTTCGTTTCCTTTTCCCTCCTTTCTCCCCGACTGCCATGTATTAATTATCCCAGATCAAGTGGAGCAGATAAAGAGCACAGGCTCTATCACAGGGGTGCAGATATTCCAACCTCAAAGAGGCGGGCACCTCTCCGCAGCGTGCATGTTTGCCTGCTAAGTGCCATCCTATTTCAAGATTTTCTTCCCACATCAGAAGATCATGGAATCACAGAACTTTACCAAAGGAAGGCAAAATAGACCACACAGCCTGCAGTAGTACTTCAGATGAGTTACTGATGGGCAAGAAGGAAGCCCAGCCCTCCCACACTGCCCACAATCCCACGCCACACACTCTGTAAACCTGGCCAGCCAAGGATATACTATTTTGTTGGAAAAGAAGAAACACCCATTCTCTAATTTTATAATGATTATTTGAAATTTCTTTTGAATTTCTGTATTCAAAAGTATACTGATGTATAAGCAAAGACCAGAATTCTGTTATGAGGTAGTCTTAATTATTACTGTGAGAGTGGTTAAGTGTTATCAAGCGGTTAACTAAAAAGCAAAGGTGGGGGATGTACAGTGGATGTTTTGTTTAGAAGCTGTCATCTAGCCTCATTTTAATTATTTTACTTTAAAATAAAGTAACACATAGAATTTGAAAAGAAACTAGGTTCAATTCTTTTTTTCTCTAAATTATCACCTTAATGCTTTTTTTTTTATCTTGCTTTTAAACTCATTTTCAAGGGATTTTAAATCATTGGGTTGAGTAATTTAAATCATATCTGTAATAACTACTATACCTTCATCAAAATGTGACCTATTTTGAGTAATTTAGTAAACATTAAACTAGCCTAAGAATAATACAGTTTTTCTGAAAGTATTATTTGAACAGCTGCATACTCAAAATCATAGAAAATATTTTAAAATCTTACTGTTTCCAATAACATAAATAACTTTCATATAAGTATAAACATGATATAGTAATTATCTCACTAAAATATACTTTAAATTTAAGTTCTAAAATCTTAATAAAACCCTAAATGTTACTTCTTTTAAAAATACATTTTTTCCATCACAGAAATAAGTTGCTTCTTTTAAAAATACATTTTTCTCCATTACAGAGAGAAAAATAAATTATAAACGAATGGAAAATGAATCTTAGGTAAATGACTACCACAGAGGGAACTGCTGTTATTAAAGTTAATACCAGAGTATTATTCCTAGAGTTAACAACCTTTACATGGTCTCACAGAGTACCATACATAACTTTAATCCAAATGGGAACATTAGTGATCTTGCTTTAGAATTTCAGTTCCCCACATTTCAGGTTCTTCAGTTGAGACATCAAACATTCCTGGCAGAGGGAGGCCTTTATGCACTTACAGTCCTACAGCAGGTAAAGGCTGGAGGCTGCTGCCACATTTGGGAAATGCTAAAGAAACTACATTATGGCATATATATATATAAAAAACAGGTAACACATCACATAGACACATTTGTTGTTCTTCAAAGCACACAGCAATAGCTATGTAAAAATATAGAACTTTTCAAGTTCTATTTCTGAATTATTTGAAGAATTAACAAAGAATTGTTAAAGTGTTTAATATTGTACCCTTTCTTTGACGTGCACGTACCTGTACCCTTTCTTTGACATGCACGTACATCTAAATTAAGAAAAGACTTCAAGGGAAGTGGAGCAAAGGGATTGCTTTTGAAGGGTACAAATATTATCTGGGACTAAGAGAATAAACATTTTCATTTTAGAAAGATAACAAAAATAAGAGAAATTATGATTTTTAAGCTGCCATTTCAAATTATGAAATTAGTTTATCTTTACAATTTGTGTTTACGAAAGGCAGTTCTTGCATGAAATACATGAAAGTAAAAATTTTAAAAACTACCAGCAACTTCCATATTTGTCATCTTAATACTTAAAAGGATACTTTTATCTGATATCATAGCTTAAAACGCACCATGGTCTTTTCTGAATTTGCTGAAATGGTTCTTAGTTAAGACTATACCTGGTTCTATTTAGCCATAATGGGACCATGCTTGCTAATTTCAACAAAAAACAATAATTCTACTTTTGCCTACCCTTGGCTTGAGTTCAGAGCTGGTTTCCAGACATGACATTTGTTTTTAGTTGTAGTCAGGAAAAGTGCTTTGAAGGGAAATTTCAGTGCAGAAATCAAGCAGTTCACAGATGATTGGTGGCCCTGCATTACGTTTCCTCTCTCTCTCTTTTCTGTTCCTAGCAAATCCTTTCATAAGCTAGAATTAAACTGTCTGATATAGTTGTCCCCCACCCAAATCTCATCTTGAATTGTAGTTCCCATAATCTCCACATGTTGTGGGAGAGATGAGGTGGAGATAACTGAATCATGCGGGCAGTTTCCCCCTTCCTGTTTTGTGATAGGGATTCAGTTTTCACAGGAGCTGATGGTTTTATAAGGGGCTTCCCCCTTTGCTGGGCACTCATTTTTCTCTCTCCTGCTGCCACGTGAAGAAGGATGTGTTAGCTTCCCCGTCTGTCATAACTGTAAGTCTCCTGAGGCCGCCCCAGACATGAAGAACTGTGAGTCAATTAAACCTCTTTCCTTTATAAATTACCCAGTCTTGGGTATTTCTTCATAGCAGCATGAGAATAGACTAATACAGTAAATTGATACTGCAGAGAGTTGGGTGCTGCTATAAAGATACATGAAACTGTGGAAGCGACTTTGGAACTGAGTAACAGGCAGACGTAAGAAGAGTTTGGATGGCTCAGAAGGCAGGAAAATATGGGAAAGTTTGGAATTTCCTAGAGACTTGGACAACTCAGAAGACAGGAAGAAGTGGGAAGGTTTGAAACTTCCTGGAGACTTGTTGAATGGCTTTGACCAAAATGCTGACAGTGATAAGGACAATGAAGTCCAGGCTGGTCCAGGTGGTCTCAGATGTAGATGAGGAACTTGTTGGGAACTGGAATAAAGGTCACTCTTGCTATGCAAAGAGACTGGTGGCATGTTGCCCCTGCCCTAGGAACTGTGGAACTTTGAACTTGAGAGAGATGATTGAGGGTATCTGGTGGAAGAAATTTCTAAGTGGCAAAGCATTCAAGGGAAAGCAGAGCATAAAAGTTTGAAAAATGTGCAGCCTGATGATGTGGTAGAAAAGAAAAACCAATTTTCTGGGGAGAAATTCAAGCCAGCTGCAGAAATTTGCTTAAGTAACAAAGAACTGAGTGTTAATCACCAAGACAATGGGGATGTCTCCAGGGCACGTAAAAGACCTTCATGGCAGCTCCTCCCATCACAAGCCCAGAGGCCCAAGGGGCAGAAATGGTTTCGTGGGCCCCCCTGCTCTATGCAGCCTTGGGACATGGTGCCCTGTTTACCAGCTGCTTCAACTCCAGTGGTGACGAAAAGGGGCCAATGTATGGCTCAGGCTGTTATTTTACTGGGTGCAAGCCCCAAGCCTTGGTGGCTTACATGTGGTGTTGGGCCTGAGGGTACAGAGAAGTCAAGAATTGAGGTTTGGAAACCTCCACCTAGATTTCAGAGAATGTATGGAAAAGCCTGGATGTCCAGGCAGAAGTTTGCTGCAGGGCCAGAGCCCTCATGGAGAACCCTGCTAGGGCAGTGTGAAAGGGAAATGTGGAGTCAGAGCACCCACACAGAGTTCCCATTGGGGCAGTGCCTTGTGGAGCTGTGAGAAGAGGGCCATTATCCTCCAGATTCCAGAATGGCAGATCCACCTACAGCTTGCATCGTGCACCTGGAAAAGCTGCAGACACTCAATGCCAGCCCATGCAAGCAGCCGGGAGGGTAACTGTATCCTGTAGAGCCACAGGGGCAGAGCTTCCGAAGGCCGTGGGAGCCCACCTCTTGCATCAGCATGACCTGGATGTGAGACATGGAGTTGAAGTATATCATTTTGGAACTTTAAGGTTTAATGGCTGTCCTACTGGATTTTGGATTTGTATGGGGCATGTAACCCCTTTGTTTTGGCCAATTTCTCCCATTTGGAATGCTATATTTACCCAATGCCTGTACCCCCATTGTGTCTAGGAAGTAACTGACTTGCTTCTGATTTTATAGGCTCATAGGTGGGAGGGACTTGTATCAGATGAGACTTTGGACTTGAACTTTTGAGTTAACACTGGAATTAGTTAAGAATTTGAGGGACTGTTGGAAGTAGAGGATTGTGTTTTGAATTGTGAGGATATGAGATCTGGAAGGGGGCAGGGGCAGAATGATATGGTTTGGCTGTGTCCCCACCCAAATCCCATCTTGAATTGCAGTTCCCCTAACCCTCACTTGTCATGGGAGGGACCAGGTGGAGATAATTGAAACATGGGGGCAGTTTCCCCAATCCTCTTCTCATGATAGTGAGTTAGTTCTCACAAGAGCTGATGGTTTTGTAAGGGGCTTCCCTCTTCGCTGGGCACTCATTCATCTCCCTCCTACTGCCATGTGAAGAAGGACGTGTTTGCTTCCCCTTCCATCATGATTGTAAGTTTTCTGAGGCCTCCCTAGCCATGCTAAACTGTGAGTAAATTAAACCTCTTTTCTTTATAAATTACTCAGTCTCGGCTATGTCTTTATTAGCAGCATGAGAACGGACTAATACACTGTCTAAGAATCGATTTCTAGGATCCCAAATTCACTTGTCAGTCTTTGCCATTTATAAAGTTTAAAAAAAATTATTATTAAGTGTAAGGTATTTGTGAAGTCTGCACTGTATGTCTTATGTAAACAAATTATTCATCTGCATTTGAAACACACATGACAATGACTTTATACACAATTGGGCTTTGGTTGTTTCATTTTTAAAATAAAATATCATAAAAAATACCTAGTGTCTTTAATCACAGTTGTGGTCACAATGTCAATATGAGTAAATGGCATAATAGCTAATGACATCATAGTAAATGTGAGGGGTAGGTGGTAAGGGCCACTGGTAAGGACAAAAGGTGGGAAGCAAGTGTCAGAAGATTAGGACTTCCAGCAAAAGTCAAGATAATGTAACTCCAGAATGAATGAAACAAAGAATGAAATTTTTTAAAAAAAATTACCAGGACAAAAAATGCCAACAATCAAAGACATACATGAGTATATGACCACATGATACAACCTATAATTCAAATTACTTGCTATTTTGGATTATTTGTTTACTTGAGAAATATTTGCTGAACACCTACTATGTGCTAGACACTGTCATAGTTATCCATACCTCTGGGCCTTACCACTACACAAAAGCCCAGAATGTGACTCCTTCCATTACATGACATTCCATCATTGCAACAAGGATGGTATGCCACATAATTTATGTTCAAGCCAATACAGTTTTGAGAGTAAAAGCCAGCACTGCTATGAATTATTTTAGCTCAACATGTGTTAGCTGAGATTGATCGAGGCAAACTGTGGAGCATGGTCACTCTAATTTTAACACAAAATATCCATAAAATAAATAATGAAAATATAACATTTGAGAATTTTTTTTGAGACTGAGTCTCACTCTGATGCCCAGACTGGAGTGCAGTGGTGCAATCTCAGCTTACTGCAACCTCTGCCTCCCAGGTTCAAGCAATTCTCCTGCCTCAGCCTCCCAAGTAGCTGGAATTATAGGTGCCTGCCACCACTCCCAGTTAATTTTTGTATTTTTAGTAGAGATGGGGTTTCACCATGTTAGCCAGGCTGGTCTCGAACTCCTGACCTCAAGTCATCCACCCACCTTGGCCTCCCAAAGTGCTGGGATTACAGGCATGAGCCACTGCACCCAGACAATTTGAGAATTATTCTAAAAATATTAACTTTAAGTATTAATTTTTCCACTAAACGAAAATGCATTTATAAGTTGCACCTTTCTATCTACTTATGGTACAGAAATACATTGATTCTTAATACAAATAAGGATGCCTGGCTCTATACATTGGGCAACTTGAGTTCTCAGGCCAAGTCTGCCATTTAT
Source organism: Homo sapiens (assembly GCF_000001405.40). Taxonomy (NCBI): domain Eukaryota; kingdom Metazoa; phylum Chordata; class Mammalia; order Primates; family Hominidae; genus Homo; species Homo sapiens. The sequence continues at coordinate 165,352,340 of NC_000006.12, forward strand.
TTCTCCAAATGAAATAAACACTCCTTCTGTGTTTTAGTATTAATTTTGGATAGAGAGAGGCCACTGACTGTCATCCATCAACTACCCAAGATAGTAATTATAATTGACATCTCCAAAAAAGATCACCTAAGAAATATTACCATATATTAGCTATAAAGTTTCAAGCAATATCAGATAAATTGATCCATTAAAAGTATAAAACCAATGAAACTAAGTTGGATATTTACCAAGCTCATAAACAACAAGCATTTTAAAAGTTATAGTTCCATTTTTAACAAATGGTGCCAGAACAACTGGACATCTGCATGAAAAAAAAAAACACAATGCATCTAGACAGAGACCTTAGAACCTTTAGAAAACTTAATTCAAAATGGATCACAACCTTAAATATAAAACACAAAACTGTAACACAGATATATAACATAGAAGAAAAATCTAGTTCATCCAGAATTTGGTGACTTTTAAATACAACACAAAGGCATGATTCATGAAAGAATAAGCTAGACTTCATTAAAAATTAAAAATGTATGCCCTGCAAAAGATACTGTCAAAAGAGTAAAAAGGCAAGCCACAGACCGAGAGAAAACATTGGCAAAAGGCATATCTGATCAAAGACTGTTACCACAAATATACAAAGAACCCTCAAAATTCAACAATAAGAAAACACCCAAATATAAAAATAGGGCTAAAGACATGAACTGACACCTCACTAAAAATATATATAAAGATGGCAAATAAGTATTTGAAAAGATGGTCCACATCATATGTCATCATAAATATGCAGATTAAGACAATGAGATAACACTACACATCTATTAGAAAGGCCAAGATCCAGAAAACTGACAATGCCCAATGCTGGATATGGAGCAAGAGGAATTCTCATTCATTGCTGGTGGGAATGCAAAAAGGTACAGCCATTGTGGAAAAGAGTCTGGTATATTTCATACAGAATTATGAAATAATTCATAATTATTCATAAGTATTTCATACAGTATGTCATAAGACATACTCTTATAATATGACCCAGTAATTATGCTCCTTAATACTTACCCAGAGGAGTTGGAAATTTATGTTTACACAAAAACCTGCACATGGATGTATAGGCAGCTTTACGAATAGTTGTCAAAACTTGGAAACAACAGTGGTGTCCTTCAGTAGATGAATGGGTAAATAAATGATGGTACATCCACACAATGCAATATTATTCAATGCTGAAAAGAAATGAGCTATCAAGCCATGAAAAGACATGGAAGAAACTTAAATGCATATTACTTTGTGGAAAAAGCCAATTTGAAAGTCAACTACTCTATGATTCCAACTATATGACATTCTGGAAAAGGCAATGGTATGAGGACTGTAAAAGGATCAGGGATTGCCAGGAGTTGCGGAGAGTGAGGAATGAATAGGCTGAGCACAAGGGATTTTTAGGGCAGTGGAATTCCTCCATATGATACTAAAATGGTGGATACGTTTGTCCAGACCCATAGAAGGTACACATCATTAAGCCTGCATCCTAATGTAAACTACAGACTTTAGGTGATAATGATGATTTAATGTTGGTTCATTAATTGTAATAAATGTACTATTCTGGTGCAGGATACCAACAGTGGGGGAAGTTGTCCATGTGTGGGGACCAGGATATAGAGGAACTCTGTACTTTCTACCCAATCTTTCTGTGAATCTAAAATTGCTTTAAGAAATAAAATTGGTTAATGTAAAAAAGAATTATAGTTTCAAATAAGATGGAAAATTAGTAGGCTAAGATAAATGCCCACATCAGAAATAACAGCTAAGTTCCAAAAGAAAAGATGAATTGGTAGTAAAGGCATGATGCCACATTGATAAGGAAAGGTAAATTGTATAGTGAAGAAAAGCAGTCTGGAAGTGTATTTCTGACTTAAGACCGTAACTTAACAGAGAAAAAAATAATTTTGGAGAAGTATCCTTTTTGAATAGTATGGAGAAAACTCATCAGCCATCCTGAATAAAGAACAACCAGCAGTGGAGGCAAATGTCCATTGGATAACCACATTAGTCCTAAGGCCAATGACATCAGCTAAGAGCATACTTAATCTTGTTTCTTTTGAACATGAATTGTCCAAACAAGAAAATAAGGAGTTAAGATATAAAAGCCACTCCAAGCTGGAGATGGTATCTTCACATCGGCACAGATGGGAATTCAGTTATTTGAATAATTCAAATCAGTTGTTCAACTGAGTTACTGAATTCCAATTGAGTTATTTCTACAACTGAGGTAAAGTGTCCATCTGCAGACTTCAGATGGGAGAAACAACTGTAAAGATATAGATGGTGCCACCTAGGGAACATGGGAAGCAAACCCAAATCTTTGAAAAGGACAGGTGGAGGAGTCCACATCCTTGTTACAGGGGAAATGATGTCTGTGTTAACTCGAGTGTTATAAGGAACTCTAGAAAATGGTGAGGAGAAGAGAAAGGTTTCCAATAGCCATGAAGGCATTTCTACGCTGGTGGTAAAAGCCTTCCAGTGACCAAATTCTACACAGTCCATCTCATATGACAGCAAAGAATGGCTTGTGTTAGGCAATTCCTTACATAATTAGCCATCACAACAATGTAAATGTGTGAATTTTGAACTCATTATTAATTCTTAAGTAGATTATAACTTTACTCATTATAATGTAGAATTCTGTGGATTGCTTCCATGAGCTTATCAATTCCTAATCACCTCACAGTGAGATAAGATCTCACTTGGTGAATTAAGGATCATTCCATATTAATCTTTTAATGATTTCCTTTAAAGTGATACTGAGGTAATCGACATCTTAAGAACAAAATACTTCAAACAAAATGCTTTGTATTTTACAAAATGCAGATTTATAGATCATACTTTTTTTATACTTTAGGTTATGTTATATAGAATGAAATGCATAAATTTGAAGGATATTAGTGAGTATGAAAATATATGCAGTCTGTAATGACCACACCAATGATGACAAGTAATGTTTTTATCACCCAGAAACCTCGTTTTCTAGTCAATGTCCCTCATCGAACCCCAGCAACTGCCAGTTTAAATTCCAGCACAATCACTAACATTATTGTTTTGCCTGTTGTAGAACTGCATTACAATAGTATCATATAGTAGTATGTAACCACTTTGCTCAAACTAACATTTGTGTGATTCAACCATGTTGTCTCATGATTCAGAGTTCATAACTTTAAAAATTGCTGAATAGTACAGTATTCCATTGTTTAAATGTCCAAAGTTGTGTATCTAGCCCCTGTTGCTGGACATTTAGGTTGCCACCAGGTGGGATATACTAAGAGTAATGTTGCTATGAATGTGTGTCCTAGCCTGTGTGTGAAAGTACACTTTCATTCCTCTTGGATAAAAATACCTGAGAGTGAACTGCTAGAACACAGTATAAGAACATGTTCAGCTTTATTAAAACAAAACAAAATAAAAACAAAACAACTAAGGTGTTTTCTAAAGCAGCTGTACAAATTCTATACTCTTACCAGCAATATATGAGTATTTCAGCTGCTTGACATCCTTGCTGTATTAGTCCATTTTCACACCGCTATAAAGAATTACCTGATACTGGGTAATTTATAAAGAAAAGAGGTTTAATTGACTCACAGTTCCACATGGCTGGGGAGGCCTCAGCAAACTTACAATCATGGCGAAGGTGAAAGGGAAGCAAGTATTATATGGCTGCAGGAGAGAGAGAGCAAGCAAAGTGGGAGGTGCCACACACTTTCAAACAACCAGATCTGGGTGAGAATTCATTCACTATCATGAGAATGGCAAAGGGAAAATCTGTCCCCATGACTCAATCACCGCTCACCAGGCCCCTCCCTTGACACATGCAGATTACAATCCGAGATGAGATTTAGGTGGGGACACAGCCAAACAATATCACTTGCCAACAACTGATAATGTTGGTCTTTGTAATTTTGGCCATTCTAGTGGGTGCATAATGGTACATACACCACCCTGGTTTTACCTTATGATTAGAGATGTTGAGAAAATTCCATGTGTTTATTGGCTTTAAATTCTGTAAAAATCTTTCATATAATTTTTTTCTTGGGTTGTTTTATTATTGACTTTACAAAGTTATATAATACCTTCGTCAAACATAAATACTGAGAATATTTTCTCACATTATGTGGCTTGTCTTTTCATTTCCTTAAAGGTACCTTTTAAGGATCTTGTTTTTTAGCATGATGAAGTCTCATCTGTCATTTATTTGTTTAAAGGTTCATCCATTTTTGTGCCTACCCTAAGGTCATGAAGATTTTCTCCCATGTTTTGTTTTAGAAATTTTATAATTTTAATTCTTATATTTAGGTCTCTCATCCAACTAAAACTGGTAAAGAACCATTTGCAGAAAAGACAGTTGTTCATATACAAAAAATATAATTGATTTTTTAAAAAATGTTGACCACATAGCCTGTAAACTTGCTTAATTCGCTTATTAATTCTAGTACATTTTTTGGAGATGACTTAGGTGTTTTTCAGTAGATGGCATGTAATTTAAAAATAAAGTCAGATTTACTTTTTTCTTTCAAATCTTTATGCCTTTCATTTCTATTTCTTTCTATAATTCACTGGCTAGGACCTCCAATTCAGAGTACTACAGAACTAGACAGAGGGGGTATTACTTAATATATGAACTATCATCACGGGGGCTATGATGTGTTCATACACTTTTTACAATATTAAAGAAGTTCCATTGTATTCCTAGTTTTCTGAGATTTTTGGCCTTCATAAATGGAGGTGTAATTTTGTCAGATGCTTTTTCTACATCTATTGTAATAATCATATGATGTCTCTTCTTCATTCTGTTGTGGTGAATTTTGGAAATGTTAAGCCAGTTTCCTAATCCTGCAATAAAATTCTTGTTATGACATATGATCTTGTTATATGTGATTGAACATGTTATATTTTGTTATGAATTTTACAGTTATACTTTTACAGTTATATATGGTCATGAGTTTTATAGTTAGATCCAAAGGGAATACTGAACTTGAATTTACTGTTTTTGTGATGTTTTTGACAGACTTTGGAAATCAGGATTATTTAGCCTTCATAAAATAAGGTAGGAAATGGTTCTTGTCCTTCTTTTGGAAAGCTTTTGTGCAAGATTGTTTGATAGCAACCCCACATGAAGCTGTTGAGGCCTGGTCCTGAGGGATGGGTGGTTTGTTTGTTTGTTTGTTTTAAGATTAGATTTCTTCAATGAAATATTCAGAGTTCTTTTTGGTTCAAGTATAGTAAGCTGGATTTCTCAAAAAATTTATCCGGTTCATCTAAGTTTCAAATTTATTAGCATATTATTTATAATACTCTCTTATTATCCCAATGTAATCTAAGTGCTATCCCCTCTTTCACTGTCAACATTGGCAATTGGTGTTAATATTTTCTTTTTTTTCCTTAATTAGTCAGAATTGTATCCATTTTAATAGTCTTTTCAAAGAACTACTGGCATTTCGAATCTTCCTTCTGTTGCTTGCTTTATGTTTTATTGCTCTCTTATCCAGATTATTTACTTCCCACAAGTTAGGCTTTAATTTACTCTTTTTTTCTAGCTGCTTAAGGATTTAAATCACTGATGAACATACACATTGAAAGTTATACATTTCCCTCTCAGCACTGTTTTAGCTGCATCCTACAGATTTTGATATAGTTTGTTTTCACTGTCATTCTGGTTGAGGTATTCTCGGACTTCCCGTGGAGTGTCTCTTTTGACTCATGGGTTATTTAGAAGTATACTGTTTACTTTCCAAATGGTTGGGGTTTTCCAGATAGCTTATCATTATTTTTAATTTAATTCCTCTGTGGTAAAATAATACTCCTAAGACTTCAATCTTTTGAAATTTATTGACAAATTAGGTCACAATAGTGTCGTTTAGATCTCTGTTAGCCTTAGCGAACTTTTACATAGTTCTTCTGTAAGTTACTTAAGGAGGGATATAAAACTCTCCAACTAGGATTTTGGATTTGTTTACTTTTTAGTTCTGTGTTTTTTTGTTCGTTTGTTTTTGAAGCTTTGTTATTAGGTGCATGTACATTCTGCATTTATTATGTCTTTTGTACATTGACCATTTCAGAGTAAACTTGACCTCTTTATATCTGGCAATGTTTCCTATCTTAAAGATTATTTTGTACAATTTTAATATAGGTACACCAGTTTTTTTTTTTTAATGCTGTTGCCATGGTATATCTTTATCATTTGCTTTCAACAAATCTTTCTACTTAAAGTGCATACGTCATAGACAACATGGAACTCGGTCTTGCTATTTAGCTGGTCTGATCATTTCTGGCTAATTCAGATATTCAGTCTATGTATATTTAATTTAATTGTTGGTTTTATTAGGTTCAAATGTACCATCTTGGGATTTGTTTTCTATTTGTTGAATCTGTTTTTGCTCCTCTTGTCCTGCTTCCCTGTGGTTTTATCAAATGTACTTTTACTATTCAATATTTTTGTCTACTTTTAAAAGCTATACAGTTTCAGTAGATAAATATGCATATTCTAATCTCTAGGGAAACTGTAAAAAGAGCAAATCTCTTTTTTTTACTCTTTTTACAGTTTCCCTGGGGATTATAATATGCATACTTATCTACTGAAAATTAATGTTCTTCCACTTAACACTTCACTCTACCCTTCACAAATGTAAGAAACTTATAACTATAGAATATATAGAACTATAATTCTACATAGTCTCATCCTTTGTGCTGTTTTCATATTTAATCACTACATATGATACAAACCCTATCTTACCCTAGTATTATTTTTGCTTGAACCACTCATTCATTTTTTAGAAAAATAGAAGAAACAGTATTCTGTTAATATGTTCTATTTATCTACATATTTGCTACTTTACCTTCCTACAGACTGAGTTTTCATCTGGTAATTCATCACTCTGAGGTTTCTCCTTTAGTATGTCATGTTATTCCTGTCTGCTGACAACATATTCTTCCAGCTTTTATTTATCACAAAAATGTCCTTATTTCAGCCTCCTTTTTTGAAGAATGTTTCTAATGGACATAGGATTTGGAACAGACAGTGCTTTGAATACGTCCATGTTTTTGCTCTCCATGATTTCTGGCAAGAAACACGCATCATGTGTAGTATTTTACCCTGTTTGTTACGTGTTGTTTCTCCCTGGTACTTTATTATTCTCAAATTTCTTTGGGGCTCAATTTTATAATTTTCACTTCTCTGCTAAAATTCTGCATTTTTTCACTCCTTAAAATCAATTTTTGTTTAACACCTTGAACATATTTAGAGTCACTGATTTCCAGTCCTTCCCTGCTAATTCCACAATCTAAGTCATCTTGGGCTCTGTTTCTCCTGACTGCTTATGTCTTCTTGATTGTGGGTCCTATTTTCCTGCTTCTTTATATTTGTAGTAAAGGGCCAGATAGTAAATACTTCAATTTTGGTGGGCTATATGTAACATCTGTCACATATCTTTTTTTTTCTGTTCTTTTTTGTTTACCAGTGCATTACAAACGTAAACTCATCCCAGTTTGTGGGCTGTGCACACAGACAGGGCACACCAGATGTGGCCTGAGGCTTTAGAGTGCCAACCCCTATTTCTGACAGTCCATTATGAGAAATCTGGGTCATGATGTCTCCCTTTTGAGTTTATTTCTGCCAGGCTGTTACTTCACTAGTGGATCTCCCCAATCCTGTGGAAGTTTGAGTTTACGCTTTGGTTAGGAGAATCAAGTATTGTCTTTGTTCCACAGTGTGGTCCATACCCACGATATGGCTTTGCTGATACTCTATCCTGTGGTGTGGACAAGCTCTCTCTACTCTAGATGAGCTGAAAGTCTGTTTCCAAATACTGTGTGATCCCTACAATCTCCGTGGGATGCTTAACTCTGCACACTGTGGCACTCTCAACTGCTCTGCTAGGGCCTGTGAAATTCCACCCCAGGTATGAGAAACTCAGGCCCAGCCACTGACCCGTGAGGAGCTTCTGCAGATTCTTGGCATCTCAGCACAATTCCCACATCTCCCGGATTCTACCCAGTGCTGCTATAAGGCTCTGCTTTCGTTCCACTGCCCTGTCCCAGAGTCAGGAAATTATCCTCAACTGGATAAATGTAGGAGTTCATATGTTTCACTTTTCTCAAGGATTACAGTCCTTTATCACCTACCATCCAATGTCAGTTGCCTAGAGGTACTCCCATAAAGAGTGGATGTTGTAGGAGGAGGCAACTGGGAGGACATGGATGGATTTATTGGAGATACAGGCTCAACTGTAGTTTGGAAAAACTGCTGAGGAGAAACTGGGGAAGAGGTGGCTGGGAGGAGCCATCCTATGGTGAGACAAATCTCAAATAACCGAGTGCTGGAAACGGGCCTTGAAAGGGCCCATATTTGACTGACTCTGTCTGTAAAGCAATGTCTCCCCCAAATACTGTTGTTGTAAACAATAAAGCCACCAGCTGATGGCTGTTGGAACTTAAGAGTAGGGTGTGGGTCAGGAAAAGAGACAGTCAAAGAGACATGCCAAAACCACTGTCCTTCCAGGTGACTGTGGGTACACCAATGCTGTCCCCTTTGAGGATCAACATCAAAGGCTTAATACTGGGGGGTTCATTACTTAAGGGAAAAAGACAATTTGCTTTCCCCCAAAGAACAGGAACAAGAAGAATGCCTGCTCTTGCCACTTAAATTCAGCACAAGCCAGACATTTATCAAATAGAAAGAAAAGGCAAACAGATTAAAAGAGAATTGTATAACTATCTCTATTTGAAGATGACATAATCTTATGTGTGTACAGAGATGCCTAAGCATTAGAAGTAATAAATGCGTTCATCAAGGTTTCAAGATACAAGATAAGCAGTACAGAAATCAATAAACAGGCCTAAAAGACATGTACAGAGCACTCCACCAAACACCACAGAATATATATTCTTTTTGAGTACAGATGGAACATCCCCCAGGCTAAATCAAATGTCAGGAAATAAAACAAGCCTCATTAGATTTAAAAGAATAAAAATAATATAAAGTATGTTCTTTGACCACAATTAAATCAATAACAAAAAGAAACTTGGAATCTTCAAACATTTATGGAAATTTAAAAACATATTCTCATATGACTATTATGCACGAAATTGTGTCCCTCAAAGAGATATGCTGAAGTCCTGACAGTTCCTCAGAACGTGACCTTATATAGAAATAGTGTTCTTCCAGACATAATTCGTTAAGATGAGGAAATATTGGAAAAGTGTGGGCCCTTAATACAATATGACTGGTGTCCTTATAGGAAGAGGAAAGTGATACAAAGAAGGAAAGACACCAGGGGAATACAGAGACACACAGGTATCTCATCACTGGCATGTGATGATGGAGGCAGAGATTGGAGTGATACTCTCATAGACTACAAATGCCTGAAGTTGCCAGTATCTGTTAAAAAGTAGGAGAGAAACATTGAACTTACTGTCCTTCTGAACCCTCCAGAAGGAACCAACGTTGCCGGTACCTTGATTTCAGACTTCTGGCCTTAAGAATTGTGAGAAAATAAATTTCTATTGTTTTAAGCCATCTGGTTTGTGGTATACTTTGTTAACAGCAGTCCTAGAATATGAATACAATAACAAATGTATCAAAGTTAAGAAATTAAAAAGGAAATGTGAAAATCCCTTGAGATGTATGAAAATAAAGACACAATATATCAAAGCTCATGGGATGCAGTTAAACAGTAGTTAGAGGAAAATTTAGAGCTATGAATGTCTATATTAAGAAAGAAGAAATAATTCAAATTAATAACCTAAACTGCCTTAAGACTGAAAAAGGAGGAGCTAACTAAAACTAAAGCAAACAGAAGTAAGCAAATAAAGATTACAAAAGAAATACATGAAATTTGGATGAGAAAAACATTAGAAAAAAATCAATGATACCAAAAGCTGGTTATTTGAAAAGATCAACAAAACTGACAAACTTTTAAGCTAGACTGACCAAGAAAAGACAGAGAGGGAGAGGGAGAAAAAGAAAGACGATTCAACTTAATAAGGAACAGAAACGAAAAAGGGAACTTTACTACCAATCTTACAGAAATAAAAAGGATCATAAAGAACTACCATGAACAACTGTATGCCAATAAAGTAGACAAGTTAGTTGAAAATGGACAAATTTCTAGAAAGACACAAGTGACTAAATATGACATAAGAAGAAATAGTCAATGTGAATAGACCTATAAAAAGTACAAAGACTGAATTAGCAGTCAAAGGGAAAAATAACAACCACAAAGAAACATCTATACCCACATGACTTCACTGGTAAATTCTATACATTTGAAGATGAATTAATACAAATTCTTCATAAACTCTTCCAAAAAAACAGTAGAGGAGGGAATACTTCCCAGCTAATTCCATGAGGCCAGTGTTACCCTGACACCAAAATAAGACAAATACCACAAAAAAGAAAAGTACAGACCAGTATAATTTATGAATACAGGCACTAATGTCCTCAACGAAATATCATCAAGCCAAATCCAGCAATATATAGAACAACTATACACCATTATTACCTGATATCTATCATAGGAATGCAAGGTTGGTTTAACATCTAAATATCAATTAATCTAATGCACCTTACTAATAGAATAAATAACAAAAACTGCTTGATAATCTCGATAGATGCAGATAAAGCATATGACAAAATCCAACACCCATTCACAATAAAAAAAATAAACACTCAACAAATCAGAATTAGAAGGAAACTTCCTCAACCTGATAAAGTTCATCTATAAAATACCCATATCTAATACCACACTTAATGGTGAAAGACTAGATGCTTTCCCCCTGAAATCAGAAACAAGAAAAGGATGTCTTCTCTTGTCACTGATATTCAGCATAAGCCAAACCAATGATTAAATAAAAAGAAAGAAATGGGCCAGGTGCCATGACTCACGCCTGTAATCCCAGCACTTTGGGAGGCTGAGGCAGGTAAACCATGAGGTCAGGAGTTCAAGACCAGCCTGGTCAAGATGGTGAAACCCCGTCTCTACTAAAAATACAAAAAATAGCCAGGCATGGTGGCAGGTGCCTGTAATCCCAGCTACTCGGGAGGCTGAGGCAGGAGAATTGCTTGAACCCGGGGGAAGGAGGGTGCAGTGAGCTGAGATCGTGCCACTGCACTCCCAGCCTGGGCGACTGAGTGAGACTCTGTCTCAAAAAAGAAAAAAAAAACAGAAAAGAAAAGAAAGAAAGAAATGACAGATTCTGAATGCAATTGTTTGTACAACTATCTCTATTTGAAGACGACATGACCTTGTGTGCACAAAGAGAAACCTAAGCAATGCACCAAAAAATTATTAGAAGAAATGAGTTCATTAAGGTGTCAAGATATAAGATCGGTAGTACAAAAATCAATTATTTCTACATACTAACAATAAAAAATGTGAAAATAAAATTAACAAAATTCCACTTACAATATTATCAAAACAATAAAATCCTTAGTAATAAATTTAACAATAGAAGTACAAAATATGGACTTGAAAACTAGAAAACATGGTTGAAAAATATTAAAGAACAAGTAAGTAAATGGAAAAGCATCTCATATTCACAGACTTAATATTGTTAAGACGGCAATACTTCCAAAATTGATTTACAGATTCAACATTTTCTGCATCAGAATCCTAGCTAGCTTTTCTTTAGAAACTGACAAGGTGATTCACATGGAATTGCTAGAGACCCAGAATAGTGAAAACAATATCGGGAAAGAAGAGAGGAAGGAAGGATCAGTAACAGAAAAGCACTTACTGTTATTCTACATATTTGTAACTCTAGATAATACAAGTTTCTATAGACTGAATGTTTCTTTCCCCTAAAATTAATATGTTAAATCCTAATGTCCAACATGTTAGTATTTGGAGGTGGGACTTTTGGAAGGAAGGTGATTATGTCATGAGGGTAGAGCCCTCATGAATGGGATTAGTTCCCACATAATAGAAACCTCAGAGAGCTCCCTCCCTTCTTCCATCAAGTGAGGTGGCAGCTAGAAGATGGCTCTCTAGGAACCAGAAAACAGGCCCTCACTCAAATTGAGACACTCAAACTGCCAGTAGCTTGATTCTGGAATACTCATACCCCAAATATGTGAGAAGTAACCTTTTATAAGCCACCCAGTCTATGGTATTTCGTTATAATAGCCTGAAGGGACTAAGACACACATATAATCTATAAAGAAAGAACACATTGATTTCTATGCCTGGGGTAGGGAAATTTGATTGGAAAAAGGTAGAGTGGTGGCAGACTTTTTTATACCTTTACTGTGACTCTGCTAGTAGTTGCATTTGCCAAAACTTAAAATTAGTGTAATTACACCTAAATAAAGTTGCTTTAACAATCATCTTTTCTGTCTTGGCCAGGAAGAAAATATTGATCAACTATAAAATTTTAACTTAATAGTTATATTCTTTTTACAACAATCCAAAGAAGTCTCTAGGAACAAAATAAAAAATAAAAAACAAGCAAACATCCAAAGTATTTCGAAATTAGAAAATTACTTTGAAATAACCTCTACATCAACAAGGAAACAAAAGCAGAAATAAATAATCTAAAAACTAAGGAAAAGTACTTCATCAAAACTTGCAAGGTATAGTTCAGTCAATGCCCAGATCATAATACATATAATCTGATTATTTCATTACTATTCAATCAGAGAAACAAGAAAAAAATCCAAAAGTATAGTGAAAGCATAAAAATAAAAGTTAAAATTAATGAAAGAACAGACAACAAATAAATGAAAAATTTTATAAAAGTTAGTTTTATTAAAAAGGAGTAATTAAAAATTCCCAGGCAAAATGGATTATATAAGAAAGGAAGAAATAAAAATGTAAAACACTGAAAATTAGATATAAATACAAATTTAGTAATATCAATTAAATTTTAAGTGAAAATAATCTGTGCATACATTTTTTATGAAGTTTTAAATCTCAAGGCAAAAGATAATTTTGTAGCATAATACATTGACCAAGAGATGGAATAAAGTGGCAAAAACAAAACAAATCCCCAAACCATAAAAGACACTGAAAGTTTGTTAAATATTTTTCATTTAAAAAGGTGACAGGCTGGACATGATGGCTCATACCTGTAATCCCAGCACTTTGGGAGGCTGGGGTGGGAAGATCATTTGAGCCCTGGAGTTCAAGACCAGCACTGGCAACATAGCAAGACTCTGTCTCAACAAATTATCTCAACAAATAATGACAAAAAATGTAGCCAGGCATGATGGTGTTTGCCTATGGTCTCAGCTATTTAGCTACTTGAAAGACTGAGGTAGGAGGAACCCTTGAGCCTGGGAGGTCAAGGCTGCAGTGAGCTGTGGTTGTGCCACTGTACTTAAGCCTGGGGGACAGAGAAAACCCGGTCTCAAAAAAGTGAATTAAATTAAATTAAAATTTAAAAGGTGACTGGATAGTTTCACAAATGAGTAATTCCCAAAATGATTAAATGAACCTTCCCAAAATGGTTAACATTAGTTATTTAAAGTCTTCCAGATCAGAAAGAAAGATCAATAGCTTCTAGCAAATTATAATGTACAAAAAAGACAACTATATGTCAAAATTAATAGATTACATGCAAATATGCTAAAAAAGAAAATTTTATTTCCTCAGCCTATTAAAGAACTAATTCCATGGAAAAGTACAGTTCAGGAAATTAAGGAGTGGCACAAAATTAGAAAATTTAAAAACCTATTCATCAAATAAGAAATCAGTAACACTAAGAAATTAGAGAAAAACCTTCTATCCATGGAACATGGATACAGATAAACCTTATACATGATAAACATGATTTATCAAGATACATCAAATACTACCTTAAAAATTAAAACTCTAAACTCATGTCTATTAAAGTCATGCACATATTAGAATGTGCTTGCTTTCTTCACAATAAGCTAATATTGTGTTGTAAATTCTAGCTATGCAGTCAGATCAGAAAGCAAAATACATACAAACATCAGAAAAGTAGAACAAATTTTATTCATTTGTAGATGACATTACTATATACCTTAAAAAGCCAAGAGACTAAAATAAAACTTTTCAGCTGATAAAGAGTATATAATGAAATGGCTAGATACTAAACAAAGTTTTAAGATTCTGGTAATCATAGAATAATAATAATAAATTCTAGATAGAACTAAAAACAAATCTTGAAGATGCTGTCTAGTACCTAAAAACTGGCGTAAGTGGAAGAAGATTTAAACGTTGAAAGGCAAGACCACGTTGGGTGACATCCTTATTTACACAGCTCTTCTCCTAAGGGCATGTCATAAATACAGCCCAAAAGAAAGTCAGGGCCCATTGAGAAGGGAGAGTCTGGGGATGTCAGAGCACACACAAGTTGAGGAGGGAAATCCTAGAAAGCAGGGAGAACCACAGAAGTGGAAGTCCCCAAATTGGAATTCATACAAATCCCTGACAGAGTACACCAAGGCCAAAACAGAAATGGAACCACCCAACTAAAGCTTAAAGGAACATACTCATATATTTAGGATGATTGATGAGAAATGCAACTGGCCACTAGGATAAAAGTTAATTACCTTCAGAGAAAGACAAGAGCATCCAGAAAGATAATGGAGCTTGTTGCCCATTATGTAATATACAAATATAAAAAAATTACTAGCCATGTAAAGAAACTGAAAAATGTATTACACTGTCTAGAGTAAAATCAGTCAACAAGACAAAACTCATAGAAAACCCAGATAGTGAAAATTCAGACAACAATCTCTAAATAATGTACAGATACGCTAAAGAATCTTCAGGAAAATATATATTTAGAAAAGATAGGTGAAGAGATGGGGAATTTCAGGAGAAACATAGCAGCTATAAAAATGAATGAAAAGGAAATCCCAGAACTTGAAAATATTACATATATATATATACACACACACATATGTGTGTGTGTGTGTGTGTGTGCGTGCATCTGTGTGTATTTTCTAAAAATCACAACATGAGGTTAACTACAGATTGGACAGAATATTAGGAAAAAAAACAGTGAGATTAGACAGATCACAACAAAATACACAAACCATTACCAGTGAAAAACCATACAGAGCCTTAATAACCTGTAACACAGTATAAAGGGGTCTAACAGAAGTGTCAGAGTCTCAGAAGAAAAGAGACATAATGGGGCAGAAAAAACATCTGAAGAAATGTAATGCTTGAAACTTCTCCAAACTTCACTGAAATCAGCAGCCCACAGACCCAGAAACCTCAGAAGACACCAAGAAGAATGACTGTAAAAGCGGTCAGGGTAAAAGATCACAGTATACTGAGGAGAACAACAACTGCTGACTTTTCCCCTCAGGAGGGGGAAAAAAAAAAAGACAGAGGCCAGAAGACCATTTACTGACTTTTATGAAATGATGAAAAAATAATCTGCCCACTAAGAACTCTAAGTCCAGTGAAAATATCTTTAAAAAGCGAAGCCACAATAAAGCCATTCTTAGATTAAAAAAAAACAAAAACAAAAAACAAAAACAAAAAAACACCTCAAAGGATCTGCTGTCAACACACTGAGAGATGTTAAAGGAGGTTATTTGGGCTCAAATGAAATGATAGAAGTTGGAAATTTGGATTTACATTAATGAATTAAAAACAGAGGAAATGGTATACATGTGAAAAATATAAAAAGTTATTTTTCCTAAATTCTTTTCTTGTTTTTTTGAGATGAAGTCTTGCTCTGTAGCCCAGACTGGAGTGCAGTGGCATGGTCTTGGCTCACTGCTACCTCTACCTCCCGGGTTCAAGCGATTTTCCTGCCTCAGCCTCCCGAGTGTCTGGGATTACAGGCATGCACCACCACACCTGGCTAATTTTTGTATTTTTACTACAGATGGGGTTTCCCCATGTTGGCTAGGCTGGCCTTGAACTCCCGGCCTCAAGTGATCAGCCTGGCTTGGCATCCCAAAGTGCTGGGATTAAAGGTGTGAGTCACCACACCCAGCCCATATTTCTTAAATTCTTTAATAATTGATTCATTATTTAATTTTAAATATTAGCAACCTATGTGGGGTGTATAACATATGCAGCAATAATAGCTACATATATAACTATAGCAGAAAAGACAAAAAGAGGTATAAATTGAATTATTTTAAAGTTTTTCACATTGAACAAAATGGAAATAATATCAATTCAAAGCGGACTAATAAAAATGCATACTGTAAACTCAGGAACAACCACTTGAAAATTTAAAAAGGGTATAACAAGAAAAACCAAAAGCAAATATAGAATGAAATATCACTCCCCCAACACAAATAGCTCAAAATAGAAAATGGATAATTAGACAACTTATAAATGCAAATAGACTAAACAGTACATTAAAAAGCAGTGATTTCAGACTTAAATGTCCCTGTCTGACAGCTCTGAAGAGAGCAGTGGTTCTCCCAGCACGTAGCTGGAGATCTGAGAACGGGCAGACTGCCTCCTCAAGTGGGTCCCTGACCCCTGACCCCTGAGCAGCCTAACTGGGAGGCACCCCCAAGTAGGGGCAGACCGACACCTCACACGGCCCGGTACTCCTCTGAGACAAAACTTCCAGAGGAACGATCAGACAGCAGCATTCGCGGTTCACGAAAATCCACTGTTCTGCAGACACCGCTGCTGATACCCAGGCAAACAGGGTCTGGAGTGGACCTCTAGCAAACTCCAACAGACCTGCAGCTGAGGGTCCTGTCTGTTAGAAGGAAAACTAACAAACAGAAAGGACATCCACACCAAAAACCCATCTGTACATCACCATCATCAAAGACCAAAAGTAGATAAAACCACAAAGATGGGGAAAAAACAGAGCAGAAAAACTGGAAACTCTAAAAAGCAGAGCACCTCTCCTCCTCCAAAGGAACACAGTTCCTCACCAGCAACGGAACAAAGCTGGATGGAGAATGACTTTGACGAGCTGAGAGCAGAAGGCTTCAGACGATCAAATTACTCTGAGCTACGGGAGGACATTCAAACCAAAGACAAAGAAGCTGAAAACTTTGAAAAAAATTTAGAAGAATGTATAACTAGAATAACCAATACAGAGAAGTGATTAAAGGAGCTGATGGAGCTGAAAACCAAGGCTCAAGAACTACGTGAAGAATGCAGAAGCCTCAGGAGCTGATGCGATCAACTGGAAGAAAGGGTATCAGCAATGGAAGATGAAATGAATGAAATGAAGCGAGAAGGAAGTTTAGAGAAAAAAGAATAAAAAGGAATGAGCAAAGCCTCCAAGAAATATGGGACTATGTGAAAAGACCAAATCTATGTCTGATTGGTGTACCTGAAAGTGATGGGGAGAATGGAACCAAGTTGGAAAACACTCTGCAGGATATTATCCAGGAGAACTTCCCCAACCTAGCAAGGCAGGCCAACGTTCAGGTTCAGGAAATACAGAGAACGCCACAAAGATACTCCTCGAGAAGAGCAACTCCAAGACACATAATTGTCAGATTCACCAAAGTTGAAATGAAGGAAAAAATGTTAAGGGCAGCCAGAGAGAAAGGTCGGGTTACCCACAAAGGGAAGCCCATCAGACTAACAGCAAATCTCTCGGCAGAAACCCTACAGGCCAGAAGAGAGTGGGGGCCAATATTCAACATTCTTAAAAGAAAAGAATTTTCAACCCAGAATTTCATATCCAGCCAAACTAAGCTTCAAAAGTGAAGGAGAAATAAAATACTTTACAGACAAGCAAATGCTGAGAGATTCTGTTACCACCAGGCCTGCCTTACAAGAGCTCCTGAAGGAAGCACTAAACATGGAAAGGAACAACCGGTACAGCCGCTGCAAAATCATGCCAAAATGTAAAGACCATCGAGACTAAGAAGAAACTGCATCAACTAACGAGCAAAATAACCAGCCAACATCATAATGACAGGATCAAATTCACACATAACAATATTAACTTTAAATGTAAATGGACTAAATGCTCCAATTAAAAGACACAGACTGGCAAATTGGATAAAGAGTCAAGACCCATCAGTGTGCTGTATTCAGGAAACCCATCTCACGTGCAGAGACACACATAGGCTCAAAATAAAAGGATGGAGGAAGATCTACCAAGCAAATGGAAAACAAAAAAAGGCAGGGGTTGCAATCCTAGTCTCGGATAAAACAGACTTTAAACCAACAAAGATCAAAAGAGACAAAGAAGGCCATTACATAATGGTAAAGGGATCAATTCAACAAGAAGAGCTAACTATCCTAAATATATATGCACCCAATACAGGAGCACCCAGATTCACAAAGCAAGTCCTGAGTGACCTACAAAGAGACTTAGACTCCCACACAATAATAATGGGAGACTTTAACACCCCACTGTCAACATTAGACAGATCAACGAGACAGAAAGTTAACAAGGATACCCAGGAATTGAACTCAGCTCTGCACCAAGCGGACCTAATAGACATCTACAGAACTCTCCACCCCAAATCAACAGAATATACATTTTTTTCAGCACGACACCACACCTATTCCAAAATTGACCACATACTTGGAAGTAAAGCTCTCCTCAGCAAATGTAAAAGAACAGAAATTATAACAAACTGTCTCTCAGACCACAGTGCAATCAAACTAGAACTCAGGGTTAAGAAACTCACTCAAAACTGCTCAACTACATGGAAACTGAACAACCTGCTCCTGAATGACTACTGGGTACATAACGAAATGAAGGCAGAAATAAAGATGTTCTCTGAAACCAATGAGAACAAAGACACAACATACCAGAATCTCTGGGACACATTCAAAGCAGTGTGTAGAGGGAAATTTATAGCACTAAATGCCCACAAGAGAAAGCAGGAAAGATCCAAAATTGACACCCTAACATCATAATTAAAAGAACTAGAAAAGCAAGAGCAAACACATTCAAAAGCTAGCAGAAGGCAAGAAATAACTAAAATCAGAGCAGAACTGAAGGAAATAGAGACACAAAAAACATTTCAAAAAATTAATGAATCCAGGAGCTGGTTTTTTGAAAGGATCAACAAAATTGATAGACTGCTAGCAAGACTACTAAAGAAAAAAAGAGAAAAATCAAATAGACGCAATAAAAAATGATAAAGGGCATATTGCCACCAATCCCACAGAAATACAAACTACCATGAGAGAATACTACAAACACCTCTACGCAAATAAACTAGAAAATCTAGAAGAAATGGATAAATTCCTCGACACATACACTCTCCCAAGACTAAACCAGGAAGAAGTTGAATCTCTGAATAGACCAATAACAGGAGCTGAAATTGTGGCAATAATCAACAGCTTACCAACCAAAAAGAGTCCAGGACCAGATGGATTCACAGCCAAATTCTACCAGAGTACAAGGAGGAACTGGTACCATTCCTTCTGAAACTATTCCAATCAATAGAAAAAGAGGGAATCCTCCCTAACTCATTTTATGAGGCCAGCATCATCCTGATACCAAAGCCGGGCAGAGACACAACCAAAAAAGAGAATTTTAGACCAACATCCTTGATGAACATTGATGCAAAAATCCTCAATAAAATACTGGCAAACCAAATCCAGCAGCACATCAAAAAGCTTATCCACCATGAGCAAGTGAGCTTCATCCCTGGGATGCAAGGCTGGTTCAATATATGCAAATCCATAAATGTAATCCAGCATATAAACAGAACCAAAGACAAAAACCACATGATTATCTCAATAGCTGCAGAAAAGGCCTTTGACAAAATTCAACAACCCTTCATGCTAA
The DNA here is from genome assembly GCF_000001405.40 of Homo sapiens. Classification (NCBI taxonomy): domain Eukaryota; kingdom Metazoa; phylum Chordata; class Mammalia; order Primates; family Hominidae; genus Homo; species Homo sapiens. The sequence continues at coordinate 165,372,041 of NC_000006.12, forward strand.
AAACTCTCAATAAATTAGGTATTGATAGGACGTATCTCAAAATAATAAGAGCTATCTATGACAAACCCACAGCCAATATCATACTGAATGGGCAAAAACTGGAAGCATTCCCTTTGAAAACTGGCACAAGACAGGGATGCCCTCTCTCACCACTCCTATTCAACATAGTGTTGGAAGTTCTGGCCAGGGCAATCAGGCAGGAGAAGGAAATAAAGGGTATTCAATTAGGAAAAGAGGAAATCAAATTGTCCCTGTTTGCAGATGACATGATTGTATATCTAGAAAACCCCATTGTCTCAGCCCAAAATCTCCTTAAGCTGATAAGCAACTTCAGCAAAGTCTCAGGATACAAAATCAATGCACAAAAATCACAAGCATTCTTATACACCAATAACAGACAAACAGAAAGCCAAATCATGAGTGAACTCCCATTCACAGTTGCTTCAAAGAGAATAAAATACCTAGGAATCCAACTTACAAGGGACGTGAAGGACCTCTTCAAGGAGAACGACAAACCACTGCTCAATGAAATAAAAGAGGATACACACAAATGGAAGAACATTCCATGCTCATGGGTAGGAAGAATCAATATTGTGAAAATCGCCATACTGCCCAAGGTAATTTATAGATTCAATGCCATCCCCATCAAGCTACCAATGACTTTCTTCACAGAATTGGAAAAAAATACTTTAAAGTTCATATGGAACCAAAAAAGAGCCCGCATTGCCAAGTCAATCCTAAGCCAAAAGAACAAAGCTGGAGGCATCACGCTACCTGACTTCAAAGTATACTACAAGGCTACAGTAACCAAAACAGCATGGTACTGGTACCAAAACAGAGAAACAGATCAGTGGAACAGAAGAGAGCCCTCAGAAATAACGCTGCATATCTACAACCATCTGATCTTTGACAAACCTGACAAAAACAAGAAATGGGGAAAGGATTCCCTATTTAATAAATGGTGCTGGGAAAACTGGCTAGCCATATGTAGAAAGCTGAAACTGGATCCCTTCCTTACACCTTATATAAAAATTAATTCAAGATGGATTAAAGACTTAAATGTTAGACCTAAAACCATAAAAACCCTAGAAGAAAACCTAGGCATTACCATTCAGGACATAGGCATGGGCAAGGACTTCATGTCTAAAACACCAAAAGCAATGGCAACAAAAGACAAAATTGACAAATGGGATCTAATTAAACTAAAGAGCTTCTGCACAGCAAAAGAAACTACCATCAGAGTGAACAGGCAACCTACAAAATGGGAGAAAATTTTTCGCAACCTACTCATCTGACAAAGGGCTAATATCCAGAATCTACAATGAACTCAAACAAATTTACAAGACAAAAACAAACAACCCCATCAAAAAGTGGGCAAAGGATATGAACGGACACTTCTCAAAAGAAGACATTTATGCAGCCAAAAGACACATGAAAAAATGCTCATCATGACTGGCCATCAGAGAAATGCAAATCAAAACCACAATGAGATACCATCTCACACCAGTTAGAATGGCAATCATCAAAAAGTCAGGAAACAACAGGTGCTGGAGAGGATATGGAGAAATAGGAACACTTTTACACTGTTGGTGGGACTGTAAACTAGTTCAACCATTGTGGAAGTCAGTGTGGCGATTCCTCAGGGATCTAGAACTAGAAATACCATGTGACCCAGCCATCCCATTACTGGGTATATACCCAAAGGACTATAAATCATGCTGCTGTAAAGACACATGCACATGTATGTTTATTGCGGCACTATTCACTATAGCAAAGACTTGGAACAAACCCAAATGTCCAACAATGATAGACTGGATTAAGAAAATGTGGCACATATACACCATGGAATACTATGCAGCCATAAAAAATGATGAGTTCATGTCCTTTGTAGGGACATGGATGAAATTGGAATCATCATTCTCAGTAAACTATCGCAAGGACAAAAAACCAAACACCGCATGTTCTCACTCATAGATGGGAATTGAACAATGAGAACACATGGACACAGGAAGGGAAACATCACACTCTGGGGACTGTTGTGGGGTGGGGGGAGGGGGGAGGGATAGCATTAGGAGATATACCTAATGCTAAATGACGAATTAATGGGTGCAGCACACCAGCATGGCACATGTATACATATGTAACTAACCTGCACATTGTGCACATGTACCCTAAAACTTGAAGTATGATAATAATAATAAAAAAATTAAATCTATAAAAATACATAAAGAAAACTTTAATTATTATTTGTTACTATGAGACTTGATTTCTTTAAAAGATCAAAAATTTGTCCTCCTGAAACTAAATCTGTTTTCAAAAGAAAATCTGAATAAGTTTTTTGAAAATCTAATGTAAAGAAATATGTGTAATATATAACAGAAAATTTTAATATCCTTAACAAAAATATAGAATAAAAGCTGATATATAAAAAAGTAAACAATTCAACAAAGTATAAGCAAAATTTATGAATAAATACACAGAAGTAAGAATAGTAAGTAATAAACAAACATAAAAAAATCTTCAATACAGTGAGTGGTCAGAGACTGGCGTATTTACTGAGAAAAGGTTTTCACCTTTATGTTAGAAGGAGTGTGAATTTCTATAGCCTTTTCTGAGAATGTAATATATGTATAAATTGACGGCAATATATGTTCCAGGCATACATTGTTTTATTGCATTTTGCCTGATTGTGCTTCATAAATACCATGTTTTTGGTTTTTTTTTTTTTTTACAAATTGAAGTTTTGTGGCAACCTTGGGTACAGCAATATCGGCAGCATTTTTCCAACAGCAAGTGCTTACTTTGATTCTCTGTGTTACATTTTGGTAATTTTCAAAATATTTCAAATATTCTCATTATTTTATTGTATCAGTCACAGTGATCTATGATCAGTGATCTTTGATGTTACCATTGTAACTATTTGTGGGTGCCATGAATTACACCCATATATGATGGTGAACTTAATTGATAAATGTTGTGTGTATTCAGACTGCTCCACCAACTGGCTGTTCCCCCATCTCCCTCCCTGTCCTTGAACATCCTTGTTCCCTAAAAGCAGTAATATTAAAATTAGGCCAATTAATAACTCTACAATGACCTCTAACTGTTCAAGTGAAAAAAAGTCATATGTCTCTCACTTTAAATCAAAAGCTAGAAGTGACTAAACTTAGGAAGGCACATCTAAAGCTGAGATAGGCTGAAAGCAAGGACTCTTGGGCCAAACAGCCAAGTTGTGAATGGAAAGAAAAAATTCTTCAAGGAAATTAAAAGGGCTACAAGTGTTCTTGATGATATGAAGAAAGTTTTAGTAATCTGGATAGAAGATCAAACCAGCCACAACATTCCCTTAAGCCAAAAGCTAATCCAGAGCAAGGCCTTAACTGTCTCCAATTCTGTGACACCTGGGAGATGTGAAAATGCTGCAGAAGGAAAGTATGAAAGTAGCAGAGATTGGTTCGAGAGGTTTAAAGCAAGGTAAAAAGTGCAAGCTGAAGCAGCAAGTGCTGATGTAAAAGCAGCAGGTTATTCAGAAGATCTAACTAAGATAACGGATGAAGGTGGCTCAACTAAATAACAGATTTTCAGTATAGACAAAACATCTATTAGAGACATCTAGGACTTTGATATCTAGAGAGGAGAAGTCAATGTCTAGCTCCAAAGCTTCAAAGGATGAGCTGACTCCTGTCAGGGGCTAATGTAGCTGGTGACATCAGGGTAAAGCCAATGATTATTTACCATTTCAAAAATTCTAGGGTCCTTAAGAATTATGCTAAGTCAATTCTGTCTGTGCTCTATAAATGGAACAACAAAGCCTCAATGACAGCACATTTGTTTAGAGCATGATATACTGAACATTCTAAGCCTACTATCAAAACTTACTGCTCAGAAAGAAAGGTTCCTTTCAAAATGTTACTGCTCATTGACAATGAACCAAGTCACTCAAGAGCTCTGATGGACATGCACATGATTAATGCATTTTCAAGCCTGTTCACACAACATCTATTCTGTAGCTAATGGATCAAAATGTAACTTTGTCCTTCAAGTCCTATTATCTAAGAAATACATCTTGTAAGAATATAGCTGTTATAGACAGTGATTCCTCCAATGAATGTGGGAAAGGTGAATTGAAAACCTTTTGGAAAAGATTCACCATTCTAGATGCCATTGAGAACATTCATGATTCACAGGAGGTAGTCAAAGCTTCAAGACTTCAGTGGAGGAAGAAACTGCAGATGTGGTAGAAACTAGTGGAGCCTGAAAATGATGACTGATGCAATCATGATCAAACTTGAACGGATGAGGTGCTTCTTATGAATGAGCCAAGAAAGTTTCTTGAGATGACATCTACTTCTGGTGAAGATGCTGTGAACATGGTTGAAATGTCAGCAAAGGATTTAGAATATTCCATAAACTTGTTTGACAAAGCAGGGGCAGGGTCTGAGAGGACTGACTCTAATGTTGAAGGAAGTTCTACTGCAGGTGAAATGCTATCAAACAGCGTCATAAGCTGCAGAGAAATTTTCTGTGAAAGGAAGAGTCCATTGATGTGACAGACTTCACTCTCGTCATATTTTAAGAAACTGCCACATCCAGGCTGGGCACAGCGGCTCTGGCCTGTAATCCCAGTTACTCAGGAGGCTGAGGTGGGAGGACTGCTTGAGGCCAGGAGTTTGAGACCAGCCTGGGCAACACAGCAATTCCCTATCTCTAAAATAAGAAATGAAAAAAATTAGCTGGGCATGGTGGTGTGTGCCTGTAGTCCTAGCTACTCAGGAGGTTGAGGTAGGAGGATCCCTGGCGCCCAGGAGTTTGAGGCTGCAGTGAGCTATGATGATGCCACTGCATGTTGACAGGCTGAACAAGACCCCATCTTTAAAAAAGAAGGAGAAGAAAACAAATTGCCACATGCATCCCTACCGTTCTATGATTTGCAACCACCACCCTGGTCAGAAGCCACCAATACTGAGGCAAGACCCTTCACCAGTAAAAAGATTATGATTTGCTGAAGTCTTAGATGATCATTAGCATTTTTAAGCAACAAAGCATTTTTAAATTAAGGTGTGTATTTTTTAGGCATGATGTTATTGCATACTTAGTAGAACACATGGTGTAAATACAACTTTTATATGCACTGGGAAACCAAAAAGTTTGTGTGACTTGCTTTATTATGAAATTTCTTTTACAATACATCTGAGTTATGCTTGAACATACTGTATGCACACACGCACACACACACCCCTACCTTTGAAAAATCATAGAAAAATGCCTAAGATGACATTACAGGAAATAGACAGTTGCTACTGGAATGCAGAAAAATAGAATATTACTCTTTTTTATACCTCTATATTATTTGAATTATTAAAACAAACATGCATTGCCTTTCAATGCATGTTTCAATGCATATTTGTTTTAATTGCTTTTCAAGTTATATGTCAAAAATTATTTAAACATGCACCACTACCACGTATGTACATGGGTACCAAAAGTGTTGTTATTTTTAGGTGAATGTTTAAATTTCCTATATTATAATAATCATTGTAATCATTCTGCTGAAAAGATTATATTCAAGAGGCTGGATACTAGTTACATGATTCTTATTTACAACCCCAGAAGAAAAAAAAGAAAGTGTATGGGTTTCAGGAAACCAAGGGATATTTCATGAAGGCTCTATTTCCCTGATCTTCTGATTGCCATAAAAAAAAACTGAACAAACACCTGTTTCTACATGTCTTGGAACAAGGACTACACACAACCTGTTGGAGACATAAAGACTGTAGACCACACTTCTCATGTGGGCTGAAGGAAAAGAAAGACATGCTAGAACACCCTAATTGATGTTTAGGGGCTTTTCCCTGATACCATCCCTCTTTGTGGTCCAGGAAGAGGCCCTGGCAATGTCCTCAGACTGCCATGTGTGAAAATAAGATATCTTTGTATTGTTTTTCTTAAATAAGGTTCCCTAAATTGTATCAGTTTCAAGCTCTACAAAATCTGGATCCATCCAGTTTGAAGGTAAGTTGAATCACAAATAACTGCTGCTTATCCAAAAGCATCAATATCATTATACAAATGGTACTTATTCTTGAAGAGGTAAACTTTATTAGATATCTATAGTCATTTGTAAAACCAACATTTTGTATTTGGTGTACCTGAGAGAATAGTGAATTATTTCTAAGAACTTTAAAACAGTCTGTCCCAAAGAACAAAATGTAGGATCAGTACTTAATGAATCACAGAGGAGATATACAGAACACCTGAACAAAAAGTATAAATCCAAATTCAGCAAGAGTGGCAAAGAAGCAGTAAGTAAGTGCTCACCAGCCTAGGGATAAAGATGTCCTCACTTAAGCAGAAGTTGGTCAGACATGCAAACAGGAACAGGAAAGCCACAGAAATAAAAGCTAGTGTTACCACTACAAATTGTCAAGGGGAGATGGCAGGTTAGCCAATGAACTTTGATCTAATATACAGATGGGTGAACAGGTTCATAAAGAACATACCTGACCTATTTCTGAATCCACTAGGCAAGACACCCATCCTCAAAAACAAAAGGGCATCAGACTAATTTAGCCTGATTCCATTAGGATATCTAATTTATCTAATCCTCCTTGTTGTAATTCCATGTTCACCAAATAAACTTTTCATTGCTACTTGGCTTTCTACCCCATGGGATGCCAATATTCTGACCCTTGTGACTGCCTAATACAATTACAGATCAATAAAAGGGGAGTCCAGTTTCTACACCAATCACATTAGCTTGCTTAATAGGACTGGATTCTGGAAATAGAATCCATTTTCATTTGCTCTTGAGTTTCTGAGGCCAATGGCCAGACCCTGAATGCTGATCAATGCAAGAAGGGACCTCTTGGAGAAACATCATTCCAGCCTTTCCTTTGAAAGTTGCCAATCCCTGTGTGATTAGTGTAACTTCCAATCTGTATTTTGATTATCCTCACTAGACATTGCCAGCAATCTTGTCAAACAACAAAGCATCTAAAGTAAATATAAACAAGATGTACATAAAGTGAAAAACATGTAAATTTTTTACATTCCTTCTTTCAAATATAAGCTTACGCCACATTACATTTCTTAAGTATCAATTTATTCCAGATAACACTTTCTGGGCTTCTAAGCTTTTAAAAATTATTTTTACCTATGTGATTGATTATTAAGGTTTAGTGATCCGGTCTGGTACATCTCTTCCAACTGCTTCCTGTTTCCAAAGTATAAAGCAAGGTCTGTGGCAATGATGGCTTTGCGGATGATCTCAAGCACCTGCTCATATTCACTGGAGCTCAGAGTGGAGAAGATATTGTGCCCTTCCAACTAGGGAAAAAATACAAATAAAAACCACCAATAACAAGCACAAGCTCTAATCTTATGACATTTTTAGTTATTTGAAACTATATAGTCAGTCAATGACATCTGGCACACTAATGAAAGGTTTTGGGGTAACTTTTGTTTTTTTTGAATAGTTAGAAATGACTAACGAAAACTGCGTTTTGGTTTCTCTTTAAGCTACAGAAACAATGAAGCTACCACTTAAATAAACTATTGCAACTATAATAACATCATTTACTACCATAAAACCCCAGTGATTTAAATATATCTAGTTCTTGGATATTTCTAATAGTTTAAAAAAACTTGAAAATGTAAAATATTTAAGTTAAAGACTTTTCCTCTTAAGCTAATTAAAAACTTCAGTAATTTTTGTATTATACTAGAACCTTAATGGGCTAAAAAAGGCATCTATATCCTTGTCCACTTCAGGTTGTAACATACCAAAACATGCTTAATAGACAGTAATATATTTCTCTGTATCCTAGAAGAAAATGTCCTACAACCTCAATAAAATGTTTATTCAAACACATTAAAAACTCTAAGGGCAAGAGTACCTTTCCCTACAACACAAATCACTGAAGCTACGACAATTCTAGGACCATCTTCTATTCCCAAGGGAGGTGGGAATGGCAGATCATCACCCTACACAACACCAGAACACTGGTAATCTGGATTCTATTGGCTCAGAATATCCTTCGTGTATTAATCTTTTAAAAACTTTATAATAATTTATTCCTGTGGAAATTTTAAGGTTTTTATTTGTAATTGAGGGAAAAAAACCCTTTGTTGAAACTAAAAAGTTTGAGATAATTAAGATGCAGTCAATTTGCAGATTCATCAATTATTTTGATATTATTTCATTATTGGTCAATATAGTACTACTCTAAGTTGATTTTCAATTAATTTCACTTTTCTTAATATACATTTATTGAGTTAAAATACAGTAAAAACACAATGATTGAAGCATATTTCTTTAAAAAATTAGACATCTCACTAAGACACTGTCTCTTCATATTCTTAAATGAAATTGTACATGCACCATTTGTTTTCAATTATCAGAACAGTTCCATATTATTTGCTCTTAAAGTCTTAGAAGTATTTGAATTATTGTATGATAAATGCAGCAAATGGACTCAGGTCTAGTTATTTATTTTCCTGACAATAATAGTAGTAAGACCTTACATTTGTAGAAAGTTCTACAGCTTACAAAGCACTTTGAAACACACGACTTCACTTTCAAATTATAAAACTTATATTAGTTCAGAGTTCCCACATGGATTGTACATGAGATGCTATGAGATGAGCCGTTTGAGCATAGGCTGGTTAGTGACTGATGGGGACAACGGGAGGGGACTCAGGCTTTGGGCTGGTGGCTGAACTCAATAATCATCCAAGCTCGACTCTCTTCAATTTTGTTGTAGAAAGTTCTAAGAAGGAAATATTGATTCATGCTATGGTATCTGCTTTCCTTTGAAGTGACCGTAACTCACGTGAAGCAGGTAGCTCCTGCATCAACACTGAATGCCTGTCACCTCTATTTCCCACTTCATGAACATGTTTCAGCATGTCTGGCTGGTGCTCACGCACACATCTGCTTTCAGCAGGTCATGTGAAGGGAATCACAGCTGATACAATTTTGTGCTTTGTATTTGTATGCTTTACTCTCTTTATCACCAATAATTATCACCATAACCTGTTAAATTATAATATATAAAATATTCTAGTCTGCTGTTGACATTTAAAAAGAAATATCTCTAAAATAGGGTCTCCTTAGCCTAGGCTCTGTAAATTCTGTAGGGGGACAAAAGAGTTATAAACTCACTGCAATTCTACACACTGGATATGTCATCTGTAAGCTCATGTTTTTATCAGAGTCCCAAAAGTGTCGACTGTCCCAAAGCAAGTTAAGATTTATTTTAAAGAATGTATATATTCTACTGACTACTTTGGAGTCATTACTTTTCAGTATTAAAGGAAACTAGGTGAAAAAGCTCCATAGAGGGCTTTTATAATAAAAAGGTCTAACTCATTTACTGTCCCCTTCAATAATTTACAAGAGTAAAGGGAATGAATGAACAAACAAAAAATAAATATCTCCCTTTTCTTTCTTTGAGACAGAGTCTCGCTCTGTCACCAGGCTGGAGTGGATCTCTGCTCACCACAATCTCTGCTTCCTGGATTCAAGCGATTCTCCTGCCTCAGCCTCTAGAGTAGCTGGGATTACAGGGACGCACCACCACACCTGGCTAATTTTTTTTTTTTTTTTTTTTTTTGTATTTTTAGTAGAGACGGAGTTTCACCATGTTGGCCAGGATGCTCTTCATCTCCCGACCTCGTGATCTGCCTGCATCGGCCTCCCAAAGTGCTGGGATTACAGACGTGAGCCACCGCGCCCGGCCACGTCTCCCTTTACTTTAAGAGAATCTAGCATTTTGCTGCTATCCAAACTAAAGAAAATAAGGAAGGGAGATACAAGCAATGAAGCATAGCAGACAAACAGTATCTTCTTTAAACCTCCAACCTCACATTTGTTAACACATAATAAATCCTTATAATGCATTATAATACTTTTATACACCAATTGATAATTTTACTATAGTTACATAGTTTGAAGTCTATGTTAATTCAAGCTAGTTGATTCCATTTTGCATAAATCAAGCATGAAATAGTAGACTTTTTACACCCACGAATGTTTCTAAAACTTAACGTGGGTGAACAGCATGTAATTCTTAACTCTATGGAAGCACACAGGGAGGCTCTGGTTGTATGTAAATGCTGTGGCTGAGATCTGATATTAGAGAATGGAAACAATGTTGAAATTGGTGCTGACGCTGAAAGATGACCCAGGGACTGCCTTGAATAGATGATTCTCAACACTCCTTCCAGCCCTTAATCATAAGGATCCTAAAGGCTGTTAGTATTCTGTCCACTGCTGGGGGATTAGGGAACCACCGCTTTTGGAAAAAAATGTCAACGATGCAACTAAGCGCATCAAACATTCATGATGGCAATGCCTTTACAATACATAGAATACTGATTTTGAAAGTTAATTACCTAGTACATGAAACCACATATTAGGGAGCATTATAGTACTGTAATTAAGAGCACCGATTTTGGAGCCAAATAATTCTATCTTTTAATGTCATTCTGCCACTTACTAGTTATGTGACAAATAGATTACTTAACCTCCTTGATGCATATTATTCTCATCTGTAAAATGAAAATAAATTAATACCTATCTCATGGGGATATAATAAAAATAAACTGTATTAAAATATGTACAAAATATTTAAGTTTCTGGTTCATTGTAAGTACCCAATACATGATAAAACGATTACTATTATAATAGTGATGATTGATGATGATGATGATGATGATAAAATCTACCAGTACAACTTCCACAGTCAGAGTTAAAAAAGGAAAGACAGATGAAAAAACAAATATATGCCTAAAAGAGAATTTGATAGCCAAATACCTTTTCTATTCAGAACACAGCTGTAGAAAAGGACGGATTTAAACTAGCCACTTTGTCATATATTTTAGATTACCAGTACAGGTAGTGTTGAATATAAGTACAATAATTTTGCTATAATTGTAATATACAACAGCAAATTGTATCTAGTGCAGACGAATTGGAAGAACTCTCTAGCTAAGTAACAGAAATAGTGCTTCTATAAAGAGTAGTAAGAAGTCACGGGATCCCAAAATGTTGGTATAAATAGATAACTTTCTGAAATATGATCACATTTCAAAAGCAACAGATAATTTAAGATTAGTGGAACATTAAGAAAATGTTCTCAATAATGAGAATAATCATTCCTAATTGGTCTGTTTTCTAAAATTTTGACTATTTTTAAAGTCAAAATGGGCTATTAAAAAAGGCAAAGAAAAAGTATAGTTTCAATGTTCAAAATAATCATTCATATCTTATGAGTAAACAGAATAAATTGATTTAATATTCCAGCAATAATGATTCAATTACCATTACTAATTGTAAGCTAGTAAGTTTTAGGCAAGAAAACAAAGCTCACCTACGTTCTTGGATGTGACTGTCCACACAAAACAGTCTGCTCACATGAAGGCATTCTGCTTGCCTTCTTCCCCTGCTCAGTGTCTCAGTTCTCTGCCCCACCGGACACAGCTACTCACTTTCCTCACGTAAAGCTTCAGTTTCAGTCTCTGAGTGCTGGTTCTGCCCACTCTGCATCTTCCCCTCCCCATGCTCTACCTTCACACTTCCACTTGTGCCCATATCAACAGCCCCAGAGGTGGGCCTGTGAGTCCAGAGGTGAAGAAGGGGCAGTGACTCTCCTCATCAGCTTCTAATTCAGAAGAAGTGGGAAGCTAAACTCACAAACAGAAAACTTCAATACAGTGTTAAAAACAAAAAAACAAACAAAACACTAAGATGTATGTATGCTTGAGGTGCTCAGGCGCTATGTAAAAGGGGGCAGTGCTGTACCCCAGTCATGTGGGGATACACTCAAAGAATTTTACAGGATGAGGTCATGCCTGAGTGGGGGGCCACAAGAAAGGGTGTGGGGTAATTACATGTAGAGAGAACCCGGCCAATGGCACAGGGTTAAGATACGGTCTGAAACTACAGAAGCAGAGCAGATCTGTAGTCCTGGAACAGACAGGGGCCACTCATGAAAGACTTGTATATCCACTAAGAAAACAGGAAATTATTCCAGAGGCCCCAGAGAGTCACTAATGACTTTTAAACAGGAGAAAAACATATTCAGACATATACTTGGAGGACGGATTTGGGACACAAACACTTGGAGAAACAGTGATGGATGAGGAGGAAAAGGCGGAAAAACAGACAAAATACGATGAAGGCTGAAACCGAGATGTCAAGTAGGGATGGTGCTTGCCACTTGGGAGCTGTAGTGGTCAGAGGGGCCAGATTACCATTTACTAGAGACTCAAGGGACTTTCCTGTCTGCTAAATGTCCACCATGAGCTCTACACAGCGACGGGCCCCAAACACCATGAAAACAATCCTGATGGCCAGCATTAAGGCACAATGGGAAGCTCAGGGAAAAATGAGAACGCAGACTGACCTTCTCTGCAGATGCTCTTGTATTTACCCTTACTTCATGACTTAATCTCTTCCCATTGCCCACTCAACACGGGATTATCTACTGCATCCCTATCACTGTGACCAAGGTCAAGGCAAGCTGTGAGCAAATACCCACTTCCTGCTTTTCCCTACCATGAGTAACGTGTGTGTGTATGTGTGAGTGAGTGTGTGTGTGTGTGTGTGTGTGTGTGTGTGTGTGTGTATGGGGGGGGGCGACTAAAGGTTAGCTTTTCAAGTCTATTGTATTATTCTCCTTGCTTGCTGTTGTCACTGTGTTAGCCAGCAGTACTCTTCTGAATGCCCTGCTTATCCAGTAGATACCACTGGCAGCCATAGTGAAAGCTGGCACTCAGGTTGGCAAAACTATAATAAGCAGCCACATATGCAACACACACCTGTGAAGATGCCTGATGAGGAACTATTTCCAACCATCATACACAAAATTGCTTACGTCCTATCTGTCTGTGTGGCCAGAGGATGGGCAGCGCCATGCTCGTAATCATCTGTGTGGCAATGCAGATCAAGAAAGCAATGGGAAAAGTCTTTTGTGGATAAACAGAAGTATCACAGGTATTCATATTATGAAACTATATATTGTTCTTATTTTAATGACTGGAAGTTGGAATTTTTAACTGTTACCCAAGGATAGCATCTTAATTAGTCAAGCTTGTAGGTGTCTTTTGATGAAACATAAAATCAGCAGGACTTGGTGGTAACAGGATGGAGGGATGGGAAGATAAAGCTAAAGAAGGGAAAAATGATGACTCTAAGGTCATCAGCCTGCATTCCTGGGTCAATGAGATTGCCACCACAGAGATATAAAATACAAAAGGCACCTAAATAAGTATAATACCAAGCACAATTCGGGCATACTGAATACAGGGTTCAACTGCTTGGGCAGAAGTCCTATTGAGCACTAGGCAGAATTACATGGGTACGAGAGTCCTCAGGGCACCACTGTCAGAGCCACAGGTGTGCCAGGTGGTGGGCCAATGAGAAGAACAACATAAGGGCAGAAGTCAGGGGACTCAGGCCTTCCTCACTCTGACGGTGAGTTCCAGAGGACAGGGATTTGTGGTTGCTCTGTTTATCACTATATCCCCAGTGCCTAAAACAGTTGTTGGCAAATAGAAGGTGCTCAGTAAGTATGTTTGTTATTAAATTGGATTTCAGGGACCAGTTAGATGAATCCAAAAAAACACTCAGAGAAGTATCATGAGGATTACTGCAAAATCAGCCAAGTGTACAGAAATTTTCCGAAGAGGAAGACACTCTTCCCTGAATGTTCCTGCCCATGTAGATTGGGTTGTCTGTTTATGGCCCCAATATTATTTCTCTCTGGGCGTAGCTCAAATTGAAGGGATTTGGTCAATCGAACATATAAATTTGTTTTCAAAC